>NC_000011.10:8544848-8847878 GCF_000001405.40 Homo sapiens
GTCCTTAGAGACAAATGTTTCTATGAGAAATAAATCACTCCCTCTTATATTTAAATATTGCCCTGAGATAATGTTATTCCAATAAGAAATATTCTAAAAACTGCATCAGCTAAAACCATGACACGGTCCTGCTTACAGTCATAGATTGAAGAGCAATCCAAAAGCTTTTCAAATGTTTATTCAGAGAGAAGTGAAGGGCACAACTTCTGAAAGGGAAATGATTTTTAATAAAATCTTACAAATAGGAAGCTGCCTACCAGAAGTGTAAGTCCAAATGAACCAATGAATAAGGAAATTCTTTGTGGGATTATTCCAACCTCATCTGAAGCCACATGCACTTGGAAAACTCAAAACAATCAAAATAAATCCATTACCTAGACATGCTTTCAAATCTATTTCTTTCTACTGGGAATCAACAACCAGTGAGGGTGTTGATTTGTTCTTTTCATCCTTTTTTACAGCTAAATAAGCATGCAAACCTTTAAAAGAGAGGCAAAAATAGAAATGACAGCACCATTTATGAATCTAAAATAATCTCTGTGAATCAGTGTCACTAAATTGGGCAAAACGAAATATAAATATCCCAATCAAGTAGTATCCCCTTGAAGGAAAATACAAATTTAAGATTACTAATGTTACAAAGTATTTATATGCATAACAGTCCCCTGAATGCGTTTGTTTAAAGATTACTAAGTACTCTTTAAGGGCAATCTAGCCACCAACAATTAACTTACAAATTAGTTTAAGAAATTTATATTAAGAGCCTACCATGTGCAAGGGACTGTATTAGGCACAGTGAAAGAAGCAGACTCATCCTTCACAGGCTTTGGTCTCAAGAAACATAAAGGTCTAGTTAGGAAGGTAAGGTATGCCTAGAAATAACTTCAAAACAAGAAGAGAGATGAATGACCAATACAATCCTGAGCAAAAAGAACAAAGCTAGAGGTATCACACCTCCTAATTTCAAAATACAGTCATGTGTTGCTTAACAATGGGAATACATTTGAGAACTGTGTCATTGGGTAATTTATCATTGTGCAAACATCATAGAGTGCGCTTACACAAACCTAGATGGGCCAACCTACTACACACACAGGCTATGTGGTATAGCCTCTTGTTCCTAGGCTACAAACCTGTATAGCATTTTACTGTATTAAATACTGTAGGCAATTGTAACACGATGGTATTTGTGTATCTAAACATAGAAAAGGTATAGTAAAAACACAGATAAAATATTTTTTAAATGATACACCTGTATAGGGCGCTTACCACGAATGCAGCTTGCAGGACAGGAAGATACTCTGGGTACAACAGTGAGTCAGTAGTGAGTGAATGTGAAGGCACAGGTCATTATTGCATACTACTGTACACTGTGCAAATACTTGTACACTTAGGCTACACTAAATTTATTTTTAAAACTTTTTCTTTCTTCAATAATAAACTAGCTTACTGTAACTTTTTATTGATATATGATAATTGCACATATTTATGGGGTACCTGTGAGATTTTCATACATTCACACAATGTGTAATGATCAAATCAGGGTAATTAGGCTATCCATTACCTCAAACATTTATCATTTCTTTATGCTGGAAACATTCCAAATTTTGTCTTCTAGCTATTTTGAAATATAAAATAAATTACTGTTAACTACAGTCACCCTACTGTGCTATCAAACACTAGAACTTATTCCTTCTTTCTAACTATATTTTTGTACTCACTAACCAACCTCTCTTCATCCCCCCCACCCTACCCTGCTCAGCTCCTTGGAACCATCAGTCTACTCTCTACTTCCATGGCATTAACTTGTTCATCCCCCACATGAGTGAAATCATGCAATATTTGTCTTTCTGTGCCTGGCTTATTTAAGATAATGACCTCCAGTTCCACCCAAGTTGCTGCAAATGACAGGATTTCATTGTCATTTATGGCTGAATAATATTCCGCTGTGTATATTTACCACATTTTCTTTATCCATTCATCCACTGATGGGCACTTAGGTTGATTCCATATCTTGGCTACTGTAAATAGTGCTGCAATAAACATGGGAATGCAGGTATCTCTTTTCTTTTGGATATATATCCAGCAGTGGGATTGCTGGATCATACGGTAGACTATTTTTAGTTTTCTGAGGAACCTCCATACTGTTTCCATGATGGATGTACTAATTTAAATTCCTACCAACAGTGCACTGGCTTCTCCCTTTCTCCACATCCTCACTAGCATCTGTTACTTTTCCTTTTGGAGAATAGCCATTTTAACTGGGGCAAAATATCACATTGTTGTTTTGATTTGCATTTCCCTTATGATTAGCGATAAGAATTTTTTCATATAGAGTTGGCCATTTGTATGTCTTCTTTTTTGTTTTTTGTTTGTTTCTGTTGAGACGGAGTTTCATTCTTGTTGCCCAGGCTGGAGTGCAATGGTGCAATCTCGGCTCACTGAAACCTCCGCCTCCCGGGTTCAAGTGATTCTCCTGCCTCAGCCTCCCTAGTAGCTGGGATTACAGGCATGCGCCACCACGCCTGGCTAATTTTGTATTTTTCCTAGAGATGAGGTTTCACCATGTTGACCAGGCTGGTCTCGAACTCCTGACCTCAGGTGATCTGCCCGTCTCAGCCTCCCAAAGTGATGGGATTACAGGCGTGAGCCACTGCACCTAGCCCTGTATGTCTTCTTCTGAGAAGTTATTCAGGTCATTTGCTCATTTTTAAAATCAGATTGTTCATTATTTTGCTATTGAATTGTTTGAGTTCCTTATCTATTCTGGTTATGAATTCCTTGTGGATGGAGAGTTTGTAAATATTTTCTTCCATTCTGTAGGTTGTTGCTTCACTCTGTTGTTTCCTTTGCTGTGCAAAAGCTTTTTAACTTAATGTAATCCCATTTGTCTATTTTCGCTTTTGTTGCCTGTGCTTTTGGGGTCTTATCCAAAAAAATCTTTGCCCAGACCCACATATACACTATGGAATACTATGCAGCCATAAAAAAGGATGAGTTCATGTCCTTTGTAGGGACATAGATGAAGCTGGAAACCATCATTCTGAGCAAACTATCACAAGGACAGAAAACCAAACACCGCATGTTCTCACTCATAGGTGGGAACTGAACAATGAGAACACTTGGACACTGGATGGGGAACATCACACACCGGGGCCTGTTGTGGGGTGGAGGGAGGGGGGAGGGATAGCATTAGGAGATATACCTAATGTAAATGACGAGTTAATGGATGCAGCACACCAACATGGCACGTGTATACATATGTAACAAACCTGCACGTTGTGCACATGTACCCTAGAACTTAAAGTATAATAAAAAAAAAAAAAATCTTTGCCCAGACCAATGTCCTCAAGTATTTCCCCAATGTTTTCCTCTAGCAGTTTCATAGTTTCAAGTCTTACATTTAAATCTTTAATGCATTTATTTTGTTTTTGTATATGGTGAGAGATAGGGATCTAGTTTCATTCTTCTGCATATGGATATACAGTTTCCCCAGTATCGTGTATTAAAGAGGCTGTCCTTTCCACAGTGTATGTTTCTGGAGGCTTTGTTGAAAATAAATTGGCTGTAAATGTATGGATTTATTTCTGAGTTCTCTATTCTGTTCCATTGGTCTATGTGTCCATTTTTATGCCAGTACCATGCTGTTCTGGTTATTATGACTTTGTAATATATTTTGAAGTCAAAAAGTGTGATGCCCTCAACTGTGTTATTTTTGCTCACAATTCTTTTGACTATTCAGAGTCTTTTGTGGGTCCATACAAATTTTAGAATTTTTCTTCTATTCTGTAAAGAATGTCATTGGTATTTTGAGAGGGATTGCATTGAATCTGTAGATCACTTTGGGCAGTATGAACACTTCAACAATATTAATTCTCCCAATACATGATCATGGGACATCTTTCCATTTGTTTGTGTCCTCTTTGATTTCTTTCTTCATATTTTATCATTTGCATTATAAAAAATGGTTAAATTTTTTCCTAGGTGTTTTATTTTTTGGTTAAATTTATCCCTAGGTGTTTTATATTCTTGTAGCTATTGTAAATGGGATTACTTTCTTAATTTCTCAGATTGTTCACTGTTGGTGTATAAAAATACTACTGATTTTTGCATGCTGGTTTTGTATAAAGGATATCCAAATTGGAAAGGAGAAAGCCAATTTATCCTTTTTCACAGATGACATGATCTTATATTTAGGAAAACCTAAAGACTCCACCAAAAAACTGTTAGAACTGATAAACAAATTATTAGCTGTGGTTTGGTCATATATGGTCTTTATTGATTTCAGGTATTCTCCTTCTATACTCAGTTTGTTCAGAGTTTTTATCATGAAGGGATGTTAAATTGTATTGAATACTTTTTCAGTATCTATTGAAATGACCATATAATTTTTATTCTTGATTCTGTTAATCAGATGTGTCATATTTATTAATTTACATATGATGAACCATCCTTGCATCCCTGGTGTAAATCACACTTGATTGTGCTAAATGATCTTTTCAGTGTGTTGTTGAATTTGGTTTGCTAGTGTTTCGTTGAAGATTTCTGCATCTATGTTCATTGGGGATATTGGCCTGTAGTTTTCTGTTTTTGTTTTTTTTTTCTTTTTTGTTATGGCTTTGCCTGGTTTTGGTGTGAGAGTGATGCTAGCCTTGTAGAACGAGTTTGGAGTATTCCCTCCTCAATTTTCTGAAATAGTTTGAATACAAATGGTATTAGCTTTCCTTTACACATTTGTTAGAATTCAGTAGTGAAGACATTGGGTCCTGAGCTTTGTTGGGGAACTTCTGATTGCTGCTTCAATCTCATAACTCACTATTAGTCTGTTCAGGTTTCCTATTTCTTCATGGTTCAATTCTGATAGGTTATGTATATAGGAATTTATTCATTTCGTCTAAGTTTTTCAATTTGTTGGCATATAGTTGTTCATGAGATTCTATAATGATCCTTTGTATTTCTGTGGTTATCAGTTGTAACGTTTTCATCTCTGATTTTATTTATTTGGGTCTTCTCTCTTTTTTCTTAGTCTAGCCAAAGGTTTGTTGATTTTCATATTTAAAAAAAACCAACTTTTAAATTCATTGATTTTTTAAGTCAGCTTATCTTTACTTAAAACAAAAGTCAGTGTTTCTGTAACATGCTTTCAAATAGATGTCAAATATTAACTTTGTACTTTGTATTTCCATAATTACAAATCTCACTCTGAACAAATCATGGCTCTCAGTGATATATCAGCATCTTCTGCAAAAGTTTTATATAACTATGTAATTAATGAAGGAACAAACAATTATTGTAACAGTTTTGAAGAAATATTATTTTATGATAGTAATAATTCTTCTTACAAAAATACTTCTGTTTGAAACTCTACATAATACACAATAAGGTCCCGGAATATGTAATTAATAGCAATAGTTTCAGGGTGATCTTTTGTAATTTTTTTTAGTCTCAAATTCATTCATTTCTGCTCTGATCTTTATTATTTCTTTCCTTCTACTAATATATTGGCCAGGCTGGTCTCAAACTCCTGACCTTGTGATCCACCCGCCTCAGCCTCCCAAAGTGCTAGGATTACAGGCATGAGCCACCACACTCAACCGGGATTTTCTTTTCTATTGCACTGTCCGGCTGCAAATTTTCTGAACTTTCATGCTTTGCTTCCCTTATAAAACTGAATATCTTTAACAGCACCCAAGTCACCTAAGTGCTTTGCTGCTTAGAAATTTCTTCCACCAGATACCCTAAATCATCTCTCTCAAGTTCAAAGTTCCACAAATCTCTAGGGCAGGTGAAAAATGCCACTGGCTCTTTTCTAAAACATAACAAGAGGCATCTTTGCTCCAGTTCCCAACAAGTTCCTCATTTCCATCTGAGACCACCTCAGCCTGGGCTTTGTTGTCCATATCACCTTCAGCATTTTGGGCAAAGAATTTTGGGCAAAATTTCTCTAGGAAATTCCAAACTTTCCCACATTTCCTGTCTTCTTCTGAGCCCTCCAAACTGTTGCAACCCCTGCCTATTACCCGGTTCCAAAGTCACTTCCACATTTTCAGGTATCTATGGCAGCAACACAATCTACTGGTACCAATTTACAGTGTAAGTGTTCACACTGCTGGTAAAGACATACCCAAGACTGGAAGAAAAAGAGATTTAATGGACTCACAGCTCCACATGGCTAGGGAGGCCTCACAATCATGACAGAAGGCAAGGAAGGGCAAGTCATATTTTACATGGATGGCAGCAGGCAAAACGACTCCCTGAAATTATTTAAGTCAGTTATTCTGAATAATTTTTTTTTTTTGGAGACAGAGTCTTGTTCTATTACCCAGGCTGATGTGTAGTGGCACAATCTTGGCTCACTGCAACCTTTGCCTCCTGGGTTCAAGTGATTCTCCTGCCTCGGCCTCCTGAGTAGCTGGAACTATAGGTGCCTACCACCACAACTGGCTAATTTTTGTACTTTTAGTAGAGACTGGGTTTTACCATGTTGGCCAAGCTGGTCTCAAACTCCTGACCTCAAGCAATCTGCCCACCTCAGACTCCCAAAGTGCTAGGATTACAGGCATGAGCCACCATGCCTGGCCTTATTCTGAATTCTTTATCAGACATTTCATAGATCTTCAATGCTTCTGGGTCCACTGCTAGAGCTTTGTTAGTATTTTTTGGTGGTATTAAATCTCCCTGAGTTTTCACAATCCTTGTGTCTTTTTGTTGATGCCTGCACATTTAAGGAGAGAGCTACCTCTCCTAGTTTTTACAGGTGTTCTTTCGTGGTGTTAGACCTTTACTTCTTCATATCGGAACTTAAACGCTGGCTTGTCATCGTTTCCCATTCTGCGCAGAACTTGTAGGGAGCATCAGAACTAAAACTTTACCCCAGAACTATATTGCTGTCCCGTTATTGCTTCCTAATCTAGGAAAAACATAAATGGGCACCAGAACTTAATCCCAGCCTTTTAGTTATTTCTAGGTCAGGGGAAGGCTTGATTCAAATGCCTAGGCTTTGTGGAAAATGCAGCTAGGTATTCCAGCCTTTCCATGAACTGTACCCCTTGCAGCACTATGGCACTGGCCTGTCTCTTCAACATGGTGTCCCTGCTGATTGGAGAGCTAAAGAGCCACCAAGATCTGCACACCAGTCACTGTGCTCAGTGCCCCTGTGTGCCCCCAATTCACCCCCAGATGGTACAACCCTCCTGGTGTTCCCCATGGTTCCTATGGAGTGCATCTGGAGTAGGCTTCTCACAAAGATTCCAGACCAGTGGCAAAAATGAATGTCCACCTCCAATTCCCTCCTATCACCCTATAAGCCATAGGTCTAGAAAAATTCTCTGTGAGTGGCATTATGCCAGCTTGGGGAAGGAAGTGGCACAGACTGAAACGACCTTTTCTCTTACCAGTCATGGCTTATCTCGATCCTGTGAGTCTATGGGGTTTCTCAGCTTCTCCTCCAAGTTCTGGTATATTCAGGGTGGTATTCTTGTTTTTAAACATTTCTAGTTGTATTTTTGTAGGGAGAGTGATGCCAGAGGATCTTCTATTCTGCTGCTTGGCTGACATCACCTTGCTTTCTGTAACTTTTCTACTTTATAAACTTTTTACATTTTTTTAACTTTTTGCTTCTTTTTAATAACACATAGCTTAAAACACAAATACAGGTTCAGCTTTACAAAAATATTTTATCTCTTTATATCCTTATTCTATAAGCTTTTTTCTATTTTTCAGTTCTTTTACTCATTTATTTTTTTACTTTTTAAACTTTCTTGTTAAAAACTAAGACACATACACACACATTAGTCTAGGTCTACACAGGATAAGGATCATCAATATCACTGTCTTCCTCCTCCACATTTTGTTCCTCTGGAAGGTCTTCAGGGGCAATAACAAGCACGGAGCTGTCATCTCCTATGATAAAAATGCCTTCTTCTGGATACCTCCTGAAGGACCTGCCTGAGGCTGCTTAACAGTTAACTTTTTTTAATAAGTGAAAAGAGGAGACTCTAAAATAACAAAGAGTATAATATATGCTGGGTGATGGCTCATGTCTATAATCCCAACACTTTGGGAGGCCAAGGCAGAAGGATCGCTTGAGCCCAGGAGTTCAGGAGCTGCCTGGGCCATACAGTGAGACCTTGTCTCCACATAAAAAAAAAAAACTTAAATTAGCCAGGCATGTGGCACACACCTGTAGTCCCAGATACTCAGGAAGCTGAGGCAGGAGGATCACTTGAATCCAGGAGTTCAAGGCTGCAGAGTAAGCTATGCTGAAGCCACTGTACTCTAGCGTGGGTAACAGAGGGAGACTCCGTCTCCAAAAATAAAATATATATATATATATATATATATATATATGGTGTATATATATATATATATATATATGGTGTGTATATATATATGATATATATGATATATATATCATATATATAAGTAAATATATAAACCAGTAACATAATTGCTTATTATTATCTAGCATTATGTACTTTACATAAGTATATGTCCCACACTTTTATACAACTGGAAGTACAGTAAGTTTGGTTACAATAGCATCACCAAAAACACCTGAGTGATGTGTTGCCTTACAATGTTACAACACCTACAATGTTGCTAGGCAACAGGAATTCTTTAGCTCCATTATAATCATATGGGACCACCACTGTATACGTGATCCATCACTGACCAAAATGTTGTTATACGCTATACGACTGTATATTTTAAGGCTATCAAAATCAAAACAGCATGGTACTAGCATAAAAATAGACACACTGACCAATGGAACAGGACAGAAATCCCAGAAGCCCACACATTAATAGTCAACTGATGTTTTTTTTTACAAAGGTGCCAAGAACACACAATGGGAAATGGACACCCTCTTTAATAAATGGTGCTGGAAAAAATGAACATCCACATGCAGAAGAATGAAACTGCATCTTTATCTCATACCATATATAAAAATCAACTCCAAATGGATTAAAGACTTAAATATAAGACCCGAAACTATAAAGCTACTAGAAGAAAACACAGAGGTTAAGCTCCATGACATTAGACTAGGCAATGATTTTTTGGATATGACCCCAAAGACACAGACAAAAACAGACAAGTGGGATGGCATCCACCTAAAAAGCTTCTGCAGAGCAAAGGAAACAGATTAACAAAGTGAAGGGACAACTCACAGAGTAGGAGAAAATATTTACAAACCATATATCTGAAAAGGGATTAATATCCAAAATATGTAAGGAACTCAAACAACTCAATAGCAAGAAAACAAATAACCTGATCAAAAAATGAGTGAATTGGCCAGGTGTGGTGGCTCACACCTGTAATCCCAGCACTTTGGGAGGGTGAGGCAGGTGGACTACGAGGTCAGGAGATCAAGACCATCCTGGCTAACACAGTGAAACCCCGTCTCTATTAAAAATACAAAAAATTAGCCAAGCATGGTGGCATGCACCTGTAGTCCCAGCTACTGGGGAGGCTGAGGCAGGAGAATCGCTTGAATCCGGGAGGTTGAGGGTACAGTGATCCCAGATCACGCCACTGCACTCCAGCCTGGGCAACAGAGTGAGACTCCATCTCAAAAAAAAAAAAAAAAAAAAGAGTGAATGACCTGAACAGACATTTCTACAAAGACATACAAACAGCCAGCTAGTTCATGAAAACAATGTTCAATATCACTAATTATCAGATAAATGCAAATTAAAAATACTATGAGATGATATCACCTCATACCTGTTAGAATGGCTGTTATCAAAAAGATGAAAGATAAGTGTTAGTGAGGATGCAGAGAAAGGGAATACTTGTACACTGTTAGTAGGGATGTAAATTAGTACAGCTATTATAAAAAACGGTATGGAGATTCCTCAAAAAAACTAAAAACATCACTACTATATGATTCAGCAATCTCACTGCTGCGTACATACCCAAAGGAACCAAAATCCATATGTCAGAAGGAGATCTGCACTGCCATGTTCACTGCAACACTACTCACAATAGCCAAGATGTGGAAACAACCTTGGTGCCCATCAACAGATGAATGGATAAAAAATGTGATATATATACACAATGGAATACTATTCAGCCTTTTTTAGAAGGAAATCCTGTCATTTGCAACAATGTGGATAAGCCTGGGGGACATTATGTTAACTGAAATGAGCCAAGCACAGAAAGACAGAGGACCTCTCTCTCATAGGGCTGTAGGGGATCTTTTTTCTCTTCAGCCAGGGTTGGAGGCCAAGATGGCCCTTGAGAATCATCATCATGACTGCTGAGAGCTGGGCAGCCTTGTTTACCTCCCTTGGGCATTTGAAAAAAAAAAGACAAATACCACACCATCTTACTTGTATGTAGAATCTAAAAGAGTCAAACTCATAGAAGTAGAGTGTAGAATGATGATTACCAGAGGCTGAGGGGAATAGGAGGGAAGGAATGGAAAGCTGCTGGTCAAAGGGTAGACAAGAGGAATGTTTTGAGATCTATTGCACAGCAGGGTGACTATAGTCAGTAATAGCATATTGCACGTTTAAAAATAATTAAGAAACTGGCTGGGCACTGTGGCTCCCACCTGTAATCCTAGCACACTAGGAGACTGAGGTGAGTGGATTGCCTGAGCCCAGGAGTTCAAGACCAGCCTGGGCAACATGGCAAAACCCCCATCTCTACTAAAAACACAAAAAGTAGCTGGGTGTGGTGGTGAGCGCCTGTAATCCCAGTTACTCGGGAGGCTGAGGTGAGAGAATCACTTGAATCTGGGAGGCAGAGCTTGTGGGGAGCTGAGATTGAGCCATTGCACTCCAGCCTGGGTGACAGAGCGAGACTCCATCTTAAAATAAAATAAAAATAAAAATAACAATAATAAAGAAAGTAAATTTTAATTATCTTACCACAAAAAAAAGTGAGGTGATGAATATGTTAATTAGCTTGATTTAATCACTCCATGCTGTGTGCATGTATCAAAACATCACATTCTACTCCATAAATGTATACAATTATGATGTCAATTAAAAATAATAAGTTTTTTAAAAACAAGAAGGGAAAAGTACCTAAAAAACAGTAAAAATAAAAATGCCATAAGAAGTCAGAAGAAAAAGAAGTAACTTCCAGCTAGGGTGATCAGAGAAGACACCAAGATCAAATGTTAACATCTGAAATGGGCCTGGATTTGGGCAGTCTAAGAAGGAGGTGAACAGATTGTAAGGCAAGAGAAGCAATGTAAGTGAAGGTGGGCACATAAGAAAGCACCCACGATCATCCAGAAGTTCTGTTGGCCAAGAGAGTACCTCAGAAATAGGAGTAAAGTTGAAGTAGAATATTGAGACTAGGGCCAGTTGGGGAGGGCCTGACCATAAGGCTAAGAAGTCTGGATTTTATCGGGTAATTGGGGAGCTGGTAAAGATTTCTGAGCAGAAAAAAGCGTCATCAAAGTTGTGCTTTAGAAAGATCAATCTAGCAGTAATTGAAGTAACTGAACATCAATCAAATGCAGATGATATAGCACAGTGAGTATAATGTAAGCCTGCAGGAATTCAGGAATTCATTTATAAAAATGTAATTTATATGCATCTTTTCAGTAACACAGCTCTATAAACTGTCTTGCTCATAGACTAGTACCTAATTATATAAGCATCTAAAAAGGTCATAAGTACTATAAAATGATATCACAAAACCTCTTGCCTCTGCCTGGAAATCCTTCCACCCCCTTTCCCTTCCAGTAAACTCCTTATCCTGTAGACTTCAGTTTAAATGTCACTTCTTCAGAAAGGCTTTTTTTAAATCACTTATCCAAATTGGGTCCCCTTGTTTTTCTCTTTCAAAGGAACTTGTACACTTTCTTCATAGCACTTATCACAGTTTATAAGTATATATTTTGGTCACTAATTAATTAAAGTCTATTTCCCCCACTAGACTGTGAGGGGAAAGACTGTATTTTTGCTCATCATTATATTCTCCAGAGCCTAAAATGATGTAACACATATTAGGCACCTAACAAATATTTGTTCTATGAAGAATGAATGAATGAAGAAGAGAAGAACAGATTTTAGGGTCACCATAGTAATGCCCCTCTTTGCTAGATGCACTTGCTATTGACTAAGATACTTTCTTTCAAAGAGAAAATTAAAAGAAACCTTAAACCAGGCATGGTGTCTCATGCCTGTAATCCCAACACTTTGGGAGGCCAAAGCAGGAGGATCACTTGAGCCCAGGGGTTCAAGACCAGCCTGGGCAACATAGTGAGACCTCATCTCTATAAAAAATAAACAAATTAGCTGGCCATCATGGTGCATGCCTGTGGTCCCAGCTACTTGGGAGGCTGAGGTAGGAGGATCACTGGAGCCTGGGAGGTCAAGGCGGCAGTGAGCCTTGATTGTGCCACTGCACTCCACCGTAGGCAACAGAGGGGGACCTTGTGGGGAAGGGAAGGGGAGGGGAGGGGAGGGGAGGGGAGGGGAGGAGAGAAGAGGAGAGGGAGGAGGAGGAGAAAAGAAAGAGGGAGGCAAGGAGGGAGGGAGGAAAGAAGGATGGAAGGAAGGAAGGAAGGAAGGAAAAAAGGAGGGGAAAAAGGAAGTCAGGAAGTCTTAAATTTCAACTTAAAGCTGAATTCTTACGTGCCAAAATCAGAATAAAAACCTGTACTTACACAAGGAAAACCTTAAAGCAAATACTCAAGTCAAAATATACATTCCTATCTCTCATATTTTTACAGAAATAATTCCTAGTGCAACTACTAAGTGAACTAGAATAAGGAACGGAACCTGGACACAAGAAAGCATTATAAGTCAGATGTAAAGAAGGCAATTATAGACTTGTAACTCCTTTATTCATGTATATCATGTTAGAACCTCAAAAAGGAACTTCAGCATTCAATGAAAGATTTTTACTTCAACCTATATCATCACTGGAGTAGAAAAAAACCCTCAAAAAAGATAACTAAGCTTTGAAAAAAAAAAAGTAATTCACTTCCAAATAATAAATACTTGGTTTTCAATCACATGCTGTTTATACCTATGTACTTACTTCATGCCACAAACTTGGTGCAAGGCTTTCTTCATATAATAATAAACATGGACGATTAGCAATGTAATGAACCTTAAGTCACAGAAGTCTAGAGAAGTCCAAAGGAGTTCAACATGAGGCATTTGGGACCTTATCTCAAGATGCAGCCCTTCACAAAAATTTAACTTAGAAAAATCACTCAATTCACTAGGACACATGAAGCCCTAACCAACTGCCAACAAGGAACTAGAGAAGTTGGTTTAAAATCAGAAATGTTGAGCTAACTTGGTACAATGGATTACCTGCAAAAAAAGGAAAAATAAGATTTCCATCATTCATTTGTTTGCAGGGAGCTGTTTAACTATTGCAAATCAGATGCACTACATAAACTTAAAATGAAAAGGAAAAAAGACCAGCATAAATTTGTTCAAAGAGATATAGTCAGTTTCACTATAAGGAAATACCTACATTCCTAAAAATCACTACACTATGCAAAAATGGCACAAACAAGGACTTACGGGGGAAATGTAGCTAGGGACACAAAACTCCAAATCTTTGTCAGTGATACACACACACACACACACACACACACACGAAACCTAATAAAAAATCATAGCATTTTTGTATATGTTAAATGGTTAGGAAACATAAATATATGGCACCTTACCTTGAAAAAAACCTGAAGTTTACTTATAGATATAGGCATTTGAAAGACTGTAGTTTTTGAATTAATCAAGGGTGCCAGAAAGAAGGTTATCTGAAATCAGAAGGAAAGGTGTGACACCAGATGCGGGTGGGTGTGGCTCATAACTTGTGGTGAACTGAGGTAGCTGGTAGATATTCCAGGTATGTACATGTGTCCGTTTTGTGTGTTCCTGCTGGGCTCGGTTCAACTATGTGCTGTATTCTGTGTTCACCTGGTGTTTCTTGCTGACAAAAATCATGGATAACACAAACATGAAATTCACTTATGCTCAAATCGCTTCCTAATATATCAATGGCATTGCAGCAAATTCACGTTTTCAAAACAAGTGTTAATATAGCACAACTGGCTGTGCGGGTATTCAAATTCAAAAAGCTAATGCCAACTGGATACTGCACTCATTTCCCATTCCTCAAAATGTCTTGAGCCCAATGAAATCACAAGATTTTGAAGAATCACAGACTCTCTAATAGAAAACAGCCACAATTTCTAAATAGATTGGTATAATTCACATGGCCAAACCCTAGAAAATGTAGAGGTCCACTTGCCTCCATGAAACTACAACCTCCTTCATAAAATTGCTGCCTCTAAAGCAACAAAACATAAATAGCACTGGTAAATACAGCATTTGATCAAATCTAGTTTTTGCTCAGGAATACAGGATCTTCTCCTGTCATCATGAGCATTATCACTAATATACCTTCTCACATATCCCCAACACCTTCAGCAGCCATATTATGACAACCAAAGCACAAAGCCAACAAAATGGCATAGCCAAGTTCACAAACCTTAGCATTTTTTCCTGCCCCTCATGCTAGTTTCTAGGTTGGTGGCATGACAATCATGTAATAAAAACAGTGTTCACTAACAGACTTCATTTCATCTGGTTTTAATTAAGAAAATATAACCTCTAGGAGAAATGTCTGAACCGCTATTTTTAGCATTTATCAAGTATTATCTGTTCCACAAGCTAAGCTCAGTTTAGTACGTCATGCAAAGTAGGAGCTTCCTAAATCTTTGTTGAACAAACATTAGTTGAACCTACTTGATTTGTTTTACTATTCTACCCCATAATTTTATTCCCAGAATATTAAATTCTATTTTCAAAAGCAACATAGTCACTACCGGTTAAAATATTTTTGTTTGCTTTTAATTACTATAAAATCAGAAAATAATTGCTGTAATAAAAACTGAAAGAGTCCAGAGGGTATAAAATGAAAATAAGAGTCCAGAGCATCTCCATTCTCCATCTCACAGATAATCATTTCCAATGGTTCTGTGTAACATTCTAGAAATTTTCTTTGCATATACACAGCCTAAGTATAAATCACATATGGTTGTAAATAAGCTCATACTATACCTATTCTCAGTAACTTACCCTTTTTCTAAATATTATAGCCTAACCATTTTTTCATTATCCATATATATATTTACACCTCTTTTGTTTTAATGGCTATATAATATTCCAATATATATAAGCATTCTAAATTATTTAACAAGTCCATATCAATAGTCAAGTAAATTGCTTCCAAATGGTTTCTATTACAAATGATGCTATATGCAATAACCTTTTACATATATCTTTGTATACTAAGATGAATATATTTGTAGAATACACTCTTAGCAGTAGCACTGCAGAGATAAATGTGTGAGCATTTATTATTTTGATAAATGTCAGACTGCCCTCAAGAAAGGATATGAGAGTGCATTTTACCACATTCTGTCATTAGATATTTTTGAACTTTTTCATCTTTCTCAATTTGATAAATGAAAAATAGCATCTTATTTTAATTTCTACCTCCTTAATTATAAATGAGGCTAAGTATTTTTTCAAATTTTTTTTCTGTAAAATATCTGTTCATACTGATTTTTTCTCATCTTTTTCTTGTTGACTTATCAGTGATCCCTAAATATTAATGATATCAATCCTCCTTCTGTCAAACATATTGCAATTATTCTCCCCCACTTGGGTATTTGTTCATTGATTCTTATCATGGTGATTTTGTCATGTAAAAGCTTTTAGTTTTTATGAAATCAAATAATTAATCTTTTCTTTTGTGGTCACTAGGTTGAGAGTTATGCTTAGAAAGGCCTTCTCTGCCCCAAGATTATAAAATTATCTGCCCATGTTTTTGCCTTAAAATAATAATAAACAATTGGTAATTTTTACTGAATGCTTACTTCAGGCCAGGCACTGTTCTAAGTACCTGACACACATTATTGTATTTAATCTTCACAACAACCCTAGTAGGTTAGTAGTATCATTACCTCCAAGACACAGATGAAGATTCTACAGCTACTTATGAGAATTAAACTCATCTGAGAATGCATAGCTGCTATGTGGCAGTGCCTAGATTTCAACTGAGACTAGCAGATTCATCAACTACAGGCTGTTATCTACTGACTCTCTCTCCACGAAGATAAATGGGAGTTCAAACTCTTTTACAAACCTCTACCTATTCTCCCTTCCCCTCTTTATATCTGTTACATAAATCCTTTATTCAACATTAATTTTAGAGCCTTTACATTTTCTTCTGTTTTCATACAACGCAGTTATTCAGACTTTACTTGGTCTATTTTTAAATAGATTCCATATGCCCTATCAACCCCTTCCTATCTCTGCTTCTTCATTCCCAAGTTCTTTTTATTTATCACTTAGATGATTAATTTTACTCATGAGGCATTTCTTCAGGGACTAGGTCCTTGAATGTTTGAGAATATTGGTTGTTATCTTTATGCATAAATAAGAGCTTGACCAGGTATTAAATCTGTGGGTCACACTATTCCCTGCCTACACACATTCCACCAAAACTCAGACACTGTTCAACTGCCTCCTGGCTTTGGCTATTACCATGATGTCAGAAGCCAGTCTCATTTTCCCCCTTTCGGTGACTTGCTTTTCCTGTCTGGATGCTTGGCGATTCTTTTTTTTAATCTTGAAGCACAAGTAACTTTACTGTTACATACTTATTTGATATTGATCATCCTGTTTCAGTTCTTTTAGAATTCTGTGTTCTTTGAATCTGCAGATTACTAATCCGTTTAATCTCTGGTGGTCTTTTCCCCATGATATATTTGAAATTATTGTCCATTCGTTCTACTCTCTATCAGGCACACCAATAACACATATGTTGGATCTTCTCTGCCTGTATTATCTACATATCATACAGAATTCCTAGTTGAAAGCCTATGGCATAAGCCTAACTTGAAATAGTTTAGATAAAAAGAATTTATCAGAAAGACAATGCAGTACCTCATATAACTTTAGGAAATGTATAAAGTGTAACTGAGCCTGAGGGATAACTGGAACCACAGACTTGAACGCCACCAGGACTGCTTATCTCAACTAGGGCTATTTTTCTTTTGTCTCTTATTTCTGCTTCAATGTGTTGGCTTGGCTGTCAGTATCATAGACAGACCAATTTCTCCCACAAGGCACAGAACATGGCTGCCAACAGCTATAAAGCCTCACATCCTATGACTGACCACCAGAGAGGGATTGCCTTGCTTTCCTTAACTCCAATTTCTAAAAATTCTATGTTCCCCTTCAATTTCTTTAAGTGAATACAGATGTATTTTTCAAGAATTTGTTTACTAAAATAATTCTTAATCTGAAATGTACTTCATTCTGCATGCTTAGAGTAAAGCAGTTAACTAGCTTTGGTTTGCTAATTTATTAGTTATTCATTTATGTTCATTTGATTCAGTTAACTGCTACATAGCTCATTGTCATTTCTTCTTTCTTCCTCTCCACTTCACTGCAGGTTAGAAATCAAAAGATACTGTCCTCTTGTCTCTCTCTCCTCTCTCTCTCTCTTTCTTTCTCTCTGTCTCCATTTTGAGATATTGCACTGGCTTCCTTGGGGATTTTCCAGGTTTTCCCATGGCGTGTCCCAACACGAAAACCTTACAGGATGGGATACTCATGGCCCCCCACTTTCAGTGAAATCTGCACTCTGTTTACAGTCTAAACAGTGTATAACAGAATTTAGCATCCCCTTTGATTTCATCCATATTTCATTATACTCTTAGATTCTAGTCCATAGCTAGGAACTGAGCCATTTCCTAGTTTCACAGATTTTTTTTTTGTTTGCTTTTCATTCTATTTGTTGATTCTCAATTAGTTTCATGATAAGGAATATGGTTAGTATGGCTTTACTTTTCTGAATATCTTCTGCATTCTTAGAAGTAATAGTTACTATTACAATTCTACTTTGGAAAACTTAAAGTTCATTCATTCATCAAATATGCATAGGATATTAACTATCTGCAAGGCACTTTGGGAGGCACTGAAGATACAGCAATGAAGAAGACAGAAATAGTTCCTACCCTCTTGGAGCTTACATTATAGTGGGGAAAACAGACTATTACTATTTTTAAAAATCACAAGAATAGCAGATCAATAAGTAAGTAAAGGGGTAGCTGTTTAAGCAGAGATTAGAGTCCCCAAGTGTTATGGATTAGATTATTCTAGCTAAAGAATCTCTGAGTTGCTTCTCAGTTCAAGGAGAGGCAAAAGTCTCCTTGAAGCTCACTTTATTTTGTGAAGAGTCACTTAAGTCGCCTCCCATAGTGACAGATTGCAAAAATGAGTAAGTACCCTGTATCTGGGTAAGTAGGGCCTTCCTTGGGCATACAACCTAGAAATAACTATCTTTTTTCTTGGGATACCCATAGGCCTTCTGGGAGTGTTCCTTGGGATTCAAAGTTAGCTGTTGGAGTAAACCTAACATTGCCCTGACCAAAATCTTCTGGCAAGAAGGGATACAAATGGCACCAAAAGAATACTCACTAGGCAGGAGCTGTCTGGGTTGGTGTCCCAAGCTCAATCCAGCCCAGGGGATCATGAGGAAGGGTGACTCTAACCCAGCCTATAACCACCATGACACAAAATTATGCTTTGAGAAACAATGACTAAGTGTATGAACGTAAGTCTGTAGGTATATGAATGTAAAATATAACTTCTACATCTTGGGCAGGTCATCATAAATAATCAGTCCCTTTGGGCTGTGCAGGACCATTCTTCAATAGCAACAGTCTTTATCAGCAACAGCTATATTGTACTTTTCGGATTTCAAGTTCACCCTCCACATGGTACATGAGACTAACCCTTTGGAACCCCCAGTTCTTACATAATACACAAAGTGAAGGAAGAGTCCTCAAGAGTGAGAACTGAATTTCCTGGTAATAAAAACACCTGGAAAATAATGTCACTAACTTAATAATTACAAGAGGTATGACTATATTGGGATTTCCCAGAAAGAGTAACACAAGCAGTGACCTGAAGGACAGCAATCAGTTGGCCAGGGAAAGTGAGGAATGCATTCCAAAAAGAGGAGCCAGGAAGAAACCTGGCAGATTTGAGGAAATTAAAAGGGACCAGTATGGCTGAACTGTGGGGAAAAAAAAGAGCTACATTGCTGTCAGTCAAAGATGGTGAGGTAGACAAGGAGCAATATCTATAGGGCCTCATAAGGTATGTTAAAGATCTGAGGCTCTATCCTACAAGCATGCAAATAAACACTTTTTCAGGAGCGGAGTGGCATAATCAGATTTTTATTTGTAAAATATGACTTTAGGGGCAGGATGTAAGAGAATCAAGAGTGTAAAGTAGCAGGCAGGCCAGCTGGAAAGCTATCTGAAGAAGATGGATGCTAACAGGTGGAAGTAAGTATATAGATTTGGTTGTAGGGAATTTAGGAAATTCCCATCAAATGGCTTCCTTCTCTATGAAATAGCAAATAGAAGAGACAGATGACTTTGGGCATTGATGGATTAAAAACAGAGATGAATAAATTTAATCCCAAAGCCTTATGGAAGAAAGCAGGCACTCTGGCCTTACGCAATTCTGCTGAGCCTGCTCTGCTGAGAAGAGTTTGCCCCTTGTGAATCTGGTGTTACTTTATACTGCTAGGTTAAGAATTCTGTATTATTTTGTCAAAATAAATCAAAGTTTCACCCAAGAGATAAAAAGATATAGAAAGAGAACTTTCCATTTGCTTGCCCTTGTATAGCATGTGAATGTACTCTTCCTAAGTATCACCTTCAAGCAACTTCAGAAGAAAAGACTGAAGGAACTTGGGAAATACTTTTTGCAGTTAACCACAGATGGACCCTGGCTAAACCACAAAAAAGAGGGCCTTATTAAAAGCATTCTTAGCTGATGGACCTTTCACCATTAACCTGTCACTTAGGTCAAAAAACAAAAGATAAATGCTATTCCCCAGGTCTAGCGCCACCATCAACATGGAGGAAATGATGAAAGTCCCAGATTACAGGGGAAATTCAACAACCGGTGCCTTTAGGAGAAGAAAGCTGACATTCTGTCCTCATCCCTTCAAAAACATATCCTAAGCAGAAAGAGATCTAGGATCAAAGCTATCTTTAAAGGACTAAAAGGTCTCAGAAGCACTGCTGCCTGCAGGTGTAAAAATAAAGTGACAAAAGTACACTGACAGACCAAATTAGTGATCCCTAAACTTCCTTTTAGGTTTGCCCACTACTCTTCCTATTATGACTCTAGAAAGCCCTTGAGAGGGCATCTCCGGGAGTGTCATTTATGAGAAACCAAGCCAACAGAGAGAACACCTAGTAAGATAATTAGTGGATTTTAGAAAAGAGGAAAAAAAAATAACAAAGTAGTGAAAGTACAGGAGATGGATTCGCCACCATCTAATCAGCGCTACATGGAGGATATAGGTTTTTCACCATGATTTATAGTCAAAGGTTAAAAAACTTCACATTTTTAACAAAAATACCAACCCCCATCTCCCTGGAAGTTGTAACTCTCTGCTTTTGTTGTAATTGGGGTTTACCCATGGGGTTAATTTCCCATTGGATATAAGCCTATGGCCATCTCTACATTGCAGGCAGCATAAAACTGGGGCAAAAAAAGAAATACCTTCTGCATCCGATAACAGAGTTTCACAGCCGGAGTCATAAGCCCCGAGTTCAAATATCAGTTCTGCCATTTACAAGTTCTACGACTGAAGGCAAGTTATTGAAACTCATTCAGCCTCAGTCATCTTGTCTGTGAAAAGGGATTAGAACCTACCTCACAAGATTATGATAAGGAGAAAAAGAGATAATGTACATAAAGCTCTTAGCACAGTGCCTGGCACATAAATAAGTACACAGTAAGGGATAGGTACCATTAGAAATCATTAACTCTCACCTTCACGTTCATTTGTTCGTCTCTGCTGCCTCTGAAGACTTCTTAGGTCTTAGATGCACCTTGCTTACCTAGAACCCAAATATCCTGTCTGCTTCTGCCTATCTCTAGCTACAGGACTCCCTCGTTCCTCCACCAACAATCCCCTGGGTTAAGTTATTACCCATCCAAACTTACAAACTCTGCCGACCCATCCCTCCTGTGTAACTTCCCTCCCTGTCCTGGCCTGTTCCGCATGTTGCCATTCATTTCCAGTGTGACAAATCTGAAGTCAAGTCAGATTGTTTCAGTTAGTTTGAAGGCTGCCTAAAAGGCTTTATTTAACCTACAGAAGCCAAAATCATTATTTACATATAAATAACATCATTGGTCAACTGATTAATAACTTTATACTCAGGACCATGCTAGACTCTCCAACTATATTTAATCCTTCCAAGTTAAGACTCTAGTTAATTAATTATATTTTATCCTTCCAAAATATGACTGCATTTACAAGCAAAGAAGTTACCTCAAAATGCAGCTTCTAAATAGACCCTCAGTTTCTGCATCTTAATTCAACTCCTTGTTATCTCCAAAACGTGAGAGTTGAGAAATAAAAGCCTCTAGGCTACTTTTTAAACAATCTTAGACCCACATTGTCTTAAAATTATCAGAATATCTCTTAGTAAACACTCAATATTTTCACTATTTCATTACTCTCCAGGTATATTTTAAGTCCTTGACTAAATTAAATGAGTCAAGAAAAAGAATCTGAAGTACTAGTAACACAAAATTGGTCTAATGTTTAATGTGTGGTTCATTTAGAGGCAACAACTAAAGATCAGGGTCATTAGCCTTTCCTGTGCCAGATAGCATCTCATAGGATATCTTGACTAAATTCTGCAAACAGTCAATTGAACCAATATTGCATCTTGTAATAGTCATACATGCTTTTACTACTATAAAGATGACTTTTTATTATGTTTCCAATTCAAAATCTATTCTGCTACCCAAGTCTCTTCCACAGCATACTTCTTTAATTTAGTAAATGAAATTTTGCACTAAGAAAGCAGCAAATATTTATATTGCCAAGTGATAGACTGACCTCTAGTGGAAATTTTTTAAATTACTGAGTGAGCTTCTCAGGACTTTAATACAGTTATAACTGTCGAACCTATGACATTGTTAAAATAATGTTTAAGGCTGGGCGTGGCGGCTCATGCCTGTAATCCTAGCACTGTGGGAGGGTTTGAGACAAGCCTGGGCAACATGGTGAAACCCCAACTCTACTGAAAATACTAAAAAATTAGCTGGGGTGGTTGTGTGTGCCTGTGGTCCCAGCTACTCGGGAGGCTGAGGTGGGAGGACTGCTTGAGCCCAGGAGGTAGAGGTTGCAGTGATCCAAGATCGAGCCATTGCATTCCAGCCTGGGTGACAGAGTGAGACCCTGTCTCAAAATAATAATAATAATAACAATGTTTAAAACATTACTAATAAAATTTACTTCTTAAGTCAATTCAAGCATAGACTAGGGTTAACAGTAGAGACTCTGGTTCAGAGCTCACCTCTGCCACTTTCTAGTTATGTAACGTTTATCTGGCTCCCCATCTGTAAAATGAAAAAGTGAATATTACCTACCACATGGGGTTATCATGAAGATCAAATTAGTCAAAATATGAAACATATCTAGAACACAGTAAGGTACACAGTTCAGTGCTATAATATTATTAGTTATTACTATTTGTGGCTGCAAGAAATTATGGCTGGAGGCAAATAATAATTTCAGAGAATATAAAGAAAAACAAAAGAGTCTTTACAGGAACACATTTCTTTAGGGATTGGCTATAACAAACCAATATAGCACCAATACAGCTATTCCTCCCATTTCCCAAAATATATGAGCTATGCCTATATAAACAGAGGAACGGGGAAAATCAGAAGCACATAACTACACCTGGGTAACCTTTTGTAGGAAATACTGGGAAGTCTTTTCATTGTCCCAATATGGGCATGATGAATAACACCAGATTCTATCCTTTAAACCAAAAACAAACTAACAGCTCCAGTCCATGTGGGTCTTTCCAGGCTTTGAACTCCTTTTACATTTAGCACCTAGCTACACACTAAATTAGTCATCAGTCTCAGATTATCTGAGTCATACAATGTAGCACTTTTCTATAATTAACTTATTCTTTGGGCTTATATTACAAGATTCTGAACTTTTAAAAACAATATTCAACGGCTTCTACAGCAATATATCTGACTAATGACTAAAAAATGCCTCCCTACAAAGTTAATAATATAGTCTCCACCTCTTTTTCCAAGGAAAATCCAAATCAGCAATTATTTTCAGCTTACAGGAATGTGCATAAAATTGAAAGATGGTCTATAATTCCAAGGTACTTCCTTAGTACAAAATAATTGCCATCCAGAGAAAAATAGCTTGTTTTTATCATAAAACAATATGATCACTAAATAAAATACAGTTCTTAGTTCCTTCCATCACAGTCCTGAAGTACCCAAATTCATTTTAGTAATTCACATTTTCTATTCTGGGAACACTCCAAGTTGCAATTCAGTTATTCAATGTAAACATGAACTCATTAAAATGGCATAAAAGTTCCTCCAAAGTATTATTCATAACATTTACATGTATTTACTACAAGAGACTAAAAAGAACTGATTTATGTAACTGGGATCATAAATCGTGGATAATGAATTATATATGTAAAACCACAACTCAAAAACAATTACAAAAATGAATACCACAGTATGGTCAGACAACTTCTAGAAAGCATCAGACATATTGTAACATAATTCGCTCTGCTATTAAAAGTCATCAATAAGTGTGGTGCTATTAAAGCATGTATTTCAAGATAACAGCAAAAATTAGACGTTTGAAGTTTTTTGAAAGCTTGAGTTTATCTGGAAATATAAAAGCAAGAAAGCTATTTATTATAGTATTTGATACTTCACTAAGTACAGTTCCATAAAACTGTGGCCCTGAACATTTCCCTAATAACTGTCTAGGAAATATAATGCAGCAGAAGGAAGATTGATTCTGATACTACAGAGAAAAAGTCTTATTCCCTTACATATCCTTTGTAGACAGACCTTAATGGATTATGTGCTATATTACCTTCTTATTTTTCTTGTACTAAAGCAACATTTATATTATTAAGATTGGAACAGTAACAATTCAGTTCCACCAAAGACACTAAAGATGACAAGGAAACTATGTACCTAGGCAAAGACCTAAGGAAAAGTATGTATAGTATAAATTTCCTTTTTAGGAGTTATAAGACATAGACATTCAAATAGAATAAAGCCCAGTGCTCCCAAGGAATATTATCTGGAGAAGGTCCCCAAAATGACTTCTTAAAAACATCACAAGGCATGAATTTACCAAGGTTTATTCTATGATTCTCAATCTGGCTGCACAGTTTATAGAAATTGGCAAAGTGATACTAGCATGCATCAGTAAAGGCAAAGGTCCCAGAAAAGCCAGAACAATCTTGAAAAATAACAAAATTGGAAGACTCACACTACCTTGTTTTAAGACTCACTATCAAGCCACAGTAATCAAGACACTTTGGTATTGGTATAAGAATAGACAAATCAATGAAAACAGAAGTCAACTGATTTTTGACAAGGCTGGCAAAGCAATTCAACAACACAAGAAAAGTCTTCAACAAATGGTGCTGAAACAGCTGTATATCCATAAGGGAAAAAAGAAACTGAACTTCAACTCCTATCTCACACCACCCACAGACATTAACTTGAAATAGATCATACACACAAATGCAAAAGCTAAAACTAAAAACTTCTAGAAGAAAACACAGAATGTTTTTATGACTTTCAGGTAAGTTAAAGATTTCTTAGAAAGAACACAGAAAACATTAGCCATAAGAGAAAAACTGATAAATTAGACTTCATCAAAATGTAAGACTTCTACTCCTCAAAAGACACCATTAAGAAAATCAATAGGTGGCCAGGAATGGTGGCTCACACTGGTAACCCCAGCACTTTGGGAGGCCAAGGCAGGCAGATCACTTGAGCCCAGGAATTCAAGACTACCCTAGGCAACATGGCAAAACCCCATCTCTACAAAAAATACAAAAATTAGCCAGGCATGGTGGCACACTCCTGTGGTCTCAGCTACTCGGGAGGCTGAGATGGGAGAATCACTTGAGCCCAAGGCTACAGTGAGCCGTAATTGTGCCACTGCACTCCAGCCTGGGCAACAGAGTGAGACCCTGTCTCAAAAAAATAAATAAATAGATAAATAAAAGAAAACGAATAGGCAAGCCACGGACTGGGAGAAAATATTCACAATACATATATCTAAAAAAAACTTGTATCCAAAATTAGAATTCCTACAACTCAAAAATAAAAAGACAACCTGTTTTCAAAAAAATAGGCAAAAGAACAGATACTTTATAAAGGATATATGAGTGTTCAATTAATAGATAAAATTTTCAAAAAATTATTAATCATTAGATAAATGTAAGTTAAAACCACAATGAGACATCCCTACACATCGTCCAGAAAGATTAAAGTTTAAAAGACTGACAAAACCAAATATTAGGGAAGGATGTAAGGTTCTTGCAACAAGAACCCTCATTTGTTGATGGCGGGAATGTAAAATGATAAAACCACTTTGGAAAACAGCTTTTCTATAAGGTAAACATGTAATCTATCCTATGAATGAATAACTCCAATCTTAGGTAATCACCAAAGAAAAATAAATACATATGTCTACAAAAAGCCTTATCCAAATATATAACAGCTTTGTTTGTAGTAGTCAAAAACTAGAAACAACCCAAATGAATGTCCAACAACATGTGAATGGATAAATCGATGGTGGTATACCCACACAATGCAACACCACTCAGCAATAAAAATGAGTAAGTTATGGGTGCACACACGTAGTACTGTATGATTCCATTTACATAGAAAATGCAAACTAATCTACAGTGACAGAAAAGCATTCAGAGGTTACCTGAGAATGCAGAGGAGGGCCGAGAGAGGCAGGATGGAGACATTAAAACGGACATAAGGGAATTTTGGGGGGGTGATGGATATGTTCACTATCTTCATTGTCTGGCAGTTTCATGGATGTGCACATATATAAAAATCAAATTGTACACTTTAAGCATAGGTAGTTTATTGCATGGCAATTACATCTCAGTAAAAGCTGTTACACACACACACAGACACAGAGGACAGTTCTGCTTCTGATCAAGATAGAGTAACGGGGGACAGATCTCACCCTTCTGCCATAAACTGCTAGAAAACTGGACAAAATACATGATACAATGGTTTTTGGACCATCACACAAGACACAGCACTGTAATACCTGGGAGAGGGAAAGCAAACATGATGAGTTCCATGATTGCACCAGTTTAACACATAGAAGCAGTTTCCAGAATGCAGCAAATTCCCCAAAAGCCCAGCAGTTTAGCTTAGTTGAGGGTAAGAGCTGCACAAAAGACAGCTTCCGAAATCTGCAGGAGCATGCACATGAGTCTCGGCTAAGAGCTGATACAAGCATATGTGAGGCCAAAACTACCTAAGTTGGAAAAACCTTGAAAACAGCACGCTAACTAGAATAAGCCAGATACAAAAGAACAAACATTGTATGATTCCACTTATATGAAATATCTAGAATAAGCAAATTCATAGAGATGGAAAGTAAATTCAAGTTTACTAGGGATAGGCGAGGGGAGAATAAGGAGTTACTAGTAAAGTTTAAGAGTTTCTGTTTGGGGTGATAAAAATGTTTTGGAAATAGTGATGATGGTTATAACAAATTGTGAATGTAATTACTGTCACTTAATTATACACTTAAAAATGGTTAAAATGGGGCCAGGCATGGTGGCTCACGCCTGTAATCCCAACACTTTGGGAGGCTGAGGCGGGTGGATCACGAGGTCAGGAGATCGAGACCATCCTGGCTAACACGGTGAAACCTTGTTTCTACTAAAAATACAAAAAATTAGCCAGGCGTGGTGGCGGGTGCCTGTAGTCCCAGCTACTCAGCAGGCTGAGGCAGGAGAATGGTGTGAACCCGGGAGGCGGAGCTTGCAGTGACCCAAGATCGCGCCACTGCACTCCAGCCTGGGCGACAGAGCGAGACCCAGTCTCAAAAAAAAAAAAAGGTTAAAATGTCAATTTTATATGTATTTTACCACAATAAAAAAAAAATTTTAAAAAAATTTAAATTAAAATTAAATTTTAATTTTAAAAAATTTAAATTAAAATTAAATTTTAATTTTAAAAAATTTAAATTAAAATTAAATTTTAATTTTAAAAAATTTAAATTAAAATTAAATTTTAATTTTAAAAAATAAATTAATTAATTAATTAATTTTAAAATTAAAAATTAATTTTAAAAAAACTATCCAAGGCTCGTGTTGGGGGTGGGAGAGGAAGGAAAACAGCCTTGCAAGAAAAAGACAGAACAACGCCCAGATCTCATACAGGATTTGGGAACAATTCCTATTCCTGCCAGACAGAGAGGAAAGATATCTTAATACACAGGGCAGCAAGTAGAATTTTCAGAAGGGTTTCATCTTGACAACAGAGATAAATTATCCCTAGACTAAAGACTGCTCCAGACCTGCCCTACTTAAGCTTAAAAGCAAGTCTCAAAAGGCTTCATCTGATTTCAAGCAACTTAACTGCATGCCAGAACAAAGCGAACACTATTTAAAGAAGTCACCTAAATCCATAATGTCTTGCAACCAGTTAAAAGTTAATGGGCATATAAAATCTGCGAAAATATGCCCCAGAAATGATACAACTAGCAGACAAGAATCATATAAATATGTTCTACATGTCTAACAGGGTAGAGAAATACATAAACATGATGAGAAAAATGAAAGATTTTTTATTTATTTTATTTTATTTTTTTAGAAATAGGGTCTCACTGCGTTCCCCAGGCTGGTCTCGAACTCCTGGCCTCAAGCAATCCTCCAACCTCAGCCTCTGAAGTCACTGTGATTACAGGCGTGAGTCACCATGCCTGGTGCCTGAAAGATATATTTTAAATGACCCAAATGGAACCTCTACAGATGAAAAATACAATACCTAAAATGAAAAATGCAATAGATAGAATTAACAGCAGATCAGATACTGCCGAAGAAAAAAATCAGTAAAGGCATAGTAATAGGAACTATCCAAAATAAAAGATTAAAAAAATGCTCAAGGAAAAAATGAACAGAGCCTCAATGACCTGTGAGAGAGTATTAAGCATTCTTAATACTTTTTTTTTCTGCTTTCCAAAAGCAGAAAAAAGAGGTGAAGTATTTCTAAACATGACAAAAACTACCAACCTACAGATCCAAGAAGTTCAACAAACACCAAAGCTCATTCAAAACAAAACAGATAAAAAGGAAAAATTGTTAAGCTGGACTTCATCAAAATTTAAAACTTTTTCTCTGCAAAAGATCCTGTTAATTATTAAAAAGACAATTACAGGCTGAGAAAAATGACTGCAAATCACATATCTGACAAAGAATTTGTATCTAAAACATACAAAGAATGTCTAAAACTCAACCTTAAAAAATTCATTTAGAAGATGGGCAAAATACATGAATAGACTTTTCACAGAAGAAGATACACAATGGCAAATAAGCCCATGAAAAGATGACCAACATCATTAGGCTTTGGGGAAATGTGAATTAATATCGCAATGAAGTATCATCAATCAGAAAGGCTAAAATAAAAAATAGTAGCAATACCAAATGCTGGTGATGATATGGAGAAAACAGATCACTCCTACACTGTTGGTGGGCATGTACAATAGTACAGCCACTCTGGAAATTAGCTTGGCAGTTTATTTTAAAACTAAAATTGACTTATTACATGACCCAGTCGTTGTACTCTTGGGCATTTATCCCAAAGAAATGATAACTTATGTTCACACAGAAACTTGTACACAAACGTTCATAGCAGCTTTATCAGTAACCGTCAAAAACTGGAAACTATTCAAATGTCCTTCAGCAGGTGAATGGTTAAACAAACTGTAGCACATCCATACTAAGGACTATTACTTAGCAATAAAAAGGAATATGCAACAGACTTTGATGAACCTCAAGGGAATTATGCTGAGTGAAAAAAGCCAATCTCAAAAGGTTACATACTGTATGATTCCATTTATATAACATTCTTGAAATAACAAAATTATAGAAATGAATCTGTTTCCAGGGGTTACAGATAGGAGAGGGGTAGGTATGAGTATAAAGGAAGGAGTAGACAAGGGAGACTCAGGGTGATGATGCAGTTCTGTATCTTGATTACAGTGATGGTTACACAAAGTTCGTGGTTACACAAGACCTGCCTTGAAGTTGCCCATGGACCCCAACACCACATGCTGGAGTGTTGCCAGTCCCTCAGTGGCCCCTCTCCCTCCCTCCCTATCCCCACTCACCCCAGAGGAAGTGGACACTTAGAGATGGAGCTAATATGAGCTTCAGGCATAAAATTGCATACAACTATATACACGCATACACAAATGAGTAAATATACAACTGTAGAGGTCTGAATAAGCTTTGTGGACTGTGTCAACCTTGATTCCTAGTATGATACTATACTACAGTTATGCAAGATATTAATATTGAGGGAGGATGGTTGAAGCGTGCTCAGAGTCTCCCTGTGTATTTATTTGAAACATTTTGTAAATCTGTAATTATTTCAAATTAAAAGTTAAAAGAAAGAAAAAAGATAATCAGAATAGCCATAAATACTTTTTCTTTTTAAAATAACTATAAATAGTAAAGAAATTAAATTCTTAGTTAAAACTTTTCAACCAAGAAAACTCTAGACCCATATAGCCTTGCTAGTGAATTCTATCAAACATTTAAAGAAGAAATAATACCAATTCTATACAAATTCATCCAGAAAATAAAAAAGGAACATTTCCCAATAACATTACCATGTTACCAAAACCAAACAAAGACACTGCAAGTACATATAACTACAGACCAATATCCTTCATGAACCTAGAAGCAAAAATTCTTAAGAAAATGTTAGCAAACTAAATCCTCTAATATATAAAAGGATAATGAGGCTAGGCATGGTGGCTCATGCCTGTAATCCCAACACTTTGGGGTGCCAGGCCAGGAGAATTGCCTGAAGCCAGGAGTTCAAGACCAGCCTGAGCAACATAATGAGGCCCCATCTCTACAAAAAAAGGAAAAAAAAAAAATAGCCAAGTCTGGTGGCATGCACCTGTAGTCCCAGCTACAAAGGAGGCTGAGGCAGGAGGATCACTTGAGCCCAGGAGTTTGAAGCTACACTGAACTATAATTGCGCAACTGCACTCCAGTCTGGCAAGGGAGCAAGACCCTGTCTCAAAAAAAGGGGGAAGGGAAAGGATAATGAAATTGCTTTAATTTTTTGTGAAAATGACAAGTGTTGGTGAGGATGTGGAAAAACTGGAACCCTCATACATTGCTGCTGGGAATTTAAAATGGTGTAGCTGCTGTGAAAAACAGTTTGGTGGCTTCGCAAAGAGCTAAACATAAAATTACCACATGACCAGCAATTCTACTCCTAGGTATACATGCAAAGGAACTGAAAGCAGGGCCTCAAACAGATACCTGTACAGCAACAGTCACTCACTGCAGCATTATTTACAATAGCCAATAGACACAAACAACCCAAGTGTCCATCAACAGATGAACAGATAAACAAACTGTGGTATACGGACACAAGGGACTATTATCCAGCCACAAAAGGGAACAAGCTCTGATACAACATGGATGAACCATGAAAACACTATGCTCAATGAAATAAGTCAGACACAAAATGACAAATATTGTATAATTCTATTTATATGAAATAGCTAAAATAGGCAAATTCGTGGAGACAGACAGTAGATTAGAGGTTATCAGGGGCTGGGGGAAGAGAGAAGAATGGGGTGCTTAATGCTATAGAGTTTCTGTTTGGGGTGTTGAAAATTTTTGGAAGTAGTGGATAACCAGCTAATGCCACTGAATTGTATACTTAAAATGGCTGCAATGGCAAATTTTATTTCATATATATGTATATATCACCACAATAAAAAAGAGGATAACAGATCACGACCAAGTAGGGTTCATCCTAAAAATGTATGGTTGGGTTAACGTTTGAAAATCAATCTAACTTACCATAGTAACAGACTAAAAAAGAAAAACTATATGATCATCTCAATAGATGCAGGCTGAGAAGACTGGGAGAGACTAAATCATGGAGTACCTTACAAGTCTTAACAAGCTTATACTGTATTCTAAAGACTACAGATTCCTCACCAAGGGATATTAAGAGGGAGATATTAAGAAGACTAACTCAATCTAGTTAGCGAATCAACAACCGACATTTGTAAATGGTAGAGAAAATGTTTACAGGATGCTGTGCCAGAGGGCAGCAAACAGAAACTGGGCATCTGAGATGGGGAAAATGAAGAGAGACTTCTAAAAAGAGGACTGAATGGGGAGTTGAAAACAAACAGCAGAACTTTCCTAATCCTCATGACTCTCTCACCACCGCCACTGCACCCATGTCTGGGAAATGCGTTATTAGTGATCATACTTTGCATGGACAAGAAAGAACAGTTCAGGTTCCAAGGTGACCTCCCTCATTCAAAACACGAATTACAACCAACATTCAAGTCAGTGTGTTCTTAGGCCTTTAAGACTTCATTTCCTTTTGGAACTTTCCAAACTATTTGATGTTCATGAAACCATCTAATGTAATAAGAAGAAATAAATAAACCTGAAATCTATTTTCAGATTGTAGATAAAATTTTTATAATGTATTACTATCTATCTGGCTATAAATATATGCCACAAATTTCATCACTTCAAATGCTTAATGTGTGAATATAACAGATATTAACTTTCTCATACTGAATAATAATAGCTAACATTTATTAAATACCTTTTTTGTGCCAGTAACTGGCTTAAGTACTTTGGGAATATTGTCTCACTTAATTCTTGTAACAACTCCATAAGATAAGTTCTACTACTATTCCCACTTTACAGATCATGAAACAAGACACAGAGAGGTTCGGTAATTTGCACAAGGCCACACAGCTAATAAATGACAGAGACAGGCTTCAAAACCAGAAATCTGCTAACATGCCAAACTCCTAACAACAATGCTATAAAATGAAGCAAGTGACAGATGTTCCAGAGTTTCATCAATTCACAAAAGACTACTGGATGACTTTAAAAAACCTTGAATAAGACATGAAAGAATTGCTCTACTTCCCCGGGATTTAATGTTCCATACAATAAATAAATTATATGCTATAAGTGATCCTCCTGTCTTAGCCTCCCAACGTGCTGGGACTACAGGCATGAGTCACCATGTCCTGCCAGGAAGATTCATTTAGAAGAAAATTTGGGAGGATAGGAGCCCTGAAATGTGTCTAGTAAATAGTTAGCAGAGGGTACTATGGTATCTAACATGATACAACTATCAAAATATGGCAGTATCACTCTTTTACATTCAATTATGTCTCAAACACAATACAAATAAGCTAAAAAGCTATATTTCTGGATAAAAGATTTTAAAATCTTCAATAATCATAGTGACTTTAGACTGTACTCCAGAGTTCATTAACTATGGATTCTAAGAAACAAAAAATAGCAGAAGGAAAAATCAAAGATATTTCAAGAATTCATTAATAAATCAGAATATTAGGAGAACAAACAAAACTAAGTCTTAACTCAAATTTCAAAAGCCTAGATGATTTTTCATACACTTTGCTTATTATTTAGTATTTATGCTACATGCTATAAGCAGAATAATCTTAGATATGTTTTTTGATTCTGCCATGTCACCTTCCTTGAGCTTGTTTATCTGGGTATATAAATATATTATTTTTCTTTACTATACATATTCTTTTTAAAAACTCTAGAATCACTCCTGGACATAGTAATTACTTACTCAGTAACAGGAAAAATGCAAAGTACTGTGTAATATTAACATTTATTTTCATATTCACCTTATATTCTACCAATGCAGAAGCTATGAAGGTGTAAGTATACATGCCATTTATACTCTATCCTATCTTACTGCTCTGCAGTTCTTTATACACAAGCTTACTTTGGCTCTCTTCAATTTATACATAAATATTTAAAACCTCCTTTTGCCCATTTTCTGGATATACTCAATGGTAACAGAGCCATTGTAAGCATTTTTATATGGTAACTTTCCTGAGCAAGAATCATACCATAACCCTAATAAAGGTCAAATGCAACAGTGCCTCTCCAGGGAAGTTCTTCCATGCAGCAGTGAGTCATTTTTTCTTTAGGAATGAAAGTTTCACTCTGGTGAGTAAATGTCTGCTCATATGCAGACATCTCTCACTACAAGTCAGTCAACTATGCCATAATCTTCTCTTTTCTCATTTTGAAATCTACCAACCCATACATATATATACGATTACAGTGCCTGATATGGAGCTCTGCTAATAGGAAAGCACTTACTTATTTATGATTTATCACACATTTGTACTGGGAAGAAAAACCTTCTGTATTAGTGAATTTCACCATGCCGACAGTAATCTCCTAGTTTCTTGTTTAACACATACAGTGAATTTACACATGTACAAAATAACATAAATTAAAAGTTACTTTTTACAGCATCACTTGTAATAGCAAAATACTGGAAAACATTCAAATACCCTTCAATAGGGAACTATTTAAGTAAGTTGTGGTACATCCATTCAGTGGAATACTATGCAGCAATTTAAAAAATGAAGAGGGTTTTCTTCAACTGCAACAATATCTAAGATATTTTTAGGCAAAAAATCAAGGTGCAACATAGCAACTACAGTATACTACCACTTGTATAAAATAAGGGTAACATTTTATTTATATATAATATACTATATGTATACCACATATGTACATTTTTGTACGTGTAATTCACACACACACACACATCTCTGAAAGCATACTCAATTGTTACTTGGCTCCAGGGAAATTAAATGGGTATCAAGGCCACAGAGACAACAGGAAGACTATTTTACTATATACTCTTCTTTTTTAAAATTATATACCAAGTCCAACTATTATCTATCTAAAAACTAATTAAACTTTAAAAGAATATATAGGGTAATAATTATATGCAGAGGCTCTATTGGATAAGAAAATCTGGGTTTAAGTCCCCATTCTTCCATTAACCAGTGGTGTGTAACCTTAGGCAAGTTCTCCAAGCCCCAGTTTCCTCATCTGTAAAATGGAAGTAATGATAGTTACTGTGAGAATGAAAAACAATCAGGTATATAAAACAATTATCAGAGTACCTGGCAATTATTATTATTTAGTGTTATCTTTTAAATGGTACTGCAGACTTGGAAATCACCAAGTTATAGTCATCACCAATTCCTTTTTCTTTTTTCTTATTCTGAATGAAAAAATTTTGCTAGTTCTTTTAAAATGTGTGGCATTCAATCATTTCTGTCCATTTTATAGCCACTAGAGATTGGCCCAGACCCTGAAGAATCAGTTAGAGTAGGGATTTTGTGAGCAATTAGGAACCATCATACATTTGGTATAGGTTTTTTATTAAATCTAAACCTTTCAGTGGAGCCCTTATTGCCACTATATATAGGCATATCTACAGAGTCTCTACCACACTAAATACCAAATGAAATGCCACCAATTTATACTTGTATCCCTATTTTAACAATTATAAGGTACTTTCAAATACTTTAGTTCAATTCCTAGAATAAGAATCTCAGAAATGGAAGATCCTTTAAAATACAATGCAATTTTTTTCAACAATGATGAGGGAATCAGAGCATATATTTTTATCTCTCTTGTAGATGAATATTTTTAATTTAAGAGCAACCTGTTAAATATGAATTTAAATTATATTAAATAATGAAATAAATAAATGAAATGAAAGCCAAAGAAGAGAAGCGACTTGCCAAAGACTCACATGCTTTACAAGAGAAAAAAAAGGCTGCCTAGCATTCACATGTTCTCATTTTACTGCTCATTTCGTTCACATTCTTACAAGGAAGTCATCAAGTATGCTACTTTCCCTCACCTAAAAGGCTCTTACTTATACAACCTAAAACCCCGTTTACATCTAATAATCTGATTTTTAAAATGGGCAAAAGATTTGAATAGACACTTCTCAAAAGAAGACATACAAATGGCAAACGGGTATATAAAAAGGTGTTCAACATCACTGATCATCAGAGAAATGTAAATCAAACTACAATGAGACATCATCTCATCCCAGTTTAAACGGCTTTTATCCAAAAGACAGGCAATAACAAATGCTAGAGGAGATGTGGAGAAAAGGGAACCTTCATACACTGTTTTTGGGATGTAAATTAGTACAACCACTATGGAGAACAGTTTGGAGGTTCCTCAGAAAACTGAAAACAGAGCTACCATATGATCCAGCAATCCCACTGTGGGGTATATACACAAAAGAAAGGAAATCAGTATATGGAAGAAATATTTGCAATCCCATGTTTGCTGCAGTACTATTCACAATAGCCAAGATTTGGGGGCAACCTAAGTGTCCATCAATAGATAAATGGATAAAGAAAATGTGGTACATATACACAATGGAGTACTATTCAGCCATAAAAAAGAATGAGATCCAGTCATTTGCAACAACATGGATGGAACTGGAGGTCATTATGTTAAACGAAATGAGCCAGGCACAGAAAGAAAAACATCAAATGTTCTCACTATTCGTGGGATCTAAAAATCAAAACAATTAAATTGATTTTTAGATGGTTTTAGAAAGGATGGTTACTAGAGGCTGGGAAGGAGAATGGAGGGAGGGGGAAGGGGGAGGGGGATGGTTAATGGGTACAAAGAAATAGAACAAATGAATAAGACCTAGTATTTGATAGCACAACAGGATGACTATAGTCAAATAATTTAATTGTACATTTTTAAATAACTTAAAGAGTATAAATGGATTATTTGTAACACAAAGGATAAATGTTTAAGGGCACAGATACCCCATTTTCCATGATGTGATTACTATGCATTGCTTGCCTATATCAAAGTATCTCATGTATCCTATAAATATACATACCTACCATGTACCCACAGAAATTAAAAACTGCAAATTGTAAAAAAAGAAAACGTTGTTCACAGAACCTATCTTGGATCTGGTAGCCATAAGTCTCTCCCCTCTGAATTCCAGCTACTACCATAGCAAACAACTTAGCACTTCATCGTGGGTTATCTGTCATCTTCATGGTGGTATTGTCTCCCCAGGTGTAAGCAATCTGGAAGCAAGTTGGTCTGGTAAAAAAAAGACATTATAATCACCACCATCTACCCTATCTCCCCCTCAGCCTATTATCCCTGACATTTCCCTCCACTTGGAAGCTCAGACTTCTCAGCCAAGCAAAGGTATCTGCCTCTTCATTCATCCCTCCCTCTAAATTCCTCCTGGGATGCCTTTTCCTTCCTTCCCATCAACTCACATTCCTCACCTTGAGCCAAACCTTAACCCAATCCCCCTCACACAGAAAGCCTTAACTCAGCCCATTTTCTTAGAAACCGATATACACAGTGTTGTACAATTTTCCTATTCACATCTCATAATATTTCTGTATATATGTTTGGAAATGTATATTTCTGCATATGAGATAACTTATCAGCCTGGGCAACATAGTGAGACCCCCATATATATAAAAAAAATAGCCAGGCATGGTGGTGCATGCCTGTGGTCCTAGCTACTCAGGAGGCTGAAGCAGGAGGATCACTTGAGTCTGGAAGGTCGAGGCTAAGCCTGAGTGAGAGAGTCACCAGGGAATTCTTCCAGCATGATGACTTTCGGTTTCACAATACCAAATCAAAGAACCTGCACTGAGCTAAGACTCATCCCAGAAAAGACTTAGGAAAAGACACCAAACACTTAGAGGGAGTCTTCTAAGTGTTTGGAAGAAAATCTGTCCTGAAAGAGAACTCTCTGTCCATGAAGGATGGGTCCATTTCAAAGAGAAGATACGTAACTTCCCCTATGTGATTAATTTATTGGCAGGATAACTTGCATCAGTTTAAAGGCATTTCATCCACAATGAGCAAAAGCTAAATGCACTAAATCTTCTTTCACGGAACGTGTATTTTTTGAACTCTTAGCGGTTTGCATTTAATGCTTTATTTTAAAATCAGATTTAATCATTTCATATAACTAGTACTTCTTCAGGAAGATGGATTTCATTTTACCTCTACATCTATTACCCCAGGTCAGAACTGCAATGAATTGTAATGCCATTTGAAACCACTAATACAGCACTCAACAATCCAGTTATTAAGTGAGTCTGAAAACACAATTTTCCAAAATGACTATAGTGCTCCCACTTCCTATTCTTAAATATCTAAGACACTAATTGAATGTCCATACTATTTTATTTATAGGTCTTTCTCAAATACTCTCACAATAAAACCACCAATTTTAATTCCTACTTCCATAAAAGCTCTTTGTTGGCTCTATTTTGAAGACTTAACAGAGCTGTATTTTTAAAAAAATCAATTTGATAAACAAAAAAACATTTTCTTATGATACTCAGAGATCTCTACAGCATATAGCTTGATATTTTTTAACAACAGGAACTAAGGACAAAACTAAAAAGTGTAATTCTCAATTATACAAAACAAATAGGTATTGTATTAGTCTGTTTTCATACGGCTATAAAGAACTGCCCAAGACTGGGTAATTTATAAAGGAAAGGGGTTTAATTGACTCACAGTTCAGCATGGCTTGGGAGGCCTCAGGAAACTTACAATCATGGCAGAAGGCAAAGGGGAAGCAGACACTTTCTTCACAAGGCAGCAGGAAGAGGGGAAGAGCCACTTATGAAACCATCAGATCTCATGAGAATTCACTCAGTCTCACGAGAACAGCATCAGGGAAACTGTCACCATGATTCAATTACCTCCACCTGGTCTCTCCCTTGATACGTGGGGATTATGGGGATTATGGGAATTACAATTCAATATGAGATTTGGGTGGGGACACAAAGCCTAATCATATCAAGTATGTATGTGTATAAGTATATATGTACATGGTATATATCCTCTTAATTATCTTTTAAAATTTTCATCCATATCACAGCCTTCTGGGCTATGGTATGTTCAGAAACATAAAACCAATGAGATAAGTCACCAAAGCAAACCCTACAGTGGAGAAGTGGCCACAACATAGCATCAGTAGTGGAGAAGCAACCACAGAATCTAGAAATTACAAAGAATATCTGAGGACATCTGGCACAGCATGAAATTTCTTTCATAGAAGATCTGATGGATACTGACATGGACATTGTTTAAAGTTTTCCAATGACTGGGAACCCATTCCTTAATTTCCTCAAGAAGCTTATTTCATTGGACACCACCAGAATGTTTTTCCTCATAATGAGCCAAAATTATCTCCTTATAAAACTTCTTACAGGTCATACGTAATTATGTCATTCTTACAGATACGTCTAGTCCTTCTTTAACAGGTTTCTGCCTTTCAGATATGAAGAAAATGATCATGTGTCCCCTTGGTCATACCTCCTAGAGGTTGTCTTTTCTACAACCCCAACACACTCACCTGTCCTTCATATCATTTAAAGGTCTTCACTATCCCAGTCCCTTCACCTTCTGGGTGAAATCCAATTTGCCAATATTTCTACTAAAAAAAAATGGCATCTAGTACTAAAAGTAAAATTCCACAAATTATTGATAACATTACTCATGAGAAAGCAGATATGTAGGAAAGGATCAAACTCAAGAACCCTCTGCTTCATAGGGAGCAAGTCTTGACATGTACTATGGAAATGACTAGATGAACAGAAAATATAAATCAATGCTATCAAAGACAATGATAAGAAAGATACGGGGAGGGTGGTAAAAAATAGTGTCATCAAGTTATTCATTCTGAAAGAAGTTAACCCCCCTATATGCTAGTCCACAGCCTAAATTATCTGAAATAATGATAATGTGGGTGTAATATGACCAAAACTTTCTAAATTTACAATAAGCATAGTTATATAGAGAATAATCATATCCTCTGAAATAAGTTACTTTTAATCTCATCTAAAGAATCAAATAAAATAAAAAACACTAGATGTAATTAAGACTGTTTAGTTTCCCTGGAGATTACAGCAATCAGACATTTTAAGTATTCTAAGAATGAAACATTTGAGACAATTAAGGAAATCCTATTGAAAAAAATTAGTCTGTAAAACAGAGATAATATGGGACTAAGGAATGGCTTATTAATAACATTCAATTCTGAGTATAACGAATACAGCTATTACAATTTCAATTCACTAGTGGCTGAGCTCAAAAAGCTAAAATGCTGCCACTCAATCTGCCTCAAGGATCCAGATCTAATCAGTACAGTCACTGCCTGTTACATTTATTGAATCGCAGAATGATTTTAGGCTGAAAGGAATTTAGATGAAAAAAAAAAAAAAAAAGAAAGAAAACAAAGCTAGTAAATGGTAGGGCCAGAACCTAAGACCAAAATCTGGGACTTTGCTATACTTGGAACAACTCTCCAAATACTTGCAAATAGCTATCATACCCTCCCTTCCCACCTCTAACCAATCTTCTTTCAAGGCCGGGTCCTTCAATGATTCATAATGTAGGGAGGATTCCAGAACAAAGTCCTACATAAGTGACCTCTGGAACTTCATACATATTCCTTCATGTCTGAAGTGCCAGCCTGGACTGTGTCTTGAGAGAATGAATACTGTTAACTGGATACATTAAGGATGGCTGCTCAACAAGACTAGAACTCCTGAGCTGCTGGGCCACTCCTCAACTTTCAGTTATTAATAACACAAATAAGGCAGGGCAAGAGAGGCCTGAGAGACACAGCCTTGGAGCAAGCCAATCAGTGAGAGACTATGGGCAATGATCAGAGCAAGACTATGATAATGCCAACGTCAGCAACACCAGAGGATAAACCTCTGGTTTAGGCGCCTTCCTCCTTATGCCTGGCCCTTCTCCAACAGCTCTCTCTCTACTAGGTCTCAGCCATCCAATAGGAAAGGTCTTTTCTGTTACCAAGTGCCAGGGCAAACAGGAGATAGACCCTTTCAGACAAAGCATACAGCCACAGAGGGAGCTCTCCATGAAGTGAAAGGTCATAACCCTAAGGTAAACAGGCAGTTAATCTAGACAGGATGCTATATGAAGACAATGAGGAAGGCAAAATCCCAAAATAGCAGATTCTTAGAGAAAATGCTACAGACAAAAGACAAAGAAAATGATTTTTTTTTTTTTTTTTGAGATGGAGTATCACTGTCCCCCAGGCTGGAGTGCAGTGGTGCGATCTCAGCTGACTGCAACCCCCGCCTCCTGGGTTCAAGTAATTCTCCTGCCTCAGCCTCCCAAAGAGCTGGGATTACACGCATGCACCACCAAGCTCTGCCAATTTTTGTATTTTTATTAGGGACGAGGTTTCACCATGTTGGCCAGGCTGGTCTCAAACTCCTGACTTCAGGTGATCCACCTGCCGTGGCCTTCCAAAATGCTGGGATTACAGGTGTGAGCCACTGCACCCAGCATTTTTTTTTTTTTTTTTTTTGAGACGGAGTCTCACTCTGTCACCCAGGCTGGAGTGCAGTGGCGCAATCTCGGCTCACTACAACCTCTGCCTCCCAGGTTCAAGCAATTCTCCTGCCTCAACCTCCTGAGTAGCTGGGACTACAGGCGCCCACTACTACACCCGGCTAATTTTTGTATTTTTAGTAGAGATGCAGTTTCCCCATGTTGGCCAGGCTGGTCTCGAACTCCTGACTTCAGGTGATCCACCCGCCTCAGCCTCCCAAAGTGCTGGGATTACAGGCATGAGCCACCGCGCCCAGCCAAAAATGATTTTTTTAAGCTAGCGTTAGAAGAAGAGCAAGTCCAAGACAGATGTTAATTAACTACAAATTGTGTTTCTGTCTTATCCAACAAAATGGACCTCAGGCAGGGCTTGGTGGCTCACGCCTGTATTCCAAGCACTTTGGGAGGCTGAGGCAGGCAGATTGCTTGAGCCCAGGAGTTCAAGACCAGCCTCAGCAACATGGCAAAAACCCTGTCTCTACAAAAAATACAAAAATTAAAAATTAGCACCAGGTGCAGTGGCTCACACCTGTAATCCCAGCACTTTGGGAGGCCAAGGCGGGCAGATCACTTGAGGTCAGGAGTTCGAGACCAGCCTGACCAACATGGTAAAACCTCGTCCTACTAAAAATACAAAATTAGCCAGGTGTGGTGGCACACACCTATCATCCCAGCTACTTGGGAGGCTGAGACAGGAGAATCGCTTGAACCTGGGAGGTGGAGTTTGCAGTGAACCAAGATTGCGCCACTGTACTCCAGCCTGGGCAACAAGAGCAAAACTCCATCTCAAAAAACAAAAAATTTAGCCAGGTGTGGCAGTGCATGCTTGTGCTCCCAGCTACTCAGGAGGCTGAGATGGGAGGATGGCTTGAGCCCAGGTGGCAAAGGCTACAGTGAGCCAAGATCGTGCCACTCCACTCTAGCCTGGTCAAGAGAGCCAGATCCTATCTCGGAAAAAAAAAAAAAAAAAAACACCTGACTTCAAATCCCAACCCAACCTGGCATAACAGGGTCTCTGTAAAATGGCATGCTAGCCTGTCCAGTCATTGTCTGCCATTATTCTTCTAGATCTCAACTTCCTCTAAGACTTACATGCTTTTCCACCTCTAGGCCTTTGAGTCTGCTGCTCCTTCTGCCTCAGCTTCCTCTTCCCTTTTGCTCATCCCTCCCTGACTTCCCCCAAGCAGACACAGAAGTGCTCTCCTCCATCTCCCTTCACACCAACCAATGTGTCTGTTATAGCACCTGCCTCAGGGGATTATAATTTATTGGCTTGGGCTGGACACAGTGGCTCACACCTGTAATCCCAGCACTTTGGGAGGCCAAGATGGGTGGATCACTTGAGGTCAGGAGTTTCAGACCAGCCTGGCCAACATGGTGAAACCCCGTCTGTACTAAAACTACAAAAATTAGCTGGGCATGTTGGCAGGCACTTGTAATCCCAGTAACTCGGGAGGCTGAGGCAGCAGAATCACTTGAATCCGGGAGGTGGAGGTTGCAGTGAGCCAAGATCACACCACTGCACTCCAGCCTGGGTGACAGAGCAAGACTCTGTCTAAAAAAAAAAAAAAAAAAAAAAAAAAAATTATTAGCTTGTTTCCCTCCACAACAGATTATGAGCTCGACATGGAGTGTATCTTTTTATCTTTGTATCCCAAAAACCTAGCATAGTATCTGGCTCATAATTTAGTAAGTGAATGACTCAAATTAGGGAAGTGAGGATGAGTGCAGTGGCAACTGCATGCCAGGCTGTGTGTCATGTGTATCTGGCATCTCTCCCTCAGTGATTTGTGACAGACAGAATGGTGTCTGATGCACAGTAGGTGATCAACAAAAACAATAAATTAAGCGAACAAACATGAAAAGAGCTATAACAGATTCAGCAAAGTATTATTTATGACATCAAGTATGAAGCTCCCTTCAAACTCTAAGACTCTATGGAGTTTTTTTAATTGCATTTATACAAATTTATTAGAAAATTTGAAAACATTTTTCAATGGGATGGGAAACTAGTATTTATTGAAGGGCTACATATTTGTTAGGCACTTTACCTATGATATTTGCTTTTCAGAATTCTGGGAAATTGTAATTATAAGCCCCATTTTATAGAAAAAGGAACCAAAGCTAGAAATGCAGGACCAAAATTTGAACCCAGGTGAGCCTGAGCTCACCAATCCTAAGCTTTTCCACACTGCACGCTTGAACCTCTGGAAAGAACACGAGGCACACCTCCCTATCATTCCACTCCAAGAAAAGGAGTTCTGAACAAGCCACGGCTCAACTGGATCACAATTCCAGAGGGAGGAGTTTTCAATGGAAGGTAAAAAAAAAAAAAAAAAAAGATGAAAAGTTCTTTCTTCCCTTGAAGATCATCATCTTTTCTTTGTGGAAAGGTTCACATGGCCCTTCCTGTTTCTCCCATGAGGCTGTAGGGAAAATCTTAAGGCCTCTTCTTGGGAAAGGGCAATCCTTCCTTTGCTCTTCCCTTTCCCCAAGGGGTCAAGCGGGAATCAGGTTACAATCCTGAAAAAAAGATGGCAAAGGGGCACCCATATGGGTCTACTTAGAGGCCTTAAGTGAGATTAGACAGGGAAGCAGCCTTGAAGCTTACATCCTCAACAGGCCAATTATCTTAGTTCAGGCTGCTCTAACAGAATACCATAGACTGGGTGGCTTAAACAACAAACATTTATTTCTCACAGTTCTGGAGGCTGAGAAGTCCAAGACCAGGACACCAGCAGATCTGATGCTTGGTGGGGGTACTCTTCCTAGTTTGCAGATGGCCATCTTCCTGCTCTGTCCTCTCATGGTAGAGAACAGAGAGCACTCTCATCTTTCCATTCCCTTATAAGGTCACTAACAGCATTCATGAGGGCTCCACCCTCATGACCTAATTATCTTTCAAATGGCCCAAAATACCAGCACACTGGGGATTTAGACCTCAACATATGAATTCTGAGGGGACACAAACATTCAATCCATAGCACTAATGCACCAAATTATATCCCTAGATGGAAATTTGGAGCCAAAGTCCTGTTAGCAATATGGAATGTTCCTTTGCCTGGAATGTCCTCTGTGTAGGATGGTGGCATGTAACTGGAGTGACAAGGAATCAGCCAAATTTTGTCTCCCCAAAACATGCCTGACGAGTTGACTTTAACAAGTGAAATGAAGTGTACAACAAACAGTCAGGACAACTGAATAGCTACACATAAAAGAATGAATCTGGACATCTACTTCAAATCATAAACAAAACTTAACTCAAAATGGATCCAAAATCTAAATATAAGAGCTAAAATTACAGAACTTTTAGAAGAAAACATAGTGGTAAATCTTTATGACCTTGTATTAGGCAATAATGTATTTTAGATATGGCACCTAAACCAAATAAAAAATATATTGAACTTCATAAAATTAAAAATTTTTGTGCTTCAAGGAACACTACCAAGGAGGTAAAAAGACAATCTACAAAATGGAAGAAAATATTTGCAAATCAAATATCTGAGAATAGTCTAATATCCGGACTACATAAAGAACTCTTACAACTGAACAAGAAAAAGACAACCCAAATTAAAAACAGACAAAATATTTGAATAGGTATTTCTCCAAAGAAGATATACAAATTGCATATCTTCATATTAACACATGAAAAGATCCTAACACCATTAGTTATCAGGAAAATGTAAATCAAAACCATAATGAGATACCACTTCACACATACTAGGATGGCTATACTCAAAAAGACAGTAACAAGTTCTAGTGAAGCTATGGAGAAATGAGAATGCTCATACATTGCCGTTGGGAATGCAAAATGGTACAGCCACTTTGGAAAACAATTTGACAGTTCCTCAAAAAGTTAAACACAGAGTTACCATACGATCAGCAATTCCACTCCTAGAGAACCCAGAAGAACTGATAATATATGTTCACACAAAAACTTGTACATGAATATTCATAGCAGCATTATTCAAAATACCAAAAAAAAAGAAAATAACCCAAATGGTCATCAACTGATGAATGGATACACAAAATGTACCATACAATGGAATTCTATTTGGTCATAAAAAGGAATAAAGTACTGATACATACTACAACAGAAATGAACTTTGAAAACATCATGCTAAGGGAAAGAAGTCAGATGCAAAAGGCCACATATTGTATAATTCCATTTATATAAAATTTCCATAACAGGCAAATCTACAGATAAAGACTGATGTTTGCCAGGGGCTCAGGGAAAGGGAGAACAAGGCATGACTGCTATTGGATGTGAGGATTCTTCCTGAGGGTGATAAAAATGTTCTGGAATTAAATAGTAGTTATGATTGCTAGTGTCACTACTATTTAACTAGTGTGCACTTTAAAAGGGTGAATTTTATGGTATGTAAATTATATCTCAATAAAAAAAGTGAGGTGCAACTATAAAAAGGAGCCAAGTTTACATATTATATGTACCATCAAAGAGATATGACAGAAAAGCAATAAAGAAGTTAACTTGAAAATCACTGCTGGATATTGGTGTTTACTTTTATAATAACAAATATGAAAAATATTGAATTTTATTGCCATAAACTGAAAACCAAAATAAAGAAGATTGAGAGAAAAATTAATTGGATTTCCATGAAAAATATCCAAGGATAAATATTTGCTTTCTTCCCAATATTTCAGCTGTTTGGAAGCTGAGCTCCTTAGAGCAAAGATAAGAGCCTCGATGTTAGATTTGCTAGCAGCAAACAAACTTGAAAGAATTCAAGTCTAAGAACCTGAGCCTCAGATGCACTGCCTTTGGTAAATGGTAAATGGATTTTCTCCCAGTGAGCTCTGTGGTAGACAAGCATTCCACCATGATAATGACAAAGTAACAGAGTAGAACTTTCAATAACCAACATCTCAACCTTGGAGACTGCATTAACATTTTACGTAAGGCTTTTTTATGAGTCTCTGAATTAATATGTGTGAGTCCAAATGGCCAGTTTTTCCAAATAATCATCAGCTCATGTTAAGAATACTGAATCACAAGCAAACTTTTTACACATACACTATAAAAGTAAACATATAATACAATATTCTAGAACTGTGCCTGGCATATGATCAGCACCCCATAAATATTTATTGAATGAATGTTTATAATAGTCAATATTGTTTACTAAATAACTTTATCAAAAATAAGGATAATAGTATTCCTAAGTGAACTTATCTTTATCAATAGAAAATTGTTTTTTCTTAATTTATTTCTAATGTAAACCACATCCTTACTGAACTTCACTGACAAGTCAATGGTTAAGAAAGATAATTAGTCCATATATGTAGAAAGGACATTCTAATTATTAAAATTACTGCCCCTCACCTTGTAAACTTTTTAAAATAAAACAACTTCAAGTCAATAAAACTGTGGGATTTGTGAGGTTAGTAATTTCTTATGCACTTACAATTTATTTTAGTTAATAAACTAAGAAAATATATATTAAAGCTTAAAAATAAGATGCCCATTCTTCACATTCTAGAGCTCTAAGATAAATCCAAACAAAACACAGTTAGCCTCACTCATATATACTGGAGTTCAGCAGGAAAGGAAATTCTTTCTGAATCGCATCTTAAGGCATACCAATTTAACAATGCCAAAAAAGTCAGCAATTAATTTTATATTGCATTTTCCATTTTGTAAGTCTCTTTTTAAAAACAGGGAAGTTATTTCTCAGTATTTAACAACTATAGGTGTTTGAAGTACTACATAGTATCATCAGATGAATAAAAGTAGAAAATAGCTCCAGAGAACACATCTTCTCTTTCAGAAGGATACTTCTTCTGTAAGTCTCTAAGGATAAGCTTCTACAACGTGTGACAGATAAGTCAATGGTTGAAACAGCCATCAGTTCAAACAACTGTCAGAGACAGCCTTCCTAAATCTCCCTTACAGCAGTATAAGCTCTTTTCTGCTCCTTGATTCAAGGACACATGAAGAAGACACGAGTACCCACCTTTGTATCATCCTCTTTTAGATTTTTTATTGGACATCACACTACTCAGCTTTCTTGTACTTATTTTCTTTACCTCTTGATTTGCTAATATTACAAAATAACATTTTTAAAGAAAATGCAGATAGGTAGCTGGTCTCTTCATGGGAAGGACTTTCTAAGCGTAAAAGCAATGGATCATAAAGGAAAAGATTAACAAGCAGACAACATAAAATTGTTTTAATTTCTATAAATCATAAGCCATCATAAATGAAAGGGCAATTGTGGGGAAGATGCCCCAAATGACGAAGGGTTAATACTCTCACTATAACAAGAGTTCACATGGTTCACTGTATGGCCAAGACAGTGCCCCCAGCATTCCCTCATCCTCCATACAGGAAACCGCAATGTCTCTGCAAAAAAAGAGGTTGCAGCTTCTCTCCTCCAGCTTTGAAAATTACCTTTGTAGGGACATGGATGAAACTGGAAACCATCATTCTCCGCAAACTATCGCAAGGACAAAAAACCAAACACTGCATATTCTCACTCATAGGTGGGAATTGAAGAATGAGAACACATGGACACAGGAAGGGAAACATCACACACCAGGGACTGTTGTGGGGTGGGGGGGAGTGGGGAGGGATAGCATTAGGAGATATACCTAATGCTAAATGACGAGTTAATGGGTGCAGCACACCAACATGGCACATGTATACATATGGAACTAACCTGCATGTTGTGCACATGTACCCTAAAACTTAAAGTATAATAATAATAAAATTAAAAAAAAAATTACTCTGCCTTTCCTTGTCTGTCTTGGTCTTTGCCTCCTACCTGGATGCTCTCTTTCTTCCAAGCCCTGTTTGACTCAAAGTTCAGAAAAACAAGCAATCAGCCCAGTCTTGATTCCAGTTTTTGCCCCAGGAAACAGACTATGAAACAGTTTTCTGCCTTGCCCTGTAGCCTGCAGGGAAGTAACAACTCGCCCCAGGCTCCAGGGATAACTTATTCAACTAATTCCAGCCAAAGCCCAGCATAGTGGTTCCTGCCTGGGCTGGGGAAGATAAAAATCAAACAATTAAACAACTGGTAAGAAAAAACTAAGACTCCAATACAAAAACCATCAAAAAGCTTTTGCTAATAGCTAACAATAAGATTTCACTTAAAACATATTAATAATGACAGATGTGAGTTAAAATAAGGAGGTGCCATTTTTATCTGTGAAATTAGCAAAGTTTTTAAAATAATAATGCTAATATGGGTGTCATAAAACTGACGGTGGCAATGTAAATTGGCATAATCTTTCTGAAAAACAGTATGGCAATGTTTCGATGTTTTGAGAGCATTCACAATGTTCCTGCCCTTTGACCTCCCTATAATTTCATTTTTGGGAACTGTTTTTTTATTTTTTTTTGAGACAGGGTCTCACTCCATTGCCCAGGCTGGAATGCAGTGGCAAGTTCACTGCAGCCTCGAACTCTCAAAAATATCTTGGTCTGGATGGTCATGTACATGGTCACCCAACTTTTTGGCCACATTAAGAGTTTTGTCTTTATTCTAAGAATAATGAGAAGCCATGATGGATTTTGAGCTAGAGGAGGTTGGGGGGTAGCATAATCAAATTTTAGTTGTGAAAATACTACTCCTGCTGCAGGGCAAAGAATGGATGGGAATATTGAAAGGAAAGGATAAATACCTTTAGATTAGTTAAGAGGCTACTACTGGACAACAGATCATGGTAGATTGGTCTAGGGTAATAGTAGCAGAGACAGAGATACTCAAATGGATTTGAGATTTGGTTTGAAGATAAAATGAATAGAACTTGATGATTGTTTGGATATGGAAAGGAAGAAAGTGCGAGGTGTCAAGGATGAGGCCAAGATTTCTGATTTGCAAACTAGAGGTTGGTATGACCCATTGAGATAGCAACAGAGATTTACACGAGCTAAAAATTTAAATGCGCGATATATCTGCATATCCATCACTGTCTAAAGGCACGGGCCTGGAGAACAAGGAAAGAGTTTGGGTTCAAAACTTGTTGATGTTCCTTTCCATTCACAGAGCCCTCTTTCAAGGCAGGACTATCCTATTTTCTGGTTGGATATTGGAGTCATTTGGTGGTCAGGCAAAAAAGAAGGTCCTTCTTAGCTGGTGATATGGGACGGGGAGCACCAGACCACTCTTAGCATGCAAATATCCCTTACTAACGCTCAAGTGCTTTTCACATGTACTGTTCACAAAACAGCTTCACATATAGGTTCACTGAAACCCACGACCTTGTGAGAAATTATAATCTACATTTAGGAAGCTGAGGGAGAGTTCTTAAATTACCTGTCCACAGAGCCAGTACGGGGCTGCTTTATGTCATCCTTTCACCTCCTATGTGCAGCCTCTAGGTGCAAGAGACTATCTTAAGGGCAACAGGAAACCTACCATATAATGGGGTCCCACTAGGTACCAGGCTCTAGCAGTTTAAAAAAAAGAAACACAACTTCAGAACTTCTAAGGATGTTTCCCACACACTTACCCCACAGTAAGTTCGCTTCTAAACTTTCAAAAAGTTTCACGTCCCAAGATGGGGTGAAGGTGAGACGGTGGAGATGAACCGGGGCAGACAGAGACCACCCCAAATACCGGACCCGGGGGAAATGGGGTACCAACGGCTGGGCCCCAGGAGACACTCGGAGGGGTCCGCGGGCTCGGCCCGGTCCCTCCGCTGGGGGGTTACCAGCCGGCCGGCAGCGAGATACCCAGAGGCCCGTTTTTCCACCGCGTTGCCATAGCAACGGCCTGGCCGGCTGCGCCCCGGGCCGCCCGCCCCATCCCGCGGGCCCGCCCTGAGCCAGTGACTCCAGGGACCACTCACCGCGGCCGGCGGACTGGCGGGTCTCCGACAGGTGCGCACACTCGGCGCAGGCTGTCGCTGAGCCCGGAATTCTGCACCGGGAGAAACTTTTCAGCCCGCAGAGCAACCGCAGGGCAGTGGACGGGGGCCGCGCGAGGACAAACAGCGGCGGCGGGTGCAAAGCCCCTTCTCCAAGCCGCGGGGTTGGCCGGGAGGTGCCGGCTGCACAACGGCGCCCACGTGACCCAGGTGCAGCCCCAGGCGCGCCCAAGGGCAGCTCGCCTTAGAGAAGGACCTAAAACCCCGTCTGGGGCACAGAGGAGCAGCCACGTGTTACGTAAAATAAAGCTTTGTAGCAGGAATATCACAGTACTGAGGTGATTGATGCTCAGGCCACTCTTCTCACTCGGAGTCAAGCCCATCAAGCCCCAGCCAGTTGGAGCAAGGGCTGCAAGCCTTGAACTGCAGTGAGTGGGGAGCTGGCCTAAAAAGACGGGAAAATGCTGGGGGGAGGGTGTTTGTCCCCACGCAGGGGCTGAGAAGACTCCTGACAGATCAAATGACGATTCTCAGGGATATGTTTTAGCTACAAACCTATGAGAACCATCTGAATGCCTGCCCCATGCAACAGAGGGTCCAGCTGTATGCTAATGTATTTACTGGCCTGAACTAAGAATGGCTTCTGTGGTCCTGGGTCCTACTCTCTAGCAGTGTGGGGAAGAAATTCAACTCTCCTAATACTAGCCTAATTATTTGAGGCAGATGTTCTCTAAAATTAGCTGATTGATAGCCAGTAACTTGATACGGCAGGTGGATTCATTGTATTGCTTCGGGGGAGGCTACATTTGGCAACTAGTTCATCCAGTCCTTTTCATCAAAAAACTCAAAATGGTCATAATGGGTGACTGGTAACTTCAAACTTCAAACCACTGGACTAGGCCGGGCGCAGTGGCTCACACCGATAATCTCAGCACTTTGGGAGGCCAAGGCAGGAGGATTGCTAGAACCCAGAAGTTCAAGACCAGCCTGGGTAACACTGGGAGGCCCCCATCTCTACAAAATTAAAAACTACCTGGCCACCAAAGGGCTGCAAGAAACCTACCATATAATGACGTCCTACTAGGTACCAGGCTCTAGGAGATTAAAAAAGATCTCCTAGGATAATCTCCCGCATCTTAAGGTCCTTAATCACATCTGTAAAGTGCCCTTTGCATATAAGGTAACATATTCACAGGTTCCAGCCTGGGCGACATAGCCAGCCCTGCCTCTAAAAACAAAAGCAACCACTGGACTGCGTTTTGCCCTGGATTAAACCAGACCACCAAAAAACTGTATGTTTGTACCATTTTGTCTTCACCGTTGGCAACATTGCATGAACCAAGTCATGTTTAGCACTATGCCATTTGCTTATATTAAGAGATGCTGTTTAAAAAAATTCATGATACCTCTGCATTTACTAGAGGGATTACTTTAAGAATGTTGTTTATTACATCTTTGTAGCAGAATCCTACCAGCTTGTCCAGCGCAGAGCTTTTCAAACTTTTTTGAGCACAATCCATCAAAATAAATATGTTTTACATTATCACTCAATACACAGGTACTCATATATTTAGTAAATGAAACAAGTTTTATAAAACATTACCCACATCACATGCTATGCACCCTGATACTTTTAATCTCTTTTTAAGGCTAGTTTCTACCCACTAATGGTTTCTTGACCTTCAATGCAAGTTGCATTTCAAAAACAGCAGTATAACCAGATGTCTTTTTCTGGAAACTAGACCTGGATCCTCAGACAAGGTAACCAGGCCACCTGACTACAGTTGATTGCTCCAATAGTAGGGACCTGACTCAAGATAAGGCAATCATATCCCTCTCCCAGGAATTTGGAATTAGGACAGAGAGATTGCAATCTTTCTCTAGGAAGCTAATGTGGAAACACAGAACATCTTTAAAATAGAAAATCAGAAGCCTTCAACAGACATACTTTCCCACCATGTGGCCAAAAGCAATGTAGAAAGCCAGGCTGCAGGGAAAATGGGAAAAGAAGAGGAAGGCTGAAAAAGATATACAGAAAGAAGAGACCAAAAGAGTTCTGACGGCTTTCCATTCCTAGTCATGGTATTTTCTGAAATGAATTGTATTCCTGCCTTTGAATTCCATATAGTATTTCCAACTCTTTGGAGTTGGGAGGAGGGGCCTACCACACTAATATAATCACCTATATGCCCCGTATAGGAGGGTCAATGCAAGAAATATATTTCAATCCTGAGTGCCAGAAAAGAACACTTTTTCCCTAGAGAAACTGACATGACTTTTTTTAATAAAGAAAGCAGACCATGAGATTGATCACATTTCCCTTTCACCTTGACTTCAGGAAGATAGCACCCAAATTTGCAACTCAATTTTAATAACTTTGTCAAACTACAGTTTGCATATCTGCATCACAACTTTCTCCTGTTCTCTTTCATTTCCCCTCATTCCTACTTTTATCTTTTTGTTGTACTGACTATTATTTTAAACTGCTTCAAATATTTTGCACTTGCTGTTTCCTCTTTCTGTAAGGCTCTGCCCCTGTATCTCCTAAAGCCTGGTTCCTTCTCATCATTCAGATCTCAGCTCACTTGCCACCTCCTCAGAGAAGCCTTCCTTGATCTTCCTACCTAAAATAGCCCCACCCCACAGTCTATCACATCACCCTGCTTTGTTGTCTCAGAGCACTTAACACCATCTAAAACAAGCTCTTTATTTTCCCTGTTTCCTCACCAGAAGCTAAGCTCCAAGACAGCAGGGACCTGGCCTCTTTGTTTATTGCTTGTTCCTAGTGCCTGGGAACAGTGCCTGGAACTTAGTAGCTAGTTAGTAAACATTATGGAGTTAATAAATAAAAGAATTAATAGAAGAAAGGAGGGGAGGGAGGGAGGCAGAGAGGGGAGGGGAGGGTTGAAGGAAAGAGATTTTGTTGAACATGGTAAGATATAGATGGATAGGTAAATAGGTGGATAGATAGACTGACAAATAGACAAATATTCATTTCCAGTGTGCAAATGTCACTAATATTTATAGAGAGGAACCAGAGGAACTATACAAGAAAGTAAAATATACTCGATTCCCTAAAATATATACAGAAAGATCCTAGGTTTCCTTGGGTAACTCTTGACATAATGCCTTAGACCATTTTTTTTAAGCATTCAAGTCGCTCAAGGCAGCTACATTAAATATTAGGGCTAGTAACCATAGCTGAAGTCATCAATTCTCAGTGAGATAATGGATTGCAACACCATGACCACTAACATGACAAATTCTTAACACTGCCAAGGAACTCAGTCTATTCTAGGGGCCGTTACTATACAACAATCTGCTCTCATTCTATCCCTGTAATTATTAATGTCACCACTAGCAACAAGTGCTATATGTTATTTACTTAAACACTCTATGGTAACGTTATTGTTACAATGCAATATCAAACTGCTTGACATTTAAGGAAGAGAAGCCAGAATTGAAATTTGTCAATAAAACAAAACACAGAAGCAATTAGTACAGTTTGTCCCAGGATTTGCTGACCCTATTGTAAAAATACCAGAATTTGTGGGGTGAGTGGAGGATTTCAGTTTTCTTAAGTCAAGAAGCAGTGGATTTATACATGTAATAAGGTTATCTCTGCTATTCAAAAAATTTTAAGAGACTCTATATAACAAAAAAAACCCTATAATTTTTTCATTCCATAAAACAAATTAAGAGATGCTTAGCTTATTATGTGTTATATTAAGATTTCCCCCTTCCTTCCTTCCTTCCTTCCTTTCTCTCTCTCTCTCTCTTTCTTTCTTCTTTTTCTTTCTTTTCTTTGAGGGGTCTCACTCTGTCACCCAGGCTAGAGTGCAATGGCACAATCTCAGCTCACTACAGCCTCAACCTCCTGGGCTCAAGTAATCCTCCTACCTCAGCCTCCCGAGTAGCTGGGACCACAGTCATGCACCACCACACCTGGCTAATTTTTGTATTTGCTATAGAGACAGGGTTTCTTCACGTTGCCCAGGCTTGTCTTGAATGCCTGATCTCATGCAATCCACCCACCTCTGCCTCCCAAAGTGCTGGGATTACAGGCGTGAGCCACCATGTCTGGCAAGATTTCTTAAATGGGAACATATCTTTGAAAAGTATATAATACAAAGTGTAACTTTTTCCTAATGAGATCTTTCTCTGATTACTGATAGGCTCTACCAATTTATATGTCTTTCCATTTGTTCTCTTCCCCTACTTTGACAAAATAAAACTATACCTTATCCATAACAGCTCAAAAATGAAATAAACATTTGGCAATTAACTTGGTGTGTCTCATCAATTTTGGATATCTGGACTAGCTTTCTTGTCAGATAATAATTAGAGTTCAAGTTAGTGCATGCCAAACATTCATGGATTGGAAGACTTATATTGTTAAGACAGCAGTGCTCCCCAAACTGATCCACAAGTTCATTACAATCCTTATCAAAATGTCAGTGGTCTTTTTTGCAGAAATTGACAATCTGATCTTAAAATGTATAAAGAAATGAAAGGGACCCAGAACAGGCAAAACAATCTTAAAAACAGAAACAAAGTTGGAAGATTCACACTTCCTGATTTCAAAACTTACTACAGAGCTAAAGTCATCAAGACTAGATCATTCAGCACTGTAAGACAGGGCAAGAAAAAAAAAAAACTGGGTCATACCAGTATAAGAATAGACATAAAGATCAATGAAGTAGAATTCAGATTCCAGAAATAAACCCACTTACCTATGGTCAATTGGCAAAGATACCAAGACAATTCAATGAGGGAAAGAATAGTCTTCTCAATAAACGGTGCTGGGAAAACTGGATATCCACATGCAAAGAAATAAATTTAGACTGTACCTCACATCAAATATAGAAGTTAACTCAAAGTGAGTCAAAGACCTGAATATAAGAGCTAAAACTATAAAACTGTTAGAAGAAACATAAGTATAAATTTTCATGACCTTGGATTAGGCAACGGTTTCTTAGATACAGAACCTAAAGCAAAAGCAACCAAAAGAAAAAACAGATACATTGAACTTCATCAAAATTAAAATTTTCATGTTTCAAAGAACACTATCAAGAGAGTTAGAAGACGATCCACAGAAAAGGAGAAAATATTTGCAAGTCATATATCTGATAATGGTCTAGTATCTAAATTATATTTTTTTAAAATACTCCTACAGCTTAGCAGTAAAAAAGACAACCCAATGTTAAAATGGGCAAAGGATCTGAATAGACATTTTTCCAAAGAAGATTTACCAATGGATGGCCAATAAGCACATGAAAAGATGCTCAACAACATTAATCATCAGAGAAATGCAAATCAAACCATAATGAGATACCAGCTGGCATACTGATATGTGCTAGCCCAGCTACTTGGGAGGCTGAGACAGAAGGATCGATCAAGCCCAGGAGTTGGAGTCCAGCCTGGACAACATAGCAAGACTCCCATCTCTAAAAATATAAATAAATAAAATTAAAACCATAATGAGATATCACATCGCACCCACTAGGAGGGCTATAATAAAAAATCTGGACAATAACAAGTGTTGGTGAGAATGTGCAGAAATTGGAACCTTCATACATTGCTGATGGGAATGTAAAACAGTACAGCTGCTTTGGAAAACACTCTGGCAGTTCATTAAATGATTAAACATAGAGTTATTATATGACCGCTCCTGGGTATGTGACCAAAAGAATAAAAAACATATGTCCACACAAAAACTTATACATGAATGTTCACAGCAGCATTATTCATAATAATCAAAAAGAGGAAATGACCCAATGTCCAACAAATAATGAATAAAATAAGCAAAGACAGTATATCCATACAATGGAATGTTATTTGGCCATAAAAAAAATGAAGTACTGACACATACTACAATATGGATGCCCCTGATAACATTATGCTAAATGAAAGAAGCCAGATGCAAAGAGCCATATACGGTATGATTCCATTTATATGCAGTGTCCACAACAGGCAAATTTATACATATAAAAAATAAATTAGCAGTTGCCAGGACAGGGAAAATGGGGAAAACTGCTAACAGTTACGTAGTTTCTTTTTGGGGTGATGAAAATATTCTAAAATTAGACCGTGTTGATGGCTGTGCACCTTGTGAATATTCTAGAAGCCACTGAATCGTGCTCTTTAAAAAGGTAAATTCTGGTCAGGTGCAATGGCTCACACCTGTAATCCCAGAGCTTTGGGAGATCAAGGTGGGAGGATTGCTTGAGGCCAGGAGTTTCCGACCAGCCTGGGCAACATAGCAAGACTCCATCTCTACAAAAAAAATTTTACATTAGCTGATGCACATGCAGATCATGGTGTGCATCTGTAGGCCCAGCTACCTGAGAGGCTGAGGTGGGAGGATCATTTGAGCTCAGGAGTTTGAGGCTGCAGTGAGCTATGATGGCGCCACTGCACTCCAGCCTGAGCAACAGAGCAAGATCCTGTCTCTCTAAAAAAAAAAAAAAAAGGTGAAGTGTATATCTCAATTTAAAAAGTAAAAACAACTAAATAATGCTTCATATTTTACAGATTCTAAAACCACTTTTTTTTTCACTTTTTAACTTCTTAGAAATTGGGCTGCCTCTCACTGATTACATATTACTATTGCTGTTAGCCAGGTAGCAGTCCTGATATTGTGGCATAAAAACCTTTTGTTGGCACCTTCCTGAAGAACCAAGAAATTACCTACATTTATGTGCCTTCGTTTTAATAAAATACAGGTACTACTAACCCACCTAATAATATCACCAATTCCATGCCAGGCACTGTCCCAAATGCTTTATGTATTTTAATTTAATTCTCACAATAACTCCGTGAGGTGGGTACTGATGAAGAAACAGAAGTACAGTCTACAGGATTGACTTGTCCAAGACCACATGGCTAGTATGTGTGAGTCCCATCCGGGCTGTCTGGTCCAGGGGCTGCGCTCCTGACCATTGGCATCACTGCCTCCCTTACCTGTAACATGCTGTGAGTGCAAGTCAGCCTTAAACAGCCTTTAAGGTTCCCGGAGCAAAGTGGGCCAAGAGAGTAACTAAAGCTAATAGTCTTGCGACGGTTTCATGATAAAAACACTATTCACTTGGAAGTTTGATTCATATGTCGAAACATTGTTTGGCTATGTCTAAGGAATTTCACGGTGGAGAACTTCGTTTACTGAGCACAGATAAAAGGGAGTAATCTTTTTCTGCTTTGCTTACACATGAGTAAAGGGAGCTGGAGCCTTAGTCTAGACCCTCATCATTTTTCCACCAGTTGACAGCAGAGACTACCTCCCTGTCCTGTGAGAAGAGCTGAGTGAGGGGCAAGCCCAGCCAGGCTCAAGCATGGGAATAGATGGACGAAGTCCCTTTTACTCACATGTGAAGGATATAGACACAGAGGGAAAGCCACCAGAAGTCATCCCAGGAAAGAATGCAGGGCCACATCTGGGGCAAACGTTCTACCGCCCTGTCACTGACATCCAATGTTGATAATTTAATGCAAAGTAGATCACAGGAAGATTGGAAGGACTCCTGAAGTTTCGTGGTGTCTGGCATGCCCAGGCTCATGAGAGAAGATGGATTGTGCCACCTCCAAGAAACTGTAAGCAGAGGGAAAAGATAGTGAAGCCCTTCCTGTCCCCATACCGCCAAGGCTCTTAACACACCCAGTCCTGCTGAGTCCCCTCAGATACCAGGTGCCTGTTCAGAATGGTCGGGGAAACCCAGCTGGAGCCTGACTGCTTCCAGTGGCCTCAGTTCCTTGAGGGCAGAGTGGGGGTGAAGTCTGGACTCAGAGGCCTCCACTGCCTCTGCACATCCTCTTATGAAACCTTCAGTGGCATTTTCCAGCCATAGACAATAGTGGCTCCTCCCCTCCAGCTTAGGCCTCTAAGCCAAACACAATCCTATCAGAAGAGAAATGATGGAAGCAAAGGAGACAGCGGAAGACACACTCTAACGAGGCAGGACGCTGGCTCTGAATTGTGTAACAGAAAGGGGTGGGCAGAGGAGCTACCTGGGATCACTATTGTTTAATTCTTTTATTCTTCTTAAATTTTTGTTTGGAAATAACTTCAAACTTTTATAGAAAAGTTATGAAAATTAAAATAGTTTTTAAAATGCCCATATATCCTTTGTTTTTTGTTTTATTTTGAGATGGAGTCTCACTGTCGCCCAGGCTGGAGTGCAGTGGTGCGATCTCGGCTCACTGCAACCTCCGCCTCCCGGGTTCACGCCATTTTCCTGCCTCAGCCTGGGACTACAGGCGCCCGCCACTATGCCCAGCCAATTTTTTGTATTTTTAGTAGAGACGGGGGATCACCATGATGGCCAGGCTGGTCTCAAACTCCTGACTTCGTGATTCACCCGCCTCGGCCTCCCAAAGTGCTGGGATTACAGGTGTGAGCCACCATGCCCAGCCTGTTTTTTTGTTTTTTTAAATAGAGACAGAATCTTGCTCTGTCTTTCAGGCTGGAGTACAGTGGCATGATCATGGCTCACTGCAGCCTCAACCTCCTGGGTTCAAGCATGGAGTCCTGTTTTGTTGCCCATGCTGGTCTCAAACTCCTGGGCTAGAGTGAGCCTCCTACCTTGGCCTCCCAAAGCTGTGGAATTAAAAGTGTGAGCCACCCAGGTGGGAGCTAAACATGTGTACACATGGACATATACTGAGTGAAATAATAGATATTAGGGAATACAAAAGGTGGGAGGGGGTGAGGGTTGAAAAACCTATTGGGTACAATGTTCACTATTCAGGTGATGGATACACCAAAGCCCAGACTTCAGCACCACACAATAAATGCATGTAAGAAACCTGCACTTGAGTCCCCTCAATATATTTGAATAAATAATTTAACTTTAAAAGAAAAAAATGTGAGCCACCGTGTCTGCCCCCATATGTCCTTCACCCAGATTCACCTATTAAGATTTTACATCAGCCAGGCACGGTGGCTCACGCCTGTAATCCCAGCACTTTGGGAGGCCGAGGTGGGCAGATCACAAGGTGAAGAGATCGAGACCATCCTGGCCAACATGGTGAAACCCCGTCTTTGCTAAAAATTAGCTGGGTGTGGTGGTGCACACCTGTAGTCCCAGCTACTCAGGAGGCTGAGGCAGGAGAATCACTTGAACCTAGGAGGCAGAGGTTGCAGTGAGCCAAGATCGCGCCACTGCACTCCAGCCTGGCCACAGAGCGAGACTCCATCTCAAAAAAAAAAAAAAGATTTTACACCATTTGCTTTATTAATAGCACTCTCTCTATATATGTGTGTGTGTGTGTATGCATGTTTAATTAAAAAAAGATATACATCTACAGCTTTGTTCTGTACCATTTGTGGGTGAGTTACATACACTAAGGACCTTGACTTCTAAATACTCCAGTGCATATTTTCTAAAAACGAGAATATTCAATTATATAACCACAGTTCAGTTATCAACTTTAGTACATTTAACATTGATACAATAATCTCATCTACTCTCCATATCCCCATTTTGTCAGTTGACCCAAGAATGTCCTTTCTATTACATTTTCCTCACTCCACTACAGGACCCAATATAGGGTCAGGAATTGCATTTAGCTGTCATGTCTCTTTAGCCTCCTTGAACCTGGACATTTTCCTAGCTTTTCTTTGTCTTTAACGACAGGGACATTTTTAAAGAATCCAGTCCCCTATCCCCTGCCTTTACTTAATATAACGTCTTTCATTGTGGGTTTGCCTGATGTTTCTCTGTAATGAGATTCAGGTTCTGCATCCTTGGCAGCAATACTGTATCATGGGTGACATCATGTCCTTCTCACAGCATTACATCTGGGTGCACAGTATGTCCACCTGCCCCTTATTGGTGATGTTATTTTGAGCACATGATCAAGATGTTATGTGATTTCTCCACTGTATAATACTCCAATTGCTGTATATTTTTTCCTCCCTCACAACTTTTCCTGCACAACAATGAGCAGTCAGTGGAGAGACAATTTAGGACTATGCAAATATCCTGCTCCTCATCAAAATTTCCCCCTAGGGTTAGCCCTTAACAAGTTTTCTGACGATCCCTGGGGCTAAATGAGTGCCCCGGCGCCACCTATGGGGCTTGCAGCACACTGCAACACCGGGAATGAACCTCGGACCTCTCTCACTCTGCCACTTGTCTGGAGTCCAGGAACTACTTCAGCCCTAGACATTTTGAAAGATCCTATAGAGACCTGAGTTGCAAGCCTGAGTTCTAGTCCAGACACCGCCAATGACTCATGAGGAATCTTGGACAAGTCTTCTTAAGACTTATGTTCCTAGTGAAATGTAGGGTTGGCTGACAGAGATCTGAGTTATACATTCAAGTAATACTTATTGAGCAACTACAGGCACTGTTCCAGGATCCAAGCAAGACTTCTGCTCTCAGGGAAGCTTACACCCTCTGTGACTCAGACAGTGAGCAAGAACACAAGACGAAGAAAAAGATAAACATACCTCATAGTAAGTGCCATGATGACGATGAAACAGGGCTGTGAGAGAGTGCCTGGGTCCACTTCAGATTGTGTGGTTAGGAAAAGCTCTCTGAGGAGGGGTGCGAGCTAAGATCTAAAGGGTGATTGGAGCCAACCCTGACCTTGAGAAGTTTTGGAGGTAGAGCCTTCCAAGCAGAGGGAAGAGTCAAGGATGACTAGGGGTTTGGTACTTCTTCCATATCTATGGCTCTTTGGGGGTGTGGGGGCAGGGTCAGGAGACTCCCAGGTGTCCCTGAAGCAGAGCAAGAGACGGATAAGAGAGAGGTGTGTTCTCCAGAATAACAGGGAGAAATTCTAGAGGTGTTGACAAATGAAGTGGCTTTTAAAAGATGAGTAAAGATTTTGAAAGGTAGATTATAGAACAGAGAAAGACATTCCACGTAGGAAAGGGGAAGAATGGGAGGCACACAGGAGTCATTGGCTATGGCAATTCTGAAATCCAAGTGGGCAAATATTTTGAGGGCCTCCTAGTCTGGTCGGGAATTATTCATTATTTTCTGATTCAGGTCCCTGGAAGTAGCTCCCTTGCCTGTTGTTCTCCTTATCCCTTGCTTCTGCCCTCAAAGAGGTTCTTCACATTTTAGTGTCCCTGCTGATGTGGGGCTTGAGGCATAAACCTCTTTGGGGGCTGAGCAGCCTTCTCAACTCTTAGGTGTGTTAAGAGCCTGAGCATTCTCTACCATAGATTATTGAAAGCCCAAGAGCCATTTAATGTCTTCAACAGTTATTGTTTTCTGTTAGTCTAGGCTCATCATTCCCCTGGCAATAAAACACTCTAAAAACCTCATTATGGGCCGGGCACAGTGGCTCACACCTGTAATCCCAGCACTTTGGGAGGCCAAGGCAGGCGGATCACCTGAGGTCAGGAGTTTGAGACCAGCCTGGCCAACATGGTGAAAACCCATCTCTACTAAAAATAGAAAAATTAGCCGGGCATGGTGGCAGGCGCCTGTAATCTCAGCTACTCAGGAGGATGAGGCAGGAGAATCGCTTGCGCCCAGGAGGCAGAGGCTGCAGTGAACTGACAGCTTGCCACTGCACTCCAGCCTGGGCGACAGATCAAGACTCCGTCTCAAAACAAACAAACACACCTCAAAACAAACAAACACACCTCATTATGTGTCTATCTATTGGAATGCAGGCAGCATCACTGGCTGAAAGCTATACCTGCAATTATTTTTGAGAACTACAGTAGTTCCACCTTATCCACGGGGGATATGTGCCAAGATCTTCAGTGGATGCCTGAAATCATGGATGGTTCTGAACCCAACATACTGTATACTGTTGTTTCCTATACAAACATACCTATGATGAAGTTTAATACACAAATTAGGCACAGCCAGAAATTAACAGTAACTAATAATAAAATAGAAAAAAACATAACTTGTATACTGTAACACAAGTTATGTGAATGTGATCTCTCTCTCAAAAATCTTACTGTACTGTGCTCACCCTTCTTCTTATGATCTGTTGACCTAATAACCAAGAAGGCTACTAGGGACTAAGGGTGGGTAGTATATATAGTGGATACACCAGACAAAAGTGATGATTCATGTCCCTGGCAGGACAGGGTGGGATAGAGTGGGGTGGTAAGAGATCTCATCACACTACTCAGAATAGTGTGCAATTTAAACCTCATGAATTATTTCTGGAATTTTCTATTTAATATTTTCAGATTGCCATTGACCAGAGGCAACTGAAATCACAGAAAGCAAAGCCAAGGATAAGGGGAGTTCACATGCCCATGCCTTGCTCTCTCTCTCTCTCTCTCTCTCTGTCTGTCTCTCTCTCTGTCTCTCTCTATCCCTCTCCTCCTCCTCCCTCCGCACAGGCTTTGGTGGAAAAGCCACATCCTTAGAATTTTTTCACTGAATCTTATCCAGCTAAAAGATTTTACTGGGCACTATATTCTTAATTTGATATTTTCCCTGAAGTACCTTAATCCATTCAAAGGTTTTAACAATGAATATTATGCCCATATTTTTAATATGATCCTTACCTCAAGGCTGAATTTTAATGGGCCTTCAATTCTAAATTTTATCTTAGTCTTCAGCGTCAAGAAGCAATTACCTCTTCAAAACCCTAAGTCCTTGGATTTTTGTATACTATGTATTTTCTTTCACTCCTTAAAAACAGGGCAATTCTTTTCTGAACTCATGTCTTTCTTGAAATAGCTTGATAAACAGAATATCAACCAATGTAGGCTACCAATGTTGTTTTCCAATATCTTCCCCTCTATTGAAATTCATTAAGTACATGATGTGACTCCAAAGTTATCTCAGACTATAGTTTTGCCAAATGTTTTTCCACTGCATAACCTGAATCACTATCCTTCTAGTCACCAATGTCGGTTTCCTTGCTACCTGCTTGCTAGGCCAGTGCCTTGGATCTTAGTGTTTTGTTATTGATTTTTTTTTCTCCAGAGAAACCCAAGCTTCTTTGTACTATAGGCCAGCCTATGCTGCAGTAATAAATAACACACAATTCTCACTGACTTACAACAAAAGTCCTCATTCATGCAAAATTTGCTGCAGATATGGAAAATATTGCAAAGCTTATATTATCCATGTATTAGCACAGCACACCAGACTGGTTCAGACTTAAGCATCTTCATATCAGTGCATGCTCTCAGAATCACCTCAGTAAGGGAAGAGAGAAAATAAACAGAGAATCAAGCACTGGCTCTTATTCAACCTAGCAATGACCTACATCACTGCCACTCTCATTGGCCAATTCAAGTCTCATAAACACACCTGAAATAAGTAAGTGGCGTGCAGTAGTGCAATCTTCCCATGCACTCAGGAGAGGAGCACTAGAATCATTGGAAGGTAACATTTACGTCTTCCCTTCTGCTGTTGGTAGGATCTTCTCTGTCTTGGGTGTTCTGAAGTTTCACTGCAATACGTTTCAAGTTTCTTTTTATTTTTCAAGTGTATTTTGTTCAACATCTTATAGCTATGAATTCATGTCATTCATCACTTCTGGACAGTTCTCAGCCATTATCTCTTCAAATGTTCTCAATGTCTCATGATGTTTTTAGTGTGTTTAAACCAAGACGCAAGTAAGTTCTATATAGTGCAATTGGTTTATATGCTTTTTAAGACTCTTTAAGGTTTCCCCTCCATCTCCCTTTTTTCCCTTTGTAATGTAAACCAAGTTGTTTGTTCCATCGGTCCTTGGAGACTGGATTTTGCTGACTGGATCCTTGTGAAGTCATTTAAGGTGTTCCTCTATTCTCTGCATTTCCTGTCAATTGGGAATTAATCTTTAAATTGGTAGATGTAGAGACTTGTTTAGGTTCAGATTCTATTTGTTTACAAACAAATGCACACAATGTCTGATCGTCTCTTTTTTGGTGATGTGAGCAGCCACAGATGGTCATTGCCTAGATTCATTCATTGAGGGCTAAAAAATGATATTCTAAATCTATCAGTCCTTCTTCAATTACTGTGGAAAACTTTTTAAAAAGAAACTTCCCTCATCAATTATTTGGTTACCAGAGATTCAGTTTATGTAGGAGAAAGAGGACGAATCCTTTATTAAGCTAATTAATAAAATTTACTTTTTATGTTTTCATTGAGACAGGGTCTCTCTCTGTCACCCAGGATGTATAGTACAGTGGCACAATCATGGCTCCCTGCAGCCTCAACCTCTTAGGCTCAAACGATCCTCCCACCTCAGACTCCCAAAGTGCTAAGATTACAGGTGTGAGCCACCATGCCTAGCCCTAATTAATAAATTTCAAAAGTCACAGAGGCACTGCCTTGGCAGAATCTTTACCATAAAGCAACATTGTCAGTGGGCCACACCACAAATGGGAACCACTGGAACAAATGAGGAGTCCTAGATACAAACAACTGCTTCCTCCAGCATCAGGCCTTAGCCCTTAGGCTGGGGCAAGACCGAGGCTGTGGTGTTCCTGTTTACAAGCATGAAGGAGATACTTATTTTCTCCACGAATGTGGAGCTTGGCCTCCGCAGGTCTTACATCTCTGACATAGCTGGAAATCAAGGGTACATCAATTTCCAAAAAAGCTTAGGAATATCGTCCCAGCCCAGTGAGCAAATAAAGCACTGTTTTTGGAATACTGGTTATAATATAGTTAGTTGCTGTAAAAAACAAAACTAAAAGAAACAAAAAACACCCCAGACTGGGTGCCCACACCTATAATCACAGCACTTTGGGAAGCCAAGGCAGGAGGATCGCTTAAGCCCAGGAGTTCATGGCTGCAGTGAGTCATGATCATGCCACTGCACTCCAGCCTGGGTGACAGAGCAAGAGCTTGTCAAAAAAAAAAAGGGAAAACAGATACTGGCTACAACTGCAGAGCTGTCTCTAAGGATTGGTTACACCCTCTCATTTCTCAAAGCATATTCTGTGCAAGGCCTTCAGGAGTGATGTCTATAGGACAAGGGGTCCCCCTCTCCAACCTGGGCATAACTCCAGGGCCCATGGATAAGAGTGCTTCCCAGAGAACAGGCATTCTTATTCTAGGAAGCCCTACATAAAACATGAAGCTGCACCTACAGTCTGTGGTAAATATAGCTTTTATTGCAAATTTTTGAAATTGTTTTTTATAATTTTGCTTTTTAAATTATTTGGCTAGGAGTAATTCATTTAATTTACATTGGGCTCAGGTTTCTTGGCAATTATCTTGTGTATATAGAATTTCTTATGAAGCGTGAAACTCTAACTTACAAATTGTTTTCAGGTATAACAGAATTTTTATGAAACTTTATGAAATTGTTATAAAATTAACAATTATAGGTTTAACATGATATATAGACGTTTAATAAGACATTTATGTATAATTTGCCATTTTTCATTTTATATTGTTTCAGGACTTTTTTTTTCTTCTTGAGATGGAGTTTTGCTCATGTTCCCCAGGCTGGAGTGCAATGGCGCAATCTCAGCTCATGCAACCTCCACCTCCCGGGTTCAAGCGATTCTCCTGCCTCAGCCTTCCGAGTAGCTGGGATTACAGGCATGCACCACCAGGTGCGGCTAATTTTGTATTTTTAGTAGAGACGGGGTTTCTCCATGTTGGCCAGGCTGGTCTTGAACTCCCGACCTCAGGTGTTCTGCCCGCCTCAGCCCCTCAAAGTGCTGGGATTACAGGCGTTAGCCACTGCACATGGCCAGGAGTTTTTTTTTTTTTTTTTTTTTGAGACAGGGTCTCACTCTGTTACCCAGGCTGGAGTACAGTGGCACGATCATGGCTCACTTCAGCCTCAACCCCCAGGCTCAAAGTGATCCTCCCACTTCAGCCTCCTGAATAGCTGGGTCTACAGGTGTGTGCTACCACACCTGGCTAATTTTTTTTTTAAGAGACAGGGTCTTGCTATGTTGCCCAGGCTGGTCTTGAACTCCTAGGCTCAAACAATCTTCCCACCTTGGCCTCCCAAAGTGCCAGGGTTATAGGTGTGAGCCACAGTGCCTGGCCAGGACTTATTTTTATAGGCCTTTGAAAGATCCTAGACCCTGGATACTATGCCTCTACTCTCTAGTGGATAAAATAATCCATAGGCCAGGTGGGGAGGAAGAGGAGGTCAAATACTGCCCTACCTATGAGAGCAAGACTTGCTCCAGGGAGCTGGCCTGACTAGCAGCTTGCCATGGAACCCAAGGAGTCGGGGGAGTAGAAGGGCTGTGTCCCTAGAACCTAGAGAAGGACTAGTACTAATAAAATTAGTAAGGCAAGTCAGTGTGGTGGTACATGCCTGTATCTCAGCTACCCAGGAGGCTGAGGCAGGAAGATCACAGAGTAAGCAGGGAAACGGTTCACGTACTTGGGCCAGTCTGGAGAGGGGTGAGAGGTCAGAGAAAATTTTTCAGGTCTCATCTTAAGCATTAAAACTGATGATTATCCTTCCTTGAAACACAAACTCCCTTGGCTTCTCTGATACCACATCCCTCTAGTTTTCTTCCCACGTCCTGGCTGCTGAGATGGAGAATATGAGAGGAAGAATCTGTTAAGGGGGTGGCTAGTGTGTCAGGTAACACTGAGACTTCCAAGGGGAGGTGTCCAATAGACCACAGGATCGGTGAGTCTGGAGCTCAGAAGAGTGGGTCCATGACTTTTATCACCAAACATCAGTTAGAGTGTTGAGTTGCAAGTACCAGAAACCATTTCTGGCTGATGTAAGCAAAAAAAATGAATTTATTATAAGGTTTTTTACGTGGTTCACAGAATTGTCAGGAAGGCTAGAGAATTATACTCAGAGCTGTGCAGCCAGGAACAATTCCTGAAATCATGTGCAAAACTGGTCTGCTGAAGAAACTGGCAATGACATCGAGCCCCACGTGCTTCACCTTGTACCGCTGCTGCTGCTACTGCTGCCATGGAAACCCCACCTGCCTGCAACCAACACTGTCACCGGAAAGGAGGCTCTGGGCTTTTTTTTTTTTTTTTCCATAAATCACTACCACTAGGCCTGTAACCTGACTTCAACGGATGCCAGGAAATCAAGATTCTAGTATATTTAGCTTCTGTAGGGAGGAATGAGCTGTGTCTCCCAAGACTCCTGAGGTGGGAAATTCACCAAAAATAGGAAAGGGGTTCAGACTTTATGCAGCCTAATTGAACGACAAATATTCGTAACAATGTCCTTGACCCCCCCCAAAAAAAAAAAAAATGGCTAGAAACCACTAGCATGGAGGAAGCAGAGAGGACAGCGAGGGATAGGTAACCATCCTTATAAAGAACTATATAAAGAACATTCTTGAAGTGTTTAGCACTTGGAAGTGTTAGGCATTCATATGATGCCTTTTCCCTAACTCCACCACAGACTTGTTGCCTGTGTTTTGAGAAACAGGCTGTGTTAACACAGTAAGAAGCCGAGACATGCTGGCATGTCCCCGTAGTCTCAGCTACTCAGGAGGCTGAGGTGGGAGTAGCACTGGAGCCCAGGAGTTTGACACCAGCCTGGGCAACGCAGCAAGACCTTGTCTCTGAAGAAAACTAAAAATAATAAAAATAAGAAGCAGGCTGGGCGTGGTGGCTCACGCCTGTAATTCCAGCACTTTGGGAGGCTGAGGCGGGCAGATCACAAGGTCAAGAGATTGAGACCATCCTGGCCAACATGGTGAAACTCCACCTCTACTAAAAATACAAAAAATTAGCTGGGCGTGGTGGTGCGCACCTGTAGTCCCAGCTACTTGGGAGCCTGAGGCAGGAGGATCGCTTGAACCTGGAAGGCGGAGGTTGCAGTGAGCCGAGATCGCGCCACTGCACTCCAGCCTGGCGACAGGGTGAGACTCCCGTCTCAAAAAACAAAACAAAAAATAATAAGAAGAAGAAAAAGCAGAGAGGTGAGTTCTTCCCTAGAGAGAAAGGCTTCCCAGGCTATTCTTCCCCACCTTGAGTTCTTATGATGTAGAGATCTAGGGGCAAGAAGACCATGTGATAGGTTCAACTATCTTCGCTGAAAAACACTCCAGGACGCAATTCTTGGTAAAGAAAAGTGCTGTTTTTTATTTGTTCTTGAATGTATAGGTTCTTTTAAAATCAGCTATACTTCCCTTTAAAATATCCTCCCTCATGCCCCAACCGCTTAGAATCCAATAGCCACTCCTAACAAGGGCCTAGGAGGAACTCATCCTACATAGCCAAGAAAGGGGTACAGCTTGAGGAATGGGCATATGGCTCAGGAAGCAGCACCAGCTGATAAGAACTTTCCCCAAAGCAGCTCTGTTTGGCTTGTGAGTCTCCTTTCCCTGCCCTGGTCTGGACTCCCCCAGCTGTGTCCCACCCCTGGAATTCCCCTGTTCCTTATGTGGCCTGATCTTGAGAGTTAAAATCATAATTAACATCTTTACAGCTGGAGAGCTGAGAGATCACTGTTCTCAGCCATTCTCCCACCACAACTTTATAGATGAGGAAACTGTATCCAAGGTTACACAGCTCATAATGGAAAGAGCCAAAAATTTTGGTGTTCAGACTCTCAAATCAGATATCTTTCTAGTATATACCTCCTTACCTCCAAGAAAGCAACCAATAGCTGCCTCCAACTCCAGAAACAACTGGAGCAAGCAGGTGGTGGTGATCAGCACAGGTGGGAAAGGCCCTGATATAAGGAGTCATGCTGACTCCAGCTGAGCCCCAGCAAGGGAGCAGCCACCGCGCTCCCTAGTCTCCCTCCATCCGAATGTTATCAGCAGCAGGCACCCACCCTGCCAGGTTCTCCTCCTGGTTAGCAGCACTGACATGCACGGAAACACATCTTACCACAATCCCAGGCTCCTTCCCAACTACAGCAGGCTCTAACTGGTGCAGGATCATGGTGAGGAGCTGCCCACCAGCCTGGTAATCCAGTTTAGCCAGACTGCGGCCTGGATGCTGTAAAACCTAATCCACACCCTTGGGCTGACTTAGATGGGGTCTCTTAGCAAACAGGCTAAAACCTCTGTGTTGTCTGGGAGAGACAGAGGGAAGGACTCACAGATGCTGTCCTCCCAGCAGGAGCTCATAAACATGGTTGGCATGAGGAGAACTGAGTTCAGGAAAAGGAAGGGACTCAGGAAATAGAGAGACAGACAGAGGAAGCAGGAGCAGCTGTGATTCTTCCTCCCTACCCAACTCCTGAAAAGAAGAGACCACAGACAGCCACAGACATTTCCCCCATCTAGGTTTCAAGGACAGCTCAGCCTGTGTGGGCTGAGAGGTAAGAGGAGAGAATCCAGAGACTTGTTTTTCTGGATTCTCTGAGAATCCAGAGACTTGTGGTGTCATAAAAGCTAAGGGAGGAGGTTGTTTCACTGAGGGTTGGTGGGTGGTGTGAAATGCTGCGGAGAGGTCAAGACAGCTGAGCACTGAAAGGTATTCATTCTATTTGGCAACTGGGCAGTCACTGGTGACTTTTATGAAAAAGTATAGAGGGCTGAAGAACAGCTGAGGAAGAATCAGTTTAAAAAGGATCTTTTTAAAAGTAACTTGGTTAACAAGGAAAATGTGTAAGGGGTAACAGACTCTGAGAAATGCTGTTTTAATCTTGTGGAGAACTTGTTTGCAGGCTGTGTGGAGGTAACCAGTGGAGACAGAGGCTGGAGACTCCAGGGAGTGGGAGCAGTGGAGTAAGCGAGGGAGCAGTCTTGGAGGACATACAACAGGATTCAAGATATAGAGAATTAAATAGGAGCAAGAATGGAGGGGTTGGGGAGAGTTACAGACACAGATGAATGAGAGGGGAGAGAGGAACAGCAGGCAAGGAAGCTCTTGCTTTAGGGGCTGTCTTCTGTGAAGTAGACAGTGAGCTCAGTCATTTGTGGAGGACAAAGATGGAGGCATGGGTGGGGAAAAAAAAAGGGATCACAACAAGTTAAAGAATTTCCAGTCAACACTGAGAGCTCAACTGAGGCTGCCAACTGTGAATCTGTCATGCATAGCAGCCCAGGAGGTGGAAGCAGCAAATATGATGATGCCGAAAATGGAGAATGGCTGATAGTTTCAGCAAAATTGAAGGGGATACGCCTGGCGCAGTGGCTCACGCCTGTAATCCCAGCACTTTGGGAGGCCAAGGGAAGCAGACTGCTTGAGCCCAGGAGTGTTGATACCAGCTTGAGCAACATGGCGAAACTCCATCTCTACCTAAAGTAGAAAAATTAGCCAGGCATGGTGGCATGCACCTGTAGTCCCAGCTACTCAGGAGGCTGAGATGGGAGGATCACCTGAGCCCAGAAGGCAGAGGTTGCAATGAGCCGACATCATACCACTGCACTCCAGCCTGCATGACAGAGTGAGACTCTCTCTCTCAAAAAATAAAAAATAAATAAATAAATAAATAAATAAAGTTGAAGGGCATGAGAAAGTTCAGGATGCTGACAAAAACATCAGTGTGTGATAGGCTCTGGGTTCATGCTGGGGAGAGGAAGAAGTCCAGGAGAAAGTTAAAAGACAAGGAGAGGAGAGAGAGGGCTGAGGTCATGGAAATGGACTAAAGGAGCAGGGCAATTTTAGCAGTACTGAGGGATGGAGAAGAAGCCCAGGAAGGGGTGATCCAGAAGGAGCAAAGGCTCAATTCTGGCGTTCAGAAAGGAAGACTATAAGTGACTCCATGGAGTGAGAGAGGGAGCAGAACAGAGCCCAGGAACAAACAAGGAGGCGCCTCCGTCTTAGCAGCCAGGCAAGGAGCTGTTGCTAGAAATGGGTACAGGGAGGGAGCCAGAGTCCGCTGGTGGGGGATGGCAGGGACTGCCATGGAACAGAGCATATGGAAGGTATGGTTGCCACTCAGGTAGGGGTCCTAGAGGCAGGCAAGGTGTATAGTTAGCAATTGCTAGAAGTCAGGCAGGGCTAACCTAACCATGTTCTGTGGAAGAGTGCTCTGCAAGTTCATCCTGAACCAATTTTTTTTTTTTTGAGACGGAGTCTCGTTCTGTTGCCCAGGCTGGAATGCAATGGCATGATCTCAGCTCACTGCAACCTCCACCTCCCGGATTCAAGCAATTCTCCTGCCTCAGCCTCCCAAGTAGCTGGGATTACAGGCATGTGCCATCACACCTGGCTGATATTTGTATTTTTAGTAGAGACAGGGTTTCACTATGTTGGCCAGGCTGGTCTCGAACTGCTGTCCTTAGGTGATCCACCCACCTCAGCCTCCCAAAGTGCTGGGATTACAGGCGTGAGCCACCGCGCCCAGCCAAAAAATAAAATAAAATTTAAAAATCCTGAACCAATTTTTAACTAAAATCCCCTTGCATCAACTGAAGCCATTTTACTGTCTTATTTCTCAGCATACCCAAGAAGTCAATTTTTCCTCTAGGGCTGCATGCTGTCCCATAAGAATCTAGAACTCACCGTATTTCCACTGCATGATGTTGTCAAGGACAAAAGGACTTGGCTGACTTCAAAACTGGGCCATTATGGGAATAAGTCAAAAGCAGGATCAGCCCAAATGTTAATGAAGAGCCTCTGCAGGCAGTCACTTGGCTAGTAGGATTTTTTTTTTTTTAATTTCTAAGTCATGTTCTGGTTTTTGCATGCAAAAACAAAACAAAACCATGATTCAAAACACTGGTGGCTAGGTCTAAAGGAAAAGCCAGCGAGAGGCAGGTGTGTAAAGGGAGCCTCTCAGCATGCAGGCTCTCTACGATGAGAAGGGAGCATGTGTCTCTCTAGCACATTACTAAGACCCCCTCTGGCCCAGCAAGCTGATCCGTGAGCCCAGGAGGCCACACCCAAGCTGGGAGCCTCACTCATATAAGGAAAGCCAAGCTTTTAACAGGTATTTCTGCTTTAAATTTGTGGTCTCCAATTGCTCCTGAGGAAGGATCAGGTCTGAGCCTGTCACAACACTCACCAGTTGCCCAACACCAAGTACAACAAAGTTCACAGGATGGTGGGAATGTGGGCTGCACAAAGGAAAGATGACCTAGAGCAGGAATTAGTGACATGAGAACAGAGGGTACTTTGCCAAGCCAACTGAACAGAGAAGGAGATTCAAAAATTGAAAGGGAAATGACCAGACCCCAAACCAGAAAGTCATGTGAGTCTCAAAGGGCAGAAGCCTAAGTCCAAAGATTGCCGGACTAGTAAAGCATTCAAGACTCAGTTACCCCAAACTAGAAAACGGGATCACGGAAGCCCATCTGCTTAGAACGTGGCATGTGCTGCTGAAAGAATGGCAAGCCAAGGGGCATGGTTTGCTTTAAAGTGAAGATGATCTCTCAGGTTGGGTAGAGAAGGAAATGAGCAATACCATCAACTCACAAAGAGAGAAGAAATGTTTTCTAATTAAAAAACTGCTCATTAGCAAAGGCCCTACAAACAAGAACATCCTTGAACTTCATCTGTTAGCAAAAATAAAGCCATGACCTCAGACTCCCCTGAAATTAGCCATGCAATGACAGGACCAGGGAGAGCTGTCTCAGTCCTGGCCACTGACATGTCAGGTTCATAGCTCCCCCAACAATATGAGCAATGGGTTCCTTCTCAACCAAGCCCTTGCTTGGGAGGTAGCCTGACCTCCAGTATCCTCACAAACACCCTGCGAGGGCCATGCAGATGCATTCAGGATGCAGCCTCGAGCTCCTGTTCCCATGGCTTCCAGAATGCTTCTCTCTGCATTCTAGGAGAACTAAGGCTCTGAGGTTGCTTCATGGTCACCAAAGGACACTGGCTTTTTGCCTCTTGATTTTTCCCCCTGTCCACCTTAGACAAACTTCCCCCAGGAATGTCTAGATCTGGCCCCTGTTGGTCCCTGAGGCCTTCTCTAACCTCCAACAAAAAGGGCTGCCAGAAAAGTGTTGGCTTTTTTGGGGCTGTAGACAGCCTGGAGGCGGGCTGGTCAGAAGACTCACTTCTGATCTTTGGCTCATGAACTTGGAGAGGTTGAGAACTAGAATCTTTAAGCAGGAGGAGAGGCCCAGAGGAGTGAGCTGGTTGTGGGTTACTCTCTCCACCCATGGAACTCTGGACCTGAAGCAGACAGCAGCTGTCTCACAGTATTCACAAGCAGAACTCACGATCCATACCTCTGAATGAGGATGATGAAGGGTATGGCCACTGACAAGCACCAACAGTCACTTCTAGGAAGGCAGGTTCTCACCCTAAAGAAGTGTGATTAGCCCAGAGTAAGTAGCACAGAGGGCGGGCTCTGAAGTGGACATCTTACTAAGTCTGTAAGTGAAATCTGAACCAGAAGATTTAAGTGGTCTCTCCACAGCCACCCAGCTCAGTCAAGAATGTCACACCATCCACAGCATTTTCACAGCAGCCACCTATGTCAACATCAGGAAAGTGACTATGCAAAACAAATACCCTGAAAACCGTTAGAACCCAAATAGGCACAAATTGAGACCTATGGCCTCTAGAAGCCTCCACTAGTCTGCACATGGCAGGTGCCTCTATCCAGACAGGACAAGCAAAGGCAAACAGTGACAGTCTTTGGCTGTGCTGGGCCAGGGATCACAGTCCTGCCATATGTCTAAACCTCTCTCCCTTCTTTTACCCACTTCTGAGCCCAGGAGGAGTTCAGATGTATACATGGCTCCTGAGCCCTGGACACTAAAAGGTTAGACGGGTCTGCTTTCCCAGGCAGAAAAAAATTCACCAAGGAAAGTAGGTTTTCCCGAGCCTAACCAGGTGTGGTCTTGTCAAGTGGAGCCTATACATCTGATTACTCTGGTAATAATAAATACCTTCCTCTTTCCTGTTTATTACTGAAATCTTCTCTGTAGTGGATGTACTACGGCTCCCAAATAAATGCTGTAGATGCAAATGGCAAAGAAGAGCACTACACAGTTCAACAAGACTCATCTACCATCCACACTCTGAAGAGGATAAGCTGCAAGATGGGGAGGAATGGTCGACAGTATGGGACAACAGCTGCCAGAGTGCCCAGTCTCCTTTTGGCTCTCACACCTGAGAGATGCTGTTGGCCAGGCGAAATGACATTCTTTTTGCTCTTTCATTCTCCTGAAAGAAAAATATATATTTGGAATTAAAATAGCCAAATGTAGGATTTATTAACATGAAAAGGCTATGTCAAGATTGCAGTTCTGCCAAGTCAACGTATTTTATTCTACCCTAGGAATGCAGCAGTAAAACTTACTGAAGCCACTAAACATTGTATGCTAAGTATGGTAAACAACTGGGGATGGCTGGCCAGACCCTGGCACACAGTAGGCAGGCAAAATATTTCAGTGGAATTAAACAGCCCTGAATGGACATTTCTGGTCTACACAGGTGGGACCAGCCCAAAGATCAGAGGAGCTCTCTCTGCTGCAAGCAATACCTCTCCTTCCTTACCTACACCAAGGGGCTAAGAAAGATCCCTTCCTTTCTCTCTCAAACCCAAATAGAAACCAGGCACTAAGACCAGGTAATTCCCTTCTTAGGGGCATCACAATCACAGTGTGGAGTAACCAGCACCAAACTGGGAATCAGGACAACTGGTTTCTCAGCCCAGGTCTGCTGCTAAATGCTGGGTTACCCTGGGCAGGGACAGGCACCTTTCTGAGTTTCAAGTCTCGTGAGTAACTGGCATTGATGGGCCCTGTACTGCCCTGCCTTCCCTGGGGGCTAAGGGGCTGGAAGTGAGGGTTCGTTGTCACCACCATCTTTTTGCACCACCCGAACAGCTTCACCTTAGGTTCTGCTTGGGTGCCCCTCTGCTTGCCTGATCACCGCCCACCTGCTGCTGGCTGGCAGTAACTCTTTACCATATGTCGTCGCCGCCTCTTGGGTTGGATGCCCTCCTGCATGTAGGGAGGCCACGGGAAGCCCTGGGGAGTGGAACATCCACTCTCACTAGACACCTCCTCGGAGTCTGAGTCCTCCTGCCTTGGCTGGGCAAACCGTTTCTCCGGGTAGATCTCCTTCAACCAGCCCTCAAAGAACACTTCCAGGCAGCGGCCAGCCTCTGCAACCTCGGAGTCAGGCTGATGGGGGAGGAGAGCAGTGATGGTCTAGCCTGTTTCTACCAGTCCATCTCTTTCGGGTCCCTCAAGAGCTACACAGAGCACAAAGCCTAGCGGGGTGTCCTGAGGTGTCTGGAACTTGACATTTTTCTCCTAGGACTCAGGAAAACTAGTTTGGTAGCAGCTCTTATAGCAGAAGTGACCCCAACAGGTATCCACAGATGGCCACTCACTAGTACCTCCCCTTTTTCCTGAGTCCATGCTAAGGCCTGAGTGTGGGAGAGAGCTTTTAAACACTCACCACAGCAGGCCCCCAGAATCTGCTCCCCAGTCCTCATGGCAGCCCAGACCAAACCTAACCTCCCAACCCTACCCACCCATGACAGTCCTGGGGATGCAGGGAAATAGGAGAGAGGGAAAACAGGCAAGACATACATAATTGAACTTAGCACAGTTCCAGAACATGAGGCGCACATCTGATACCACCTCCTCTGGGGTGGTATAGTGAGCTGGGTCCTTCTTTTGCAGCTTCCTCCGGATGATTGACAGGTCCATGGGCCTCTTGATAATCTGGTAATAATGCCGGGCCTTGGGGGAGGAGACATGAGGAGAAGGAGGCAAAGGGAGTGAGAGAAGAAATGGAGGTGTGGATAAGAAGGAAGAAGAAATGGAAAATGAGGTGAAATATAAGTGAAAGAATAGGAAGAGGAATGATGAGGAGCAGCAGGAAGAAAAGGATGGAGAAAGAAGACAAAGAGCAAGGGAAAAGGAGGAATGTGTCACCTGTCAAGTAGGATCTGATACAGTAGCAGTTGTGGTGGGGGAGGCTGGAATGGCCATGGCCCTACGGTCCCCTGGACTATCCATAAGTTAATATTGTCACTACTCCCAGTGGCCATGCTCTGAGCCCAACCTGGGAACCACCACGCTCCTGCCCCATGGCCTGGGCCCTCTGAGCAGAAAAGACAGTAGCAGGCACAAAATTCAATAACTCAGAATTTTGTGACTCTAGAAAAACAGGGGTTAGGGGAGGCTGGGGTAGCAGTATAGGCACAAATCCACATGCAAGGAGAAGGTGAGAGAACAGCGTGGCCTTCCTTACCAGGGGGCTGACAGGTTCATGGAAGGGCAGGCTGAGGTTATTGCAGCACAAGGACAATACCAGCTTCTCACACTTCTGCAAAATCAGAATTGGCAACAGAGTCACTTTGTTCTGGTCTCACCTCAGTATGAACTAAAGATGTTGACCCTGATAACTCCCTGGCTCTGTCCCACAGGATGCCAGCTGCCATACTAAGGCACAATTCAGGTTCCCAAGCCAGAGGAAAACTGCTAGGAGAAGGAAAATTATCCAAACACCCCTGGGCCAAGTTGTCAGGCATAGGACGAAGAAATGTATCCAGAAAAGCCCCTCATCCCCTCTCAAAGGCCTCAGACCCTGTAGGCAGAAGGGGGCTGCCAAAGGCAGGGAACCTTGTTTCCAAAGACTCCTCCCTACCTTCTGGTCATACATGCTTAGGCCAGGAGATGCCCGCATTCCAGGCTGGTTATAGCAGGCATTCTCACAGTCGTACTCCATCTCGGGCTGGGTCAGGCTGCGGCACAAGGTACACACCCACTCTCCCCTGCAGGGGCAGGTGAGGCCATGTTAGGCCTCAGCACATTGCCCAGAGCACCCTTCCCTCTCCCTCTGCCCTATGGCAGGCGTGAGAAACTGAGTCTCCGGCTTTGCCGTGTAAGAAATGGCTTTCTAGCCACAGGCTTGGAAGAAATTCAATAACTCAGAATTTTGTGAATCTAGAAAAACAGGGGTTAGGGGAGGCTGGGGTAGTAGTATAGGCACAAATCCACATGCAAGAAGAAGGTGAGAAAAGAGGTAGAAATGAAGTCAACCAAATGTCAAGCATCCACCTGTCTGTGTGCAGAAGATACCCAGGCCCATTAACTCACAGACCTGCAATTCAAGCAGGTCCAGAAGAGGGGAGTAAGCCCATCCTGGGAGCTCTGTGGGCCTGGCCTGGAATAATCATCCCTGGAAGGTAACCCTACTAGCCAGGTGATGGTCCTGGACTGGCATGACTCACCCTGGGAAGCTGAGCAAGGCTGGCACATGGCAGGAGAGGTGGAACACTTTGGGGCAGCGGTCACAGCACAGTAACTCTCCGCCATTGAGGCAAACAGCACAGAAGTCCTCATTCTCTATTGGGGCTGGGGGGCCCTTCTTGGCTCCTGGGGTTCGAGGAATGAGTCTGTGTTCTTCAGGAGATGTGCCCTCCACTTCTGGTGGCCGCTGCCCAGCCAAAGAAGTGACAGTGACCTTTCTTCCCTCCAGACCTGGGGCCTGGGTGGCCTCAGACAGTCTGTCCTGGCTGACCTTGGGGAAGAAGTAAGTCTGGGCAGCCAGAGCACAGAACCAACAAGCTCTCGAGGGAGGGGAGGGAGAGACTGGCAGGCCCTGCATGCCTACATGAGAGCCACTTATTCCAGGACCCCAAGCCAGCAAGCCCCATGAATGCTGGGACACCTCACTCCTAATATGCATCTCACAGGACCTTGCAGCAGGGGACAACGTCTGGCCAAGCTGCAGCCCCATCAGAGACTCAGGAAAGGTCCCAGAGTCAGAATTCGGGCAGTAGCAGAAAGAATAAGCTCTTAGGCTGGGCCAGGGTTTAAGGCCAAGGCAAAGCAAAGTGGTACCTTAATGGACATGCTGGAGGACTCAGTGCCACACTCGATGATCAGCAGGAAGCTCCCATCCTGATCATTCTTCTGTGGCTTCAGTTTGAACACAGGCATCTCTCCTGAGGAGGCAGCACAGATCTTGAGTCGCTCCAGTCGCACATAGGGAATCTTATGCTCACTATTGAAGGCTCTGCAGCAAGACAGACACCCCGGGGTCTTGGTGGGATCCTCCTCTGGTCCCAACCTCTAAGTCAGAAACATCCATGATCCCTGTGATGATTAATATTGAGTGTCAACTTGATTGGATTGAAGGATACAAAGTATTTATCCTGGGTGTGTCTGTGATGGCACTGCCAAAGGAGATTAACATTTGAGTCAGTGGGCTGCGAAAGGCAGGCCCACCCTTAATTGGGTGGGCACCATCTAATCAGCTGCCAGCAAATATAAAGCAGGCAGGAAAACATGAAAAGGAGAGACTGGCCTAGCCTCCTGGCTATATCTTTCTCCTGTGCTAGACGCGTCCTACCCTTGAACATCGGACTCCAAGTTCTTCAGTTTTGAGACTCAGACTGGGTCTCCTTGCTCCTCAAGCTTGCAGACAACCTATTGTGGGACCCTGTGATCACGTAAATTAATACTTAATAAACTTCCATATATATATGTATATATATATGTGTGTGTGTATATATATGGAAGTACACACACACACAACACACACACACACACACACACACACATATATATATATATATATCTCCTACTTGTTCTGTGCCTCTAGAGAACCCTGACTAATACAATCCCCAGCTGAATTGTTACTCCAGATCCTCTTGGATTTGGACTCTGAATGTGGACTCTACAGGTCCACCACATTCTGTCCTCCTGGCCCACCTCTGCATGGCCAGGCCCTGTCAGCCACTGGGAAGCCCTATGGTGTAGTCCTGGTCAAAGACAGGAGCTCCCTGAAGTGCAAGGGCGGCACCCAGAGCGCATGCCTCGTGGTGCAGGAGCCAGGACATCCTCCCACAACCATCCCAGACATCCACTTGAAGGTTGAGGGGTTGAGGAAGGCAGTTGCAGGCAAATTTCTTCCACTTGTAGTTAATTCATCAAGGATGCTTCATCCCTGTGCCAGCATCTCAGGACGTGAAGTCATGGGTGGGAGGGAGATTAGCCAGAAGGCTGTTACCTGATGCTCTGGTTCTCTTTTGCATCCAGCTCTAGGGCTCCTTGTTCAAAATTCTCACACTCTAAGGCAAAAGACAAACAAATACCTGTGACACACATTTGTGGCAACAAACCCCGTCATGCATATCTTCTACTTATATCTGCTATTCATACCTTTGGCCACACATCTGTCATACAGTAGTTACCTACACTATAGTCATTCATACATAGTGGTGACAAGTCTGCCGTGGATCTCCTTCTTGAGAGGAGGAAGCCCACCTTCTTTTAAAAAGATGAACACAAGTAACACTCAAGAGGCTGCCTATGGGTAAGTGTTGGGTCAGGCACTGATGGGCCAGTTTCTCACCTTCAAGATGAGCTCAGAAATCACTTGTTCTCAGTACACCAGTGTTGCCTCCTCTGAGGAGTCTTTTTGTCCAGCCTCTGCCATGTCAGCCAAGTGCTGGGATTCCAGCAGTGCTTGAGAATCCAGCTCACACTCCATGGAAAAGAGGCTCCCAGGGAGTTCTCCCCTGAGTATGCAGTCTATGGAGATGGGCAGGAGGCAGTGATGGGGCAAAAGGATGAAACTAGCATCCATTCAGCACCAGGCAAGGTCCTAGGCACTGTACATGCGCAAGCAGGGTCTAAAAAGTTTAACTGCATAAAATGCAGAGTTACATTATTGTGTGTAATAAGAACCAACGATTTTTCAGTTGGCCTTTCAGTCAGTGTGAAAAAAAAGGAGAAAAATTATTTCTTTCGTTTTCATTTATTACACATATAGGAAACAGACTAATCATTACAAATTAAACACGCATCATACATTGAACGAAAAAAGTCCCAAATGATCATCAGGAAGTCGCTTCCTGACTTCCCAACTAGCCCTCACCTTCCACAGAAGAACAAACTTAGCCTAGCCTGGTTGGAGAAGGGGCATGGGAAGCTGAGAAGCGAATCAGAACCAATCTCCAATGGTCCAAATTGCCTTCACTATGAGGCACAACACAAATCCACATTAGTGTCAGGTACCAGGAAAATCCTTACTACTCAGAGGAAGTTATCAAATGATTTCACTATAGTTACTGGTCCCAGTAGCCTAAGAAGTAGGTGCGATTGGCCCCATTTAGAGAGAAAGAAATCAGTTGAGGGAGGTTAGGTATCTTACCCGGGATCACAGGGAGAGAGAACTGGTTTACCAAATTCCATCTATCGGACTCCAAAGTCAGACATGCTCTTTTCCCTATAACATTTTGTCAAGGCTAGCCCTCCTGGGCTGAGTTCTGTTTCCCCCTAGGTATAATGCAGACCCCCAGGACTCTTTGCATGGGGAGTGTTACAAAAAGAGTAAGTCCTGGCCATGCCTAGATCAGCCATGGCCACAGTGAGGGAAGCAGAACAGGTGTCACTAAGACAGTTCCGGAGGAGAGAAGTAAATTCAGCCTCAGAGAGATGCACTGCTTCCCCAGCTTAGAGCTTGTCTGCTGGCCTCTCTTACCTAGAAGTGCTGAGTCCATCTGCTCAAGTCTGTGGCCAACATGAAGGGCAGGCTGCTTGAGTCTCACCTTTTGGGTTCTGGTACTGCTGCAGAGCTGTAGACGTGCTGACCACTGGCGCCAGTGGAGGTTTCTTCACAGAGAGGTTAATTGGCTCCTCCAGTTCTGAGGGGATGGCCAAGTCCTTGGGAGCATCCAGACCGGGGACTATGGGACCTTGTCCCAGTAAGTCAGTGAAGCGAGTGGAATCCTCACTTTCCATCTTTCAAAAGTGAAATGTCGACAAGAATCAAAGAACTCAGACATGGTTGTCATTAGTGGTCTCAGAACTGTTAAGCTAAGGTCAGAATAAGGGTCCCAGTGGCCAATCTTTTGCCCAATGATGAACAAAGGAAGTTTGGATAGCATTTCCCCAGGACTTACCTTACACAGAGCATTCTCCAGGGAGGGATCAGCCCCATCTCTGGGACACAGGCTCCCTGAAGTTCGGCCAGAACTGGAGCTGGACCCAGTTTCTGGCTGCATGTCAGAAACTGGAGGGATGCTCTGCAGAGGACAAGTTGCCAGACTCGGCACAGCCTGGGTGTGACCAGACATTAGGCTGGGCCCAGCCTGAGGGTGATCACTTGCCAGGCTTGCCATAGCCTGAGGGGAGTCACTTATCAGGTTGGGCATGGACTGGAATGTGCTATGCACAAGGCTGGGCACAGTCTGTAGGTGACTGGTTGTCAGGCTGGGCATGGCCTGGTTTTGAACACTTGTCAGGCTGGACACCATTTTGGGGGGAGCACTCAGCAGGCTTGGTACTGCCTGGGGGGCACCAGCTGTCAGGTTGCTCACACTCTGGATCTGTGGCTCTAGGGGCCTCTCCAACCTGGTAGATGACAACTCCATCTCCAGAGTGTTGGAAAAGCCCATGATGCTCAGCGAGGTGGAGTGCTGCAGGAACAGAGACAAGGGGTAGAGTCAGGCTGCTAGCTGGGAATGGAGGGAGGGAGAGGAGGGACCCAACCCACAGGAACTCCCATGCTCCAATTCCACTCTGGCTTCAGAGTCTGGTAGCTGCTGGTAGCTGCCAGGAACTCAGGCAATGCATGAAGCCCTGTTCCTCTTCCTGAAACCAAGGAGGCTGCTAGGCTATGACATAGAGAGAGAGGCACAAGCGGAGAACTATTGTGTGTGTGTGTGTGTGTGTGTGTGTGTGTCACAGCAAGAGTGAGAAGGAGAACTTATTGCCTGACCTGAGGCATGTACACACACACACAGACACACACACAGACACACACACACACAGCCATATCCCTCACCCCAGTCTTGTACCTAAGCAAAGGGTCCGGCTGTGGGACTGCCCTCTAACTTCAAATTCCCCTCTGACTATACCACCAGTGGCTTCTCTTCCCGTCAAGGGGTGCTATAGAATAGTTTCTGCTATACAAAAGTAGCAGGGGGTTGAGAAGGCTCAAACTCTTATCTGCCTCAGACCTTCTTTGAGAGAATGCCAAGGCTCAGAAAGTTCCAATCAGTCCTGGGGAACCTGGGTCAACTGCAGGGCCTTCTTATGGGGTTGTTCAGATCAACTCCAAGCACTACTAGCATTTGATGTAGGCTTTAACCAAGATATTTGAAGGTCTTTTCTGGCCCTAGTATACCTGCCAAAGATATTCCAAACCAGAGGCAGAGAACATCAAAGCAGCTAAATCTTAATATCACCCAATCCGTACAATCATTGGATAAGGCAGTAATGTTCTGACTCCAAAATTATTTTCTTACATCTGAGGAGAAGAGATGTAAAAGGTTTATAAAAAGAAGTTGAAGATACAGATTTCTGTACTGAATCCATTCCATTTTTCAGATTGAAGAGACAGATTTAGGGAAAAGGAGGGAGACTGGCTCTAAATATAATCTTCAGGAATGTGTAAGTTTCATATCCCTGCCCTTTAAAAAAAAGACTAAATATATAACAATTTCACATCTTTTGAAAAACAAAGAGAAAATGGGAATTAGGCATATCTATCTAAGTTTCCAAAATCAGTGTCTTGAACCTGTCATTTCTTCCCCATTCACATTTTCACAGGAAAATAAATACTTCAAATACATTCTCAAGTTTCAATATAAAGTTACTAAAGCTATTTTGCCATGAACACTGTCCTCATCTCAGTGAAAGTCACTCCTAGTCATTCAGTTCTGCAAGTCAGATCCTAGGAAGGAGGCATCAGTGAAGCATCCCTCCTGCCACACCCAAGCTAATACCAAGCCCCATCAATTCTACCCCTTAAACATCTCTCAAATATACCCACTAATTCTTCCCTCTGCTAATGGTGCCCTAGCCTAACCTACTTTCACATCTCCCTAGACAACAGTAGTAGCCTCTTCAATGGAGAAGTATTTTCAAAACACGGATCCGATCACATCATTTCTTTTCATAAAACCCCGCAGTGCGCTACATTCTTCTTAGAATAACTGCAAAAATCCTTAACAAGACTCCCGAGGCCCTGATGACCTGTCCTCTGTCCTCCTTTGTAGCCATAGCTCATTCAATAACCCTCTCCTCATTCACTGAACTCTAGTCACTCATTTTTTCCAGTTCCTGAAACATACCAAGCTCTCCCTCCACCCACTATCCTCACCCCCTTCAGATGGACTGCTTTCTCTGCACAGAGAATTCTCCTACCCCTGCCCTGTTCCACTTATCCTTCAGAACTCAGCTCAACTGACATTTTTTGCCAGAAAGCCTTCTTTCATTCTCTAGTCCAGACTAGGTTCCTGCTTTTATGCTCTCATATGCCTTGTACTTGTACTTTCAGCTTCATACCACAATCCGTGATATCATTTGATTAATGTCTGTTTCCCCTACTAAAGTGTAAACTCCATTAGGGTACGGATTTTTATCTATTTTGCTTACCCACCATATTCCTAGACCCAAGAGCAGTGTCTGGATGAATAAATGAATTAATGAGCTGTTTAAAAATTCAAAACAACACTAATACAGGACTGTTTATTCTACAAATCTTTAGCCAAATGAACAGCAGCTTAGGTCTACTGACAACTTAGTCTATGAGTCTCTCTAAAATAATGATTATTTTTATACAGCTAAAGTTTATTGAGAATTTATTATATGCAAGGCAATTTGCTAAATGTTTTACATATATTACTTTATTTAATCCTCACAATAACCATTAAAGGTTAAAAGAAACAATCCATGTGAACATTTAGAACAATATCTGGCATACTGTAGATGCTCAGTAAACCCCAGTTGTTTCTACTGCTGCTTCTATTATTTTTATTGTTATTATTGTTGCTGCAGACCTAGTTTTACACTTGACAAAGATGAGGCTCAGAAGGGCATCTTAAGTTTTTTCATGTTATTATAAAACATAATTTTGTAGATTTCCATTTCTCTTTATTGTTTGTGTACTGTATATAGAAATACAATTGATTTTTGAATACTGACTTTGTATAGACCTTGCTAAAGTCACTCTGGGATTTTCCTTTGGATTTTCTGTGCACACAAATCATGTGCATCCATGAATAGTAAGTTTTTGTTTTGTTTTTCTGAACAGGGTCTTGCTCTGTCACCCTGGCTGGAATGCAGTGGCACAACCACAGCTCACTGCAGCCTTGACCTCCCAGGCTCAAGCAAGCAATCCTCCCACCTCAGCCGCCAGAGTAGCTGGGACTACAGGCGCATAACATCACATTGGCTAACTTTTATTTTTTATTTTTGTAGAGACAAGGTCTTGCTATGTTGCCCAGGCTGGTCTTGAACTCCTAGGCTCAAGCCATCTTTCCACCTTAGATTCCCAAAGTGCTGGGATTACAGGCATGAACCACCACGCCCATCCTGAATGGTAAATCTATTTTTTTTTCTTTACATTTGTTTTTCTTGCCTCACTCCACTAGCTAAGACCTCCAGTACAATATTGAATAGAAGTAGTGATAGTAGCCATCCTAGTCTCATTTCTGAACTCAGAGGATCCTTTCAATATTTCATCACTAAGTAGATTTGATGTAGATTTTTTTATAGATTTAGATCCAGATCTTGGTTGGGCATGGTGGCTCACACCTGTAATCCCAGCACTTTGGGAGACCGAGGCGGGAAGATCGCTTGAGCCCAAGAGTTCAAGACCACCCTAGGCAATATGGTGAAACCCCGTCTCCACAAATGATAGAAAAATTAGCCAGGCATGGTGGCATGGGCCTGTGGTCCCAGATTCTCTGGAGGCTAAGGTGGGAGGATTGCTTGAGCCCGGAAGGTTGAGACTGCAGTGAGCCAAGATCGTGCCACTACACTCCAGCCTAGGCAACAGAGGAAGACCCTGTCTCAAAAAAAAAAAAAAAAAAAAAAAAAGAGAGAGAATCCAGATCTTTGGTACCAAAGCTACAACTTAATTTTGACTTGTCTCCCTCCATACCTCTCTGGGCTTACTCCCCTTCACTATCTCTCATATTCTGTTCTATTTCTTTTCCTTCCCCCTCTTCTCCTCTCTCCCTCCTCTCTCATGAGCTCCTTCTCTCTCTTCCTGTCCTGCTTTCTTTTATCATCTCTTTCTCTTCTTTCCCTACCTCTTTCCCTTATAATTTAACTGCTTTAGTAAGGCTTATATTTTCTATTCTTAATTTTAAACACAGATGAGTTAAATATCTTTTATCTCTCCAAAGAAAAGTATGCTTTTTATATTTTCCTTAGTAGTTTAATAGTGTTCAGTTTTTTAAAAAGCTTCCATTTCCTCCACAGTCTGAGTGCCAAGACAAGAAGGGTTGAAGAGAAGCAAGGTGGAAAGAATATTTAAACCAAATTGGGTAAGCTAGGAATGAAGCCCAGCTTAAGGGACCAAGGCCAAAAATCAATGGCTATCTCAAACATGCCCAGGCCTGCATTCCTTAATGTCTCCTTGTTGTCCTGGTTATGCACTACCATAGCTTTCTAATATTCTATATTTCCTTATCTATGAACAAGAACACCCAGTGACTATTTCATTCCGTTTTGCAATATATGACAGTCTAATCCTTTGCACTGGATTCTTTCTCCTTTCCCCTATTTGACATGTATGTTTAGTGTGGTTTTGGCGCTCATTTAATCTACCCATGCTGGACATTGAGAATTATATAGATGTCTCTTCTTAGTGAGATCCTTGTTGCCAAGCATTAAGAGCACTAAAATCCACGTGAGACCACCCAAATAATAATGGTCAGGTGCCATACGTCACAAGATATGCACAAGATAAAATCCCCAAGGACAAAACTTCCCAGATTAGGGGTAGAGATCATATTCGTGGGAAATTGGCTCTCCTGTCCTAATTACCTATTGCACATGTGAGTTAACATAATGATAGGGGAGAGGAAGACATGCAGACTGAGCTGTGGAAAAATTGCGGAAACTCCATGGCAGTTTATTTTGAGGTGAACCTGATGAACCTGGTCCCGTAATGCCCAGAAGACAATACGAGGTCAGCAATACATCCCAAGATATTGCATACTTGACTGATTTATTTCCTTTTCACAGCCACAGCCAATCTCAAGGAGGCCAATGCTATCAGGAGAGGGGGTGAAGCTCTGGTAGTATTAACAAGAATGTGGAAAATTTCCACGGAGGAAGGGACTCAGAGAAAGTGCTGTGAGAAAGCCAGCCCAACCCCATTTTTACAGGCTATGCAGACACAATGGCATTTCTGAAACCTATATATGCTATGTGTTAGTTATTTTTATACTATATCGGCTCTCTAGAGTGAAGGGTTGTAAAATATTAAAACAAAAGGTACTTATTTCATGTACAAAAAGAAAAAGAAGATTTGAGAACCTTCATCCTAGTCTGTTGCTAGTGCTACAAGATGGGTGGGGGCAAGGGTAGGGCCAACCTTCAGAGCAAGGAAAGCAGGCTGAGTCTCCAGGGCCTGGGAGGAGAGGAAGCACTTCTCAAGAGCATGATGGGATTGGAAAAGGGCTTGAGAGCGTGGCCAGGTTGTCTGACACTTGGTGCCACCCATGCAGAAGGGAGCTCACTTGTCAATGGAGATGATACCACCCACCCTCTAGACCCCAGGATTGTTCAGAGGTCAAATGACAGGAGGTGAATGTGTATTTCTAGCTATAAAGTACGTAGAGGGTTATCACTGAGGTTTCTAGGCTGTCAACTGTGTAACTGACACCTTGACTTCATCTTTACATACAAAACCTCTAGATTTCATGAAGGAAAAGGTATATTTTGAGATTCACTACTGAAAATAAACTATTTTCTAGTTCAGAGAGGAAGAGTCAAAATGCCAAAACACATTCACTCTGATAATCAGCTCAGGTCATCTTTGGGAGATGGAGAGAGACAACCCTGAGCCTACAGAGCCCCCTCTTACCTCCCTTAACTAGCATCTCCTCTCGATCCTCGTTTCCCTTCCCCCAAACTGTGTGTCCCCGTCCCTGTCCCTTTCCTCTTGCCTCTTTTTTGTCTCCTTATCTTTGTCTGCCACCTGTCTGACTTATCTGAAATTACCTCACCTATTAATTTAATGGATTCAGTTAACCTATTTAACCTACCTGTCTTTACCATCTAACTTGACAACTTGCCTGACCTACGACTTCCCTGAATTGTCTGACTTTCAACCTCTGCTACTAGTCACCTATGTGACCCTGCACCCATCTAACCTGAATTCTGCTTGACCTGTGCTCTGTCACCTGCTGCCCTCTCTCTCTCCTCACTCTTACCACCCAGATGTGTTTCTAGAGTTCAGTGTGTTGACATTATTATTCTAATGATTGCCACATGGTATTGTCAAAATTCAGATAAAACATTGCTCTTTCATTTTAACAGGAAGGGAAATTGAGACACAGAGTGATTACCTAGATTTCCCAAGCTCATACAGGTCCAAGACTAGGAATCTGGGACCAGCCTTGAAAACAGGCTGGCTAGTCTTGATTCTGTGCCAGAAGCTAGAAAGCTAGTGCCCTAGTAAGAAATGATTGAGAAATCAATAAACAGACACTTAGTGCACATGCCCTGAGTTTAATATAAATTTCAGGTTCTTACAGCAAGATAATATTGCTGGGGATAAAGTAATGCAGATAGGGTGGTGTTCCACATAAATTAACTTTCCAGTTATCTGAAACATACCTCTTTCAATAACAAAATGCAATTGGCTTAAAAACATTATTTCAAATGGGAGTACTTCTAAAACACTTTACACACTCTTCTGTCTTATTAAGCAGAGCATAAGGAGGCTAAGGAGACCATTTCTTAGTGATATCAAGGAATTTGGATGAACCAATAAGTAATTCAGTGATGCTTTCGGGAACTTCTAAGAATGCAGGGCTTAGCTTGTTCTTTCAGTGAATGACCTCATACCGTGGCACTTTTCCAAGTGATGTTTCTTGTCTTCTCCCTTGTTAGCTGCCCTTATAGAAATCTTGACTCCCTGCCTCTACTCTGCTTACTACTATAATGTAGCTAAACTAAAACTTTCCCAAGAAAACCATATATTTAAGCTTGCTAGATCAAGAACACCGGCTAGATACCCACATATGAGTTTATGATTTCCTACAGAATATAATGCATGAGTTTTGTGATGGCTGTTTTTGCTGCTGTTCCAAAGCTTTGCCTCATCACTTCTAGTTTCAGATTTCTGTTCTAGTGGTTAAAGTAATCAGAAACTGACCACTGTGTAAATATGCAATAGAAAAAGGGACCACAGATTTGGGAGTTGTGTCTAGGAAACACACTGAAGGCCTTCAGTCTAGCTAAGGAAACAAGAGAGAGGAAAACAGATTGGTGAATTAAATCCTCAAAATATGTGAATGCGCCGGGCATATCACCTGAGGTCAGGAGTTCGAGACCAGCCTGACCAACATGGCAAAACCCTGTCTCTACTAAAAATACAAAAATTAGCTGGGTGTGGTGGCATGCGCCTGCAGTCTCAGCTACTCAGGAGGCTGAGGCAGGAGAATTGCTTGAACCCAGGAGGCAGAGGTTGCAGTGAGCTGAGATCATGCCACTGCACTCCAACCTGGGTGGCAGAGTGAGATTTCATCTCAAAAAATAAATAAATAAATAAATAAAGTGAATGCTTCAACAGCTTCAAGATTAAGTAGACTGGTTTAACAGTAGCAGATCTTGAAACAGAATCAGATGGCTGAGGAAGGGACTAACTTTTCTAGTAAGCAGTTTCACATGTTGATTTTTTTTTTTTTTTTTTTTTTGAGATGGATTCTTACTCTGTGGGCCAGGCTGGGGTGCAGTCAGACGATCTCAGCTCACTGTAACCTCTCCACCTCCTAAGTTCAAGTGATTCTCCTGCCTCAGCCTCCCAAGTAGCTGGGATTATAGGTGTCCACCACCATGCCCAGCTAATTTTTGTATTTTTACTAGAGATGGGGTTTCACCATGTTGGCCAGGCTGCTGGTCTTGAAATCCTGACCTCCAGTGACCCACTTGCCTCGGCCTTCCAAAGTGTGGGATTACAGGTGTAAGCCACTGTGCCTGGCCCTCACATGTTGATTTTTAATGGCAAAGTTGTTGCTCTTATTGACAATGAGTGTTCCTCCATCTCAAGAGAAAGCTCTTGTACTTATTAAGGCTGTCACTATGGATGTAACTATGCAGATATATGATAACTTAGTAAAGCCAAATGAGAAAAGGTTCATGGGTGGTGAAGGGAGAAGTGAAAAGTGCCCAGTGCCCTGATAATCCAGGGAGGACAGAAAAAGTAAAGAGGATCTCAGAATCTGAGGTAGAAGAAAGAGGAAAGGAGTAAGTGGATTCTAGTAAGTCTGAAGTGAAAGCCTGATGAGTGGAACCCTCAAACCCCAAGGCTTGGAGACTCAGGAGAATTTGGTCAAAGGTATTTTGCCCAGGCCAGTGTAGGAAACTGACTTAAAAACGTTATTTTGAATACAAAATTAGCCAGGCATGGTGGAACATGCCTGTAATCCCAGCTACTCAGGAGGCTGAGACAGGAGAATCGCTTGAATCTGGGAGGCAGAGGTTGCGGTGAGCCGAGATCGTGCCATTGCACTCCAGCCTGGGCAACAAGAGTGAAACTCCATCTCAAAAAAAAAAAATTATTTTGAATAGGAGTACTTCTAAAACACTTTACACACTATTCTGTCTTATTAAACAGATAGGAGCAAGGACCTGTTTTCTCATGGGCCAGGAGACCTAGACAAAAATCTTAGGTTTGGATGGTGAATGAAATCAGGATAGAACTAAGGAGACAGGCTTCTTAGAGTGTGCTAAGTTCAGGAGCCAGACTTGGGGAGTGTTTGGCCTGACTCTTGAGTAGAAAGAGTGTATAATTCTGCAGATGCTGACCAGGACGCAGGCTGTGCCTTAAGAAAGCTTCAGCAGGCCCCGGGAACATTCTGAGCAAATGCTGCTGTCAGGGCTAGGCTATGAGGAAAAGATTGTCCCTGAGGTTGAGGACCCACAATCTGATCCATAGCAGTAGCTTTGGAGACTATGGAAGCAGGATGCCTAGTATTTACTCACAGTTACCAGGGTTTAATGAGTTTAAGCAAGTCATTGTCCAGCTTTGGGTTTTAATTTCCTCCTACACAGCTTAATGTAAATCTCACTGAGTTTTTATAAGACTCAAATTAAGAGATCGGGCATCAAAATGCTTTGATAATGGTATAAATACTATCTGCCTGGGTCATTATCCTTTACTCCTCTGTATCACTCTTAATAATCTGCATCACAGGAATGCCTACCGCTTCTGTATCATTTACTGGAAATACATCTCAGGCTCCTAAGCCATGAGCCGCATGCTGGTGGCCTCGAAGTCCTCTCTTGAAGATCTGGGGCTATGTTATGAGCAGCAGAAGAAAGGTCCCTCTTGCAGGTGAACTGGGACCCGGATAGGGCTTTCTGTGATGCCTACAGCTTTGACTCCATGAGAGCTTTTCATTTTCTTAAGACAATCTCGCTCTGTTGCCCAAGTTGGAGTGCAGTGGCGCAATCTCGGCTCACTACAACTTCCGCCTCCCAGGCTCAAGCAATTCTCATGCCTTAACCTCCTGAGTAGCTGGGACCACAGGCATGCACCACCACGCCTGGCTAATTTTCTTGTGTTTTTTTGTAGAGACTGGGTTTCACCATGTTGCCCAGGCTGGTCTCGAGCTGTTGAGCTCAAACAATCTGCCTGTCTTAGCCTCCCAAAGTGCTGGGATTATAGGCGTGAGCCACCACACCCGGCCAACTCCTTTGAGGAAAGGATTGTGTGTATTTTTCGGCAGTTGACTGGTTCAGAAGCATGAAATGAATGCATCAAAATGTCTCCCAGTTTCACTTGAGATGTAAGGGTTGCTGTGGTAGGGTTGTAGCCATGGTCTTTCTTTCAGAGTGGCTGAATCAAGATTAGGAAGCTTAGGCAACAGCTGGTGCCAGGCAAATACCAAAATTCATTCAAAAGGGGTTGCAGAGCTCAAGCCACTAGAAAATCCATTCTAGAACTTTCACATCTCATTTTCAGCCGCAACCTGTTTCCACCATCGGCTCACATAGCACCAACTCCAAGGTACTTGTACGCAGATGTTCTGCTTCACCAAAAGTCCTCTTTTGGTGAAATACAGTCAGTGTGGAACTCGCAGAAAGGTGCGTGGTGCCACAGGTTCTTCTGGTCCATGACCTTCAGATAGATTCTTTTGACTTTCCTGGCACTCACAGGCCAGCACAGGCTGGGAGTGGGATGGAGGACAAAACACCTTTACCAGATAAAACAACCAATACCAAACTAGGCTGGGTCCTAAGACCTCTCCCCAGCAAAGCCTCGGGCTACTTCAAGGATTGTAAAGACAGGAAAATCCAGCAGGTAAGAGGCCAAATGGAGTCCTATTTCTCCCATTGCAGTGCAGAAAGAGAAGCAATTTAACCTAGTCATTGAACACAGAGCTGTCAAGGACCCGTGGTCTGGTCCTAACATTGCCCAATGGGTTGGCTGCATAACTCTTAGGTGGGTCACTTAACCTCTCTGTGTCTCAGTTTCCACATCTTTCAAAGGGGAATAAGAAAGTGGCTTCCTCATAGTATTGCTAGGATAAAGAGATAAAATGAAATAATCCATGTAAAAACCTATGAAAAAATTAGAACGATACTATACAAAGTATTATCACTCAATGGTAAAAGGCTCAGAATGTTGTTTGCTATCCTTGAGCTTCACACCCTCCACCCTGCCCAACCCCAGCTCCAAGGCAACAAATTTCCTCAAAAAGAAAGCCCTTTTCCTCATTGCAGTAGTTTTGTGGACAACCAGTGGCTCTCACTGTCAGGGTTGATCTCTCTCTGCCAATCCAAAGCTTCCTCTAAGCCAGGATGACAAACTTGAGGGTCCTTTTTCTGGGAGTTCAAGCCATCAAAAGCCTATGAAACACATGAAGAATGCCAGGCCATCTGCCCCTCCAAACCTCTACAGGAGTCCCTTTTAATAAGGGGCAGAAGCAGCTCAAAATGAGAAGATAGAATTCCTAGGACCTTTGCTAACCCCATTGCCAACTTGCAGCCACACAAAAGGGCAGCACCCCTTGCTGCTCAGGGAACCCTGTTGGCCATTCACACAAGCAGCACTGACTCCATGCATGTATGTCGCTCAGCTCCTTTCCTCTGCTCTGTGTATAGGAACAGAACTGAACCTCATCAAATGAGAAGCAGCATTTTCTGCATGGCTTCCACTACAACTGAGCACTGGCAATGAAACCACCTTTGCAAAAATTATATCAATGAGCAAATTATGACAGTGAAAAAGATCTGATCTAACTTACCCACTCCCACCCCTTGCCTTTCCCGTAATCATTCCTGGGCCTATTGTAGACTGGCCTTTTGAGATATCTTCTCAACTTTTCTGCATGTCTGACATCCATGGCTTCACCCAGATCCATCAATCCCACTCCTGTGGCCCCACCCAGAAGCAACTCAGCTCAAATGGACAGCTTTAACGCATGATTTCATCTCCATCCCAACCAATCAGCAGCAAGCACCTATTTCTAGCCACCCCCACCCCTTCCCCAAACTGCCTTTGAAAAATCCCAGCCTCTCATCAACTAAACTCTTTCTCTACTGCAATGCCATGGTCTTCACTTGTGCAGCAGGCAAGAAGAACCCATCAGGCGGTTACAGCAACTCTCATGCTTGCTTCTGAACTACTGACATCTAGAGCTAGCTGCCTTCAGGTCATCTTCTAATGTGTATTCCACAAAAGAATAGCAATAATTCAAAACTTAACTTCTTCCCCTAAATATGCTCTTTTTCCCATGCTCCCATTCCAGTGGGTCAAGACAGATCCACTGGGATGGGAGCATGGGAAAACACCTGGGTGTTAAGCCAAAGGGCTTTCTCTGCCTTACCTATCATCAATTAGACACTGAGGCCAAAACTCCTGTGATCTGATATCTCTTGAAATCTTTGCTTCCTCTCCATTCCTATTGCTATTGATTTCATTCATCCTCCTGTTTCTCCTCTGTACTATTCTGGTCTCCCTTACCACAGCTAAAGTGGTCTTTCAAACTTAATTCAAACCATATCCCTCCTTTCTGGAAGTCCTTCACTTACTCCTCACATCCCCCAAGACTGAATCCCAGTTCCAAAGCATAATTTAGAAGGCCTTACAGCCCCTCTGGTTTCAATCCATCCCATTCCCCAGTGCATCTCGTGATCCTATCAAGCCAAATTACAAATTATCTGAAGCCCCCCTAACTGCCCCAGGCTTTCTCTCACTTCTGAAGCTCCCTAGTTGCCATTCCTTTTGACTATTTGTTCTACCCCTCTACCCTTCACTAGCCCAACTTCTCCTTTTCAAAATTTCAGCTTAAAATAATGTCCCCTAAGAAGTCTTCTGTCAACAGCCCCCTCTCCCAGAGCTAGGTGCTCCAATGGGGTGTACCCCAATGACTATTATAGCACTTTACCACAATTTATTATTGTTGATTAACTGTCTCTTCCACCAGACTGTACTCTCCAGCATGGGACCGACTATCTTATTCACCAATGTATGCCTGGCACCTAGTAGAATATGGGGCACATACTCAGATATAGATATAGATATAATCATTTAATGCATATATATATATATATATATGCATTATATATATGCATTAAATGATTAAATAAATGGATGAATGGTTAGGTGGCTGGCCCAAATACAAGAAGTTAAACATCTAAGAGCCACAAAGGGCCAATATACAGTACCTCAAGGGCCTCTATGCCAAGTCATTTTCAACAGGGTAGGACAGGCACAGACAAAAAGCCTCAAAAGTCACCAGCAATTTCCAAGCTGACATTTCATTTTTGCCATCCCTTCTTTTTTCTAAACTCTCCTCAAGTGTCACGGAGACTGACTGTTCTAAGACATGCATTGCAATGGTACAGAGCTAGGGAAACTTGGTGAGGGGCAGGTACACTGAGCAACCAGCATAGCTGGGCTGCAGGGCCAGAGGGATGCTACAGGGCCAAGGGTACAGGCTGGGAGAGTTCAGAACACCTGACAGAGCTTCAAGTCCAGGGCTGGGTGGAGGCACTGGAGAGCTGAGGGCACCAGGCCAGAGAAGACAATAGCGTAAGTGAAACAGGGCCAAGGGACACTAGGAGGAATGGGTGGAGGACAGGCACAGCACTGAGGCTCCAGCTAGATGTATGACAGGGGTTGGGGGTGAAGGGGCAGAGGTGAGAATAGATAGTTGAGGATTTGTGGGGTTCTGGGTTATGTCCAGGGTAAGCGAACACTTTCAGTAAGCTAGTAGGTGGGTGGACAGAAAGGCCTCCAAGAGCTCATCTTCAAGAGATCTCTGTGTCTCAGCTGCTCATCTACCTCTGTAGAACATCCCTGCAGATCACTCACCCAACAAATTCCATTGATTCAAATCCTAAGGTATCCAACTCTGGGTTGTGGAGGCCACAAAAAATATTTTCCCCATCTTCACTGTGGACAGAAAAGTTCAAGCTTTGGATTCTAACTGATCTCATTTTAAATAAACCTCAGCTCTCTCGTCTACTAGCTGTAAGGCCCTGGACTTCAGTTTCCTTAGCTGTACAATGGGGATGCTCACTTCCACAAATGTTGGAGGTGAGGTGAGATAATGCTGGTGAAGCAGCACACACGGTTCCAAGCACAGAGTACATGTTCAATAAATTGGCTCTCTTTCCCTTCCTCCTTCCACTCTGCATGAAGCCCAGGAGGTCCCATTTTAAGTGTGCGTGGGGGAGTGGAAATGGGGAGGAGGAAGATCTAGGTTGCTGACTCACTACGGCAGAAGGCATGAATCAGGGCTGTGTAGCGTCCAGGGATGGAACAGGGACGCTCCTCCCCCCACCCTATCCTCCTCCTCCAAGTGCCTGGGGTCTTGGCTGGCAGTGGGTCCCATGTAGTTAGGGAAAACAGGCTCCTTCAGTACCTTTCTCACCACATTTGGAGAGGAGTGCTGGATGGTGCTGTCCACTGGGGGGACACTGAGAGGGGTTTCTTCCCCAGACGCCTGGGGCAAGGCAGCAGCAGTATTCTTGTCAAGAGGGAGAGCCGGCTTTGAGCCCTGAGATGCTGGGGGCTCATCTGTAGCCTGGAGAAGAAAATAAGAACTTGGGTGGGTTTTACTGCAGACAGCGTAGCAGCAGCAGCAGTGGCAGCAAAGGCTAGTGCTCACCCTGCCATGTGCATCATCACCACTTGCACATTGTGGACTGCTTAAACGTTTTCCAAAAAGAAAAATACTCTTATCCCAACTCTTCCAAAGACTACACGCTAATGGGAATGTCTTAGGATGAAACCCAAACCAAGAATTCTGAGCTAATTTTGTGATATTCACTTTAGCAATCATAACCTAGTTTTGACTTACATTTTAGCTTGTGGCCCTCTATGAACCCTAGACCCTTCTCTGCCATCACATGGATTATTCTATATCTCCTCAAAAGAACTGGGCCTCAGGGGAAGACATTGAAGCATGATCTGAAGTTGTCAGTACTGAAGCGTAAATGTGAGGCCTTATATTCTATAATAAAGTAAAAATCTGTAAAGCTGCTTTGAAGATATAACTGTGATTACAGATTTAAAGGGGATACCACTATAGAAAAAGTGAGAGAAGGGTAGAGAAAAGAGGATAGAACAGGAGGTTCTGGGGGGAAGAAAAAGAAAATCAAGAGCTAAGAATGAAGATGTGAAATGTAGCAAAGATCCCAGGGGTACAAACTGCACCTCTTCAACTGTTTCAACTGTCTTTTAGCTGAGAAAAAAGAGGTGCACCATCCAATATCCTCCTGTGGAAAGAAGACTTCTGTGGCATTACAGAAATGTCAGCAGACCTGAATCCAAGTCTTAGCTCTATCTCTCAATGTTGTATGATATGGAGACAAACTGCTAGCCTTCTCTAGCTCCCACTTATATACCTATAAAGCAGAGATGGTAATGCCTACCAAACAACATTGTTGGTAGGATAAATGATATGGTGCATATAAAACATACCCAGCTTAGTAGAAGTAAAAAAGTTTAAGTCTATATCTGTGCAGTATTATAAAAGTGCTGCCTGCCAGCATCTAACATGGACCCTCACTCTGCTCCTTAAGCTCTGCCCTCCCCCTGTCTGGGATTCATAAGGTCCGGCAAGGGAGCTAGGGAGATGACAAGATAAGAGACAGCCTCTCTTCTGCTCTGGCACTGGCAGGAGTTCAGCACAGCTCAGAAGGTACCATCGGTGGGCAGGGTCCCTACTGTCATCCAGGAAGACAGGGCTAAGCCAAGCTACTCCGGAGTATACTGAGCCTAAATCTAATTTGGGACTGGGTACTATGCTCTCTGGAGCTTTTCTGAGGTGGGAGGTTGAGCCCAGCATAGTTTTGAAATGTGAGGGCTGAGCTCAAGGCAGCCCTAAGGTGCAGAAACTGTATTCCTGTGCTGCCTTGTTTTTGGGGAGGCTGTGTTCCCTGAGTGATCCTACGATGGGCAGAATATGCACGCCAAGCCACCCTGACGCTTACCTGCAGGGTCTCCTCCTGGCTCTGGGACTGGACAGGTGCTGGCTGCCTCACGATGTAGTTGATCTGCCCCACAATGGTTTGCTGAAGATGCTGAGGAGATTTGGTCTGACTCAGTTGCAGGCTGGGCTGTTGAGCCTGGAGAAGAAGCTCCAAGTCCTTCTGCATTTCCTCCAGCTCAAACTTGTGATGCATTATGTCCATGTTCTGAGAACAGGCAGGGCCAGGAGGGCTCTCGTGCTGACTAGAAGCCAGATGCTGGGATGGAGGAAGAGGTGGGTGTGGCTGCTGTGGGGGAGGGGGAAGGGGAGGTGGGGGATGGGGGAGGGGTGGTGGTGGAGGTGGTAGCTGCTGCTGTGGCTGCTGCTGAAAGTGACTGAGCTTCAGCTTCTGGTGGTGGCCAAACTGGACTTGGATAGAGGGTGTCTGTAAGGTGGGCTGGGCATGGGCTCCTTGCTGAACATCCTGTGGGGGGACAATGCACACGGGCTGGGAAGTCAGCTGCTGCCCCAGCCGCTGGGATGTGCTCTCCTGCTCCACGGGGGGCTGGGTTTCCAGCCAGGGCTGCAGCAGCTTTGGTGGATGAGGGCTGCAGGCCAGCTCTTTCTCCCTGGGCAGCAGGGCAGAGCACTGCAGAGACCCCAGCTGCTGGGGCACCATCTCAGGGGGCTGCCTGAAGCTGTGGGCTGGGTGTATGCTGGGTGGGGGGACCTGGCCTTTGAGGGAAGGCGAGACTGGGGAGCAGTGGGAGCAGCACACAGATGAGGAGCACACTGCTGGAGACTGGAACTTGTGTGAGGGGTGGCTAAGAGCCTCTTGCTGAGCCACTGGAGACTGGTGGCTTTGATAAAAGGGTGATGACCCCTGTAAGCCTCCATAAGCAGGAGCATCTGCCCTGGACATTTGTCCACCTTCAGTAGTTATGCAGCCTGAAAATGCAGAATAGAGAGTTTTTCAAAAGTTTTTCAAGTTGCTCCCACCTTGCTACTTCCTGCTCCTGGGACAAAAGAACCTCATTCAACAATCCTGTACCAGGAACAGAGATTAAGAAACTCAACCCTTGATCTCCTAGACTCGGTCTAGAATGCTGCCAGTAATAGCACCTGTATGCACCTGCTTTGGGGGCCTAGGATATTTGAGAAATTAGTTCAGCTTTTACCAGATGCTCAGCCCTGACTCTGTTTCTGTCCCACTAGGGAAACCACAAGCTCTCTCAAATAGCACCCACTCATTTTTTTCCAACAGAACAGCCCAATCAGACTCTCACAAAAAGAATCAACTTTGGGGTTGGGAGGGAGTATGCTAGAAAGTAGCAAAGGGTAGAGAGCCATGCCTGGGACCAATGAACAAGTTCCCAGATACAGGTGTGGGGAACTGTGTGTTGAGCAAGTAGGACGGAAGAGAGTGGGGAAGCTCTAATACCAGGTGATACAGTTTGGAGCTGTGTCCCCGCCCAAATCTCATGTTGAATTGTAATCCCCAGTGTTGGAGGTGGGGCCTGGTGGGAGGTGACTGGATCGTGGGGGCGGATCCCTCATGAGTGGTTTAGCACCGTCCCTTTGGTGCTGTTCTTGTGATAGAGGTCTCGTGAGACCTGATTTCTTTAAAGTGTGTAACACCTCCCCCTTGCTCTGTTTCTTGCTGCTCTGTCCATGTGATGTGCGTCTTCACCTTCTGTCATGATTGTAAGTTTCCTGAGGCCTCCCCAGAAGCCGAGCAGGTTCCAGGATCATGCTTCCTGTACATCCTGCAGAATCATGAGCCAATTAAACCTCTTTTCTTTATAAATTACCCAGTCTCAGGTATTTCTTCACAATAATGCGAGAATGGACTAATACACCAGGTCAGTGCCAGGCACCGGCACTGCCCCCTGAGGCCTCTAGGTCCCTTGTGCACAAGTAGATCTATGGCTAACTCAGTCTAATGACTCCTTCCTCTCATTATTTTGGTGAGACTTACTTAGAAGAAGTCTGAGCTCCTTAAGGAAAATGTGTTTTATTCACCATTGGTTCTTTGGTGCTCAGCATGGGGCCTAAACAAGAGTAGGTGGCCATCAAAGGTCTGCTGAGTTAAATCAAAGGAAAGAGGGAAGAAAAGAAATAAACCTACATATCATTTGTCACTTTGCCAAGTTCAACAAATTTTCAATAAGATTAACAGCCTCAAATGAAGGCAGCAGCTGGCCATCAGTTTAACACTCGTTAGGCTGTCAACACAGGCACAACTTCAAGCTGTCTACATTCTGCCTAAAGACTGAATGCCAGCAAATGATTGCAGCAGGGAAGAAAAATGCACAAGGCCATGAATTATCTGCTTACATCTCAACTCGAAAGGATATGTCTGTGTGACACAAACATGCACACGCAGTCTCACTGTTGCTGAGATACCCCTGCTTGTGCCCACACGTGTATACCTTTGTGTGACCACAGAGACACACATTCATCTGTACTGCCATACAGCATTCCGGAGAGCAGGGTGACTGTCTTGTCTCCTCCTCAGCAATAAAACCAATGTAACAGGACATTTACACAGAATGGTAAACTCAGATTTCAACTCATCCTGATACAAAGTCCTATATTGCCACTGTTATTTAATTCCTCATCCTCTCCTCTTCCCCCTCAAAAAAAAAAAAAAAAAAAAAAAAAGGTTTGCTGAATGATTCCATGACCACTGGCAGTCCCAGAGAGTGCTTTCTCTTGGGCATATGCTGACCTACCCAGTAAGGTAAGCAATTAAGTCAAAGCCCACAGGGTGGGTAGGCCTGGGTGGGTGGGTCCAAGCTCACCAAGAGAAGCTAGCTGCTTGGTCCAGAAGTTAGGCTCCCAGGTGAATCTGATACTCCAAGGGGAGCCAGGATCTGTGTTACAACTTGTCTCCAGCAATCGCTGCATCTGAAACACAATCTGACAACAGCACCAAAGGTCATTTATTTGGGCATCTTGCACCTAAATGACAACTCCCCTTCCCTTACTCTTTGGACAAGCTGAAAGGCTCAAAGTCATGGCCCTTTAACCTCTGGTCATCCTCCATATTCTCATTCTCTTGCACCTTAGCACCTGTCCATCCTCCCAGCTGATCCCTTTCCTCTTATCAAGGCTCCTGGAACCTACATTCTTTTTTTTTTTTTTTTAATTGAGACGGGGTCTCACTCTGTTGCCCAGGCTGGAGTGCAGTGGCGCGATCTTAGCTCACTGCAAGCTTTGCCTCCCAGGTTCACGCCATTCTCCTGCCTCAGCCTCCTGAGTAGCTAGGACTACAGGTGCCCGCCACCACGCCCAGCTAATTTTTTGTATTTTGTTTAGTAGAGACGGGGTTTCACTGTGTTAGCCAGGATGGTCTCGATCTCCTGACCTCGTGATCTGCCCACCTCGGCCTCCCAAAGTGCTGGAATTACAGGCGTGAGCCACCGCACCTGGCCTGGAACCCCTACATTCTTATCTTTTCAGGCCTTAAGTGATTTGTCATTCTCCCTCACTACATCGTTGACTGGCAGCTCCATTCATTCTACCATCACCTCAATTTAAAAGCCTAGTGGGGGCAGGCATTGTCTGAGCTCCCCATTGCTGTACTTCCACTTGCAGGTAAAACACCCTTCTGTCCTACTCAATAGCCCTCTTCCTCTCCCAACACTTTCATCTATTTCTCATCACTAACTCTCCTATTTATCCAGGGCTTTGGCAAGTGTCCAACTTACCCTGCTATCCTCTAGTTAACTAATGTCCCAACGAACATCTTAGCCTCTCATTTCATTGATCTCTTGCATGGCAACCACCTTGTTTTCAGTTTAGTCACCATACCTAGACCCTATTCATCATTTACAACCATTCTACCTATGAGACCTTTAAACTCCAACAACCCACCCTGGTCATAACAAGTTCATGCTCTTTCAGAGTATGTTGTTCAACCTCTCCAAGCCCTGCTCCTTCAGTCCACAGGACTTCCCAGCTTCCTTTCATTTACAGTCATGATATCACTAGTGTCCTAATTCCCTCCCCATCGCCAACTCCTACTCTTAGGTAATCCAGCCATACCAAAGCCATGTTATCTGGGGCCACTTCAGTGATTATGAATTTCAGCAGCACCCCTCAGCCCTTTCTCTTGTCACTTCTTTTCTTGTCATCTTTCTCTTCCACTGCACTCAATGACCATTTAAAATCTTTACTTTGGTGCTACTTACCAATGTTTTAACCCTCTTATTATCACCTCCTATTTCACAGAGAAAAAAAAGACACCATAAAGGATAAATTACCCCAACTTGTATCCCTTCTACCCTCAAACTTAACTACAGCATTGTCCCCTTCCTGTCCTCCCATCTCAGACGAAGGGACTGTCCTTGTGTTTAAGGTCAACCAGTTCACTCTATATCCTTCCTCCTGCTTTCTCAGTGTACTTACCCCACCACACACCCCTCCTCTCTATCTTCAACCTCTTCTCCCATATACATGTGTGCAAATGTTTTCCAAGCTTAAAAAAAAGTTTCCCCCAACTCTGCCATCTTCTCAGGCTATGTTTTTATTTTTCTTCTTTTCACTTCTGTCTCTACTTCGTCACCACCCATCCTCAGTCTCCTCATTCTAGCTTTTGACCCTTCTACTTCACTGGAGCTTCTTTCAGAAGATAGCCTGATTCCCAGATCCAGAGGCTGCTCGTCACTATTCATCTTCTTTCACCCATGCAGCATTGTCAAATGGACCACTTAAAATTGGAAACTGTTCATTTCTGTGTACCACACTCTGTTTTGCTTCTAACCTCTGACCATTGCTTCTCACCTCTGACCACTGCTTCTCACTCTCCTCCAGTCATCATCTTCCTCTGTCTATGCTGAAAATGACGGTATTCCCTGGGTTCCTGACTTTCTCTCTTCTTGCTCCACACACTCTTCCAAGGTGATACCACTGATTTCCTGGTGACTCCTACATCTCCTTCTCCAAAACCAACTTTTCTTCTGACTTCCACACCCATATATTAAAACGGCTTTTTAATGGTAGGTAGCTTGGAGTTGGTTTTGGATGCACTACAGGCACCTTAGATTCAAAGTATTCAAATATAAACTCCATCGACTTCTCTCAAAATTCTTGCTCCCTCTCCTGGGTGCTGCCGTCCTCTCAAGCCTAATACTTCAACCTTATCTCCAACTCCTTTTCTCTCAGACCCCCGTGTAAACCCCAGTAACTTTCTATGAGATGCCCAGCACACTGCTCATGTCCAGGGTAATGTCTGAATCAATTACCTATGACAAAGAACTACAGACTTTCCCAACTGAGCTACCTTTGGGAGGGCAGGACCATTTCAGCACCTGTGTCCTCTTTGCACTATGGGATTTGGTAAAAGATGGTGTTTACTTACTAACCCAAAAGCAGTGATTGAATTTGAAGGATGGATGGAGCTGCTATGTTATTCCTCCTTCCATCCTAAAAAGAAAAGGCACTTCCAAGGACTGCCTCATTGCCCCTCTGACAAAGGGGATGCTCTGATAAGCTTCAAGGACAGGCTGAGGAGTTGGGAGATTCCTCTTACCAGCTCTTTGCTGAAAAGAAAAGGGACACTGGTTTTGCTGCAGACAGCCCAGTTGATGAAATTCTGCACATGCTCAAACTGACGGTTGAGAACCATGATGCTCTGTAACTGCTGTTCCAGCTTCCGCTTTCTCTCATTAGTAATCCCCTGGGTACAGAGAGAAGACAGAGTCCTTGATCCTGTTACTGGACTGTAATCCACCTGCTTGGGAAGTCTGGTGGCTTGTGTGTGTCACTGATGGAATCAGATGAGACTACACCCCTGAGAGGACAGCAGGGCAGAGTGTTGCCATGGGATGCTGGCTGATGGAAAAGGGGAGGGGGAGATGGTGGGAGATTTTATAGTGCAAATATGGAATGGGTAATAAATGAAAGAGGAAATGAATAAATGTCTACATCTCTTGGGCATAAATTGGTGAAGAAGGTGGTTTGTTTCATGACTTTCTCTTCCAAGACTATAACCCTGAGCAGTTAAGGATGGAAGCTGCCTAAGAGACATAGCATCAAAAATCAGTTTGAACTGATTTTCTAGCCCTTAATGAGCCACCCTCCCAAAATTAGGCTGACATTTTAAAATACAGGGAGCAGCACAGAGCTATGGAAGCTGCATATCTGAATTACAGCCTAGGCTTCCCTAGGTCCTGGGACTAGCTTGATATATGGATGGTTTCTGAACCCAACCATCTGATCCATCTGTCTATACATACCTCTAATTCCTCTATTAGCCCATTGGCCTGTTTGTTCAGCTCATTCATCAGAACCATCTTGGCCATTTTGATCTGGTTTTCCACCTTCCTATGCTGATGCTTCACTTCAAAAATCCTGTAAACACAATGGGACAAACCATGGTAAGCTTTCCTCATGGACTATATGAAGACGAAGAGACAGCAAACATAAGAACCAACTTGGAGGCTGCCTACTGAGATCAGGGCCTAGCAGACACCAAATACAAAAAAAAGAGAGCCTTCCTCCACCATCCCACCTTTTGTACAAAGCCCCACTTGATCAAAGTTCAGCTTGGTTTTCTCTAGGTAAACCTCAAGTCTACACCAAGGTCAACCCAGTAGCCCACCAGTTGACACAGCACTAGAGGTAGGACCAAAAGAGAAAGTATGGGAATAATTTACTGTAATTTGTTGTGTTTAAAAGGAGGATGCTCCAATAAATGTCGCCATGAGGTAAAAAGAGGCAGAATGCATACTGCCTCAGTAGTTTCTGAGGGCCGGGGGGTGTTGGGGGAATGGAGAGTGACTAATAATGTTTATATTATTGGCATAATAACATATTATATAATAAACATATTATATAATAAACAATAATAAACATATAATTATATAATAAACAATAAACATATAATATAATGTTTATTATAAACATATAATAATGTTTATATTAATGTGGCTTCTTTTTGGGGGGATGAAAATGTTTTAAACGTAGACAGTAATTATGTACAGTTGCACAATTCTGTGAATATACTAAAGGCCACTGAATTATACATTTAAAAAGAATAATTTTATGATACGTAGATTATATCTCAGTAAAGCTATTTTTAAAAATTTAAAAAGCATGGGCATTGAAGTCACCACAGACCTACCATCTAAACCCAGCACAGTCACTGGCTAGTTGTGTGATCTCAGATGAGTTACCAAACCTCTATGAACCTCAGTCTCCTCATCAGTAAAATGGAGAAAATCGCTAACTGAAAGAATGGCAAGAACTGAACAAAATAATGCATATATGATACCCAACCCAGTGCCTGACACATGAGGTGCTCTCAGCACCTACCACTTCCTCTTCCTATGTAAAATACCAATGATTTCATGTGACTTGTAGATTTACAGAGAACACACAGGGAAAGGGGTGATAAAGCACAGATTGCCCCTGGTTTGTTCCACCCTCATAATAAGCAGCACTCTCTTCCCTAGTGTCTGCTTGGTACCCTTGTTCTCAAGCACCGACTTCTGGCTAGTTCATAAGGCATATTCTTTGACCCAGACTCACTCTGATCATCCTGACCTAGCTTGGTCTCAGCCACCAAGGGATGACTTAATGACCCCTCCCTGGCCCTGAGACCTCAAAGGCCAAGACATATGCCTTCTAGGACATATGCCCACATCTGCTTAACCACAGTTCCTCTTCACAGGCACTACATCTGACGGCCTGGTGTTGGAACCCTGGGTGTGCGGGAACAGAGCATTTCCAGCACTGGCAAGGCACTAGCCTGTGCTACCTGTCCTCAATTTGCTTTGCAGATGTCTGTAGACTGGATTTCTTATGTGCCACCTGTGTAGTCACACCTTCCAGAAGCATCCTCTGGTTTTGCAAAACTTCTTCAACATGTCTGCACCTAGGGGATGAGGCAGAGAAAAAGCTGAGAAGGGCTGAGTCCTACTTTGAGCATGCCAACCAAGCGGGAATCTCCACAGGGAACTGTCTCAGCCAGACCCATGGAAGCTGTGATGACTTCTAGGGAAAGTCTAAGGCACCACAGGCTCTTGGCCCATTAGGCCTTTTCCAGGGAAGTCCTACAACAGGAGCAGAGAAAAACTTCAGCCCAGGGGCTGCAGGTTGGCTTGGGCAGGGAGAAGATTCTGATGCACGGGGATTCCCAGAGCTCTCACAAGTAAGAAATCCAGAGCCCTCCCCAGCCCATTTCAGGCAGTCTGTCAGCCCCACCTGTGTTCTTTGTGTTCCACCACTAGGCAGCTATGGCAAGTGAGCATATCACATGTCTCACAGAATAGCTTGAGTACTTCCTGTGTGTGTAGAGGACAATACAAGGTGAAGTCTCCGGGACCACCATTCACTCCTGCCAGAGAAGACAGAGAAAGTGAGCTTCTCTTGCTCAGGTAGACAAACCTCTCAGTTAAGCTTTGCTGCACAGCTCTCAGCCTTCAGAGGACACTGCAGAAATACAGAGCTCGGGGGAAGTGTTATAAACAGGAGATGACTCTCCAGGGGCACAAGGAGGATTTTGGGCTGAGCTTGGCTGGATTTGCCCAGTTGTCCAGAAATAGCACACCATCAAGCCCAAGCATCCCACTACCTGCCAGAGGCTGAGGAAGGCGCTTGCTACTACTCCACATAGATCTCCTGCAAAATAATGAATCCTTCACAATTAACCTTAACCTGTTCATTAATCAGGATTCTGTTTTTAATGGAGCTGAAACCAGCTATCCAGCCTTGCCAGGCTCCAGGCTAGATCACGTGGATCATGAACTCTGGTTCCTGTGGATTTGACAGTTGTAGAACCCCTCCCACAATTCAAGGGCCTTGAGAAAAGACTTTCAAGAAGATTGTCATTTAAAACAGATGGTGGCTGGGCGCAGTGGCTCACGCCTGTAATCGCAGCACTTTGGGAGGCCAAGGTGGGCGGATCACCTGAGGTCAGGGGTTCAAGACCAGCCTGGCCAACATGGCGAAACCCCATCTCTACTAAAACTACAAACATTAGCTGGGCGCGGTGGCGCATGCCTGTAATCCCAGCTACTTGGGAGGCTGAAGCAGGAGAATCGCTTGAACCCAGGAGGTGGAGGTTGTAGTGAGCCGAGATCATGCCACCGCACCCCAGCCTGGGTGACAGAGTGAGACTCCATCTCAAAAAAAAATAAAAATAAAAATAAAAATAAAACAGATGGTGCTGGGTAGACAAACAAACAAGCCCTAATCCAGACTAAGTTAATCAAGTAAATAAATTAGAAGGGTAACATGATTACTCTAGAGGGGAAAGGCAGGGAGCTCAGCCAGCTTCCACAATAATTCAACACTTTCCTCTCTATACCATTTCATCCACACTCATCCACCCCCACCATCAACAGGGAGGGACGAGAGTGAGTCACCCCTTTGACTCTGAAGGAGACTTCCTTTGGGAAAGGCTCTGAGACTGTCCCTACCTTCTCCCCCAGCAAGAAAACAAGATCGGAGAGCTATTCTCCAGGGATCTTAGGGTTCAGCCCTGCTTTAGGGCATGGGAGTGGGCAGGGAGAGGTGGGATTGGTACCTGGAGATCCCTTCTGGGCCCGAGGAAAGAATGGGCCCCCGGGGACAGGGCTGTGTCGGTGTTCCTCTGTGCAAGAGCTGCACAGCCAGCGATTGCAGTAGGTGCAGAGGATATGTGCTGCCCTCTTCTCCTTGCACTCAGAGCAGTTCTGGAAGCAGAGAGTTCTGGAGTTACTGATGTTATCCTCATTTGTGTCTGCCTCCACAAGTGGTAAATGCTCTAAAGACAGGGGTCCTGCAGGCCTATTCCTCCACCAGTTTGGAGTGTAACCTATTCTGCAGAGCTGTCTGGGAGTAACATGCCGGGGCTTGTGGAAGGAAGCATCCTTTGTAACCAAAAGAACAGTGGCTACTTCAGGTATGGTGGCTCACACCTGTAACCCCAGTACTTTGGGAGGCCAAGGCAGGAGGAGTGCTTGAGCCCAGGAGTTTCAGACTAGCCTGGGCAACATAGTGAGACCCCATCTCTACAAAAAATACAAAAATTAGCCGGGAGTGGTGGCACATGCCTGTAGTCCCAGCTACTAGGGAGACTGAGGTGGGAAGATCGCTTGAGCTCAGGAGGTCAAGGCTGCAGTGAGCCAAGATCGTACCACTACACTCCAGCCTGGGCAACAGAGGAAGACCCTGTCTCAAAAAAGGATGAGGAAGAAGGCAAAGGAGAAGGAAGAAGAAGGAGGAGGAGGAAGAGGAGGAGAGGAGGAGGGGAAGGAGCAGAAGGAAAAGGAGGAAGGGAAGGAGGAAGGGAAGGAGGGAGGGAGGGAGGGAGGAGGAGGAGGAGCAGCAGCAGCAGCTGTCTCAGGGGCTGTTCACACAAGTCCTGTGCTGAAGCTAAGGACACCCAGATGCGTAAGCCAAGGATCTGATCTCATGCTATCCACAGCACACAGGATGGTACACATTAACTGAGTAATGCTGTAATTAAAAGGATGCAACACATGCTAAGGAAGCAAAGGAAGCCTTCCTGGAACTCAGTCTAGGAGTGGCTAGGAAAGGTTTTACAAAAAGGAAACACTTGAGCTGGATACTGAATGACAAGTAGGTTCACCAGGCAGATAAGGGAGGAAAATGTTGTAACAGAGGGAAAGCACTGGCAAAAGCAGGAAATTCAATGTGCTTCAGAGAGGAGAAAGCCCACATATGGGAGTACACAGCAAGATGGTCAAATGCAACCAAGGAAGGGCAAGTATAGACCAGCGTTCAGAGTTGTGCTCCCACACCTGGGCTCTGCCTGATCTGAGGGTACCTAGGCCTCTCCTAGTCCAAATGTTCATTCATTTCGTAAGCAAATATCTTGCCCGGGCTATTATAAAACATCAAGAGAAGGGGAGATTTGGAAAAGTTGGCCTATCTGTGTCTGAATCACAGAGGCCACCAAACTGATGTGAATTCTGAAAGTTCTACTAATTAAACTATGAATTCCTTGAATGTAGAGTATATGGGTCGATCTCCCTAATATCCAGCACAGGGTCTGGCACATGTGAGACATTCAACACAAATCAGATACAGGAACAAGTAAGTAAATTAGTAAATTACTAATTTACTAATTTACCCTAGTGGAAAGAGGAACAGAAGGGCTGCCGGCCAATAAGTGATAAAAATTTCCTTAAGAAACTCAGGAAAAAGGTGATAGTTGTTAAATACAGGCAAGGTTAATAAACCCATTTAATCCAGGCTGGTACATGAATTTCAACTCAGGATGATTAAAAAAATAAAACAAAAGCCCAGTACTGGTATTTTTCAGCAAGAGCTGTAAGAGAGAGAAAAATAATTATATAGACAGTAAGCAACTCTTAATATATCTTAACTTACATTCACCTTCTGCTAAAGGGATTGACACAAAAAAAAGTCAATAATTTTCACTTAATAGAAAACCCCCTCATTGTTTCCCCCAACTCATGCATTTTTATTTTCTTCTAGATGGATGGATGGATGATTAGGAAAACTGATGGAGAAGTAACAAATCAGATGATAGAGTGATGGATGGATAGAAGACTTATGGACAGGGGCCTCACAGATTTCTGAAAAAGATCAGCTGCTTCTTTCCTTGTCCTGACTTACCCTGGCCATCTTGGGTTGCTCAGTAGGAACACAATGCAGAAAAAAATGTTCAGTTACATCCCTGGTAAGATATACTCGTTCACACCCAGGACAGGAGATGAGCTCTGTGCAAGAAAGAAAGATAGCAGAGTCAGGGCAACATGGCTGATTATAACTAAGGCCTGGACATAAGGCTTTCTAATACACAACACCAAGATACATGGCAATACCCATGTGTGCCAAAATGAACTACACTTGATGCCATAGCCTGCATTTAGTATGTGGGTACCCTGAACATGACCATCCCATTGGGGCCTTCCCTACAGACCATCTGGTCTCCTCACATTCTTGTCTTTACCTGGTCCTACCTTCCTCCCTGCCCCATAAACCATGCTACTACAGGCCCAACGCTGCTTTGGTTCTGACAATCAGGTGCCTTCTTGCTGCTCCCATTCCTCATTCCACATCCCTGAGAGCACAGCTCCCATCACTAGCCAAGATCCAGAGTCAGTTTAGTCTGGGCACAGTTCCAGGTCATTAAGGTTACCACATAGCAGGATGACTTGGAAGATCTCGAAGCTAAAGCCTCCAGAAGGCTTTAGTCAGAGAAAGGCAAGGCCTCCCTGCCCGCTCATCTAGGAGGTATTTTTCTCTTAGTACAGCATATACCAGTCAGTCTGCCTCTGAGGCTCAGAGGTCTTTTGGAGGGCTCTCTCCCCATAGACCAAGTTAGATGCATCATATATATGTATATTTTACCTATGAACAGCTTGACCTACAATCTCTCCCCAGAGAAATACATCAGTCTCTAACATATTCTTCAGCATAGTGGGCTTCTGGACTATAAAAGCAGCAGAAGACTCCCACCCTGGAGACCACAGTGATTCTGCCGGCCCACCGCAAGGGCAGTCAACCTACTAGGAACAAGAAAATGAGCCTCTGGAGTAGGGCAAGGTACCTGTGTCCAGGGATGAGGGTGATCTGGAAAGGGGTTGGCTATGGCAGTGAATGCAGCAGTACCGCTACAATCTCCTCTGTCTCATCTCTTCAAAATACGAAAGAATGATATGATGGCAGTTGCTCCAGACTTATAGTCAGACAAATGTAAGTCCAAAATACCAGGCCTACCAGCCAATGACCTTGGGCAAAACACTTAATCTCACTTAATTGCCCTGTACCCCAGTTTCTTCATATGTAAAATAGGGAAAATAAGAGTTGCTGTGCACATTAAATTAGATAAGACTTCAGAAATCACATGGTCCTCCATGAATGTCAACTTTGGAGTTCAAAAGATTCCTCATATCCTATTCACAGTAATGCAATAAACTCAATTACCAACTCTCTGGTGACGAAAGTTAGTTTGAGTGGTAGATTCAAAAAATGGCCACAAATTCTTCCCCTCCCTGCATCCATACCCTTGCAATCCTACCATCAAAAGGTAAGACTCTCCACGAGCTTCAGGTCAGTGATGAGTTTTTAATTTTTAAAAGAGGTAGGACCCTTTGCCCTTTGAATCTAAGCTCACCTTGTGACTTTCTTTGGCCAACAGAATGCAGCAAAAGTGACAAGTTTTCCAAGCCTAGACCTCAGTGGCCTTATATAATTCTGCTCTTGTTCTTAGAACTTTAAGAGTGCCATGTGAAAAATCTAACCTGGCATTGAGACTGCTGGAAGATGAGAGATCATGCAGAGAAAGTTCTCAGTTGTCTCAGGCATCCCACCTGAGGCCATCATAGACCAGCCAGCCCCAACTAACCCACTAGCTGAATACAGTGCAAGAGTGAACACAGTTATAATTAGCTAAGCCCAGGCCAAACCAGAAGAATTACCCAGAGAATCCCAGCCCAAACAGCCAAACTGTAGAATCATAAAATAAATAAAGTTTAGTTGTTTTAAGCACAAAGTTTAGAGGTGGCTTGTTATGCAGTAAAAGCTAACTGATACATCCCAGGAAAATAGAAATCCACAAAATCATGAAAAATAATAGTTTAATACTCCCTCACCCCACCAAAAAAAAAAAGAAAAGAAAAGAAAAGAAAAACTTTCTGAGTTTTTGCAGAGCCATGGGTGTTAATGACAGGACTGTATCTGGAATGTCCTGCATATTCTCCTGCCTGTCAAGAACAATGGCCAGAGGTGGAGAAGGATGCTCTCCACAGGTGACATCATCCAGGGGAATAAGGCTACTGTCCCTCTCTTCCACTTGGCTCACCCTGAGGTGACCTCCTCATCTACAGCAGGACAGAAATGCTGCTCTAATTGTTGAAAACGACTTCCACAAGACATCCCGGGTACCAGATGCCCAAACATCAGTCATTGTAACATGGCCTCACGAGCAGAATGAAAAAAGAGAAAGAACTGAATAGGTCAAACAAGGCCTCATCACACATCCTCTGCTCCCTTGGCCTTAAAGCCAAAGTCCTCAGCTTGGCATTCAATGCCCCTTGTAAATTGACCTTATCTCTCTCTAATCTCATCTTTAGCTTTGCCTAACATACAACCTGTGTTTTTGCCATGCCCAACATCTCTGCTATCTCTTGAATACACCAGACTTTTGCATGACTCTGTGTCTGTGAAAAATGCTGTTTCCTCTTCCTGAAATACTCTTTCTTGCCCCTCTCCTTTTCAGATAAACTCCTATTCATCCTTTCATACCTGTTCAAATGTTCCACCTTTGAGCAGCAAGATCAATTTCCCCCGGGATGAGTTAATTAGTCCCTCTTCTGGGTTCCCGCAGCACCCTGAACATCCTTCCAGTACAACGAATATCACATTGCATTTTAAATACCTGTTCATATGTCTGCACACAAAAATAAACCACAGTTGGTATTAAAGGATATTACCTGGTTTTTAGCAGATTGAACAATTATAGAGTAAGTCCTCACTTAACATCAGTGGTAGGTTCTTGGAAACGGCAACTTTAAGTATGATGACATATAATGAAACCAGTTTTCTTCATCAATGTTATAACAAAAGGATGTTTACTTAAGGAACTGCTGTACATTGTTTTGCTTAAAATCACAGTTTTTAAGAATCTAGTTGATGATGGTAAATGAGGACTGCATTTCTGTTTTGTTTTTGTTTGTTTTTGTTTTTTTTTGACGTGGAGTCTTGCTCTGTCACCCAGGGTGGACTGCAGCGGCACAATCTCGGCTCACTGCAACCTCCGCCTCCTGGGTTCAAGCAATTATCCCGCCTCAGCCTCCTGAGTAGCTGGGATTACAGGCACCTGCCACTACGCCTGGCTATTTTTGTATTTTTAGTAGAGACAGGGTTTCACCATGTTGGCCAGGCTGATCTCGAACTCCTGACCTCAAGTGATCCACCCACCTCAGCCTCCTAAAGTGCTGGGATTACAGGCATGAGCCACTGTGCCTGGCAGAGGACTGCATTTTTCGGGAGTTTGTGTGTTCCATGTGTACTCCTTGCACTCACAGCACTGAAAGTAGTAAGAAGCCACCTGGAAGTTTTCTGGAAAAAAAGCCAGTGCAGGTTTATAAGGAAAGCAGAGGTGTGGGGCTTGGGAAAAGCTTTTAATTAAAAAATATGAGTTCTAGGCCCAGGGCTGGCAGTATCTAACTATGTAACCTTGGGTAAGTCACCCCCTTTCACTCAACCTTACTTTCTACACCATTAAAATGAGGGAATAGGAATGCAGGGGAGTACAAATTATCCAACCCATTTACTCTGCCTACAGCAGCCAGACGTTTTTTTTTCCTGGAGGCCAGGCACGGTGGCTCATGCCTGTAATCCCAACATTTTGGAATGCCAAGGCAGGAGGATCACCTGAGGTCAGGAGTTCGAGACCAGCTTGGTCAACATAGAAAAACCCAGTATCTACTAAAAATACAAAAATTAGTCAGGCGTGGTGGTGGGCACCCTGTAATCCCAGCCTCGGGAGGCCAAGGCAGGAGAATTGCTTGAAGCTAGGAGGCGGAACTTGCAGTGAGCTGAGATTATGCCACTGCACTCCAGCCTGGCCAACAGAGTGAGACTCTGTCTCCAAAAAAAATTAAAATAAAAATAAAAAATTAAAAAAAAAATATTCTCTTGGGCAAGATAGGAAGGAACAGACAGCCAAATGGCACCCTGGCTATCAGCCTTGTCAGAAAGTCAGGGAACAAGCTCGTAGTTGAAAGGAATCCTGGATTTAAGAGATTAGCCCTCTAAGAGGGGCTGTGCAGCAAAGAGCAGAGGTGGAGAACCATCACAGTGGTGCAGGCACTGTCCCAGGGAGGCTGCGGGCCCCAGAGTGGATCCAAAGGACATGCACTCCCTTTGTGTCACAACACCTTTGTCCAGAAATTCTTCTCTTCCCTCACAAAGTCCCTAACCCCATCAAGCTGTGTCAACCTTGACTTTTTATTATTTTTAAAGAGATTCTCCATCTTTTAATGAGGATATCAAAACAAAGTTTTACTTTAGACAAGGCATATATCAACTCTTAGAGCTATGTATAATCAAACATCTACTTAACAATATTTAATATTAGTTTAGTTATAAATACATATTTAAATCACACTGCACATAAAATATTATTTAGATATCATGCTTTTTTCTATTTTATTCAGTTAATTATTATTCAAATGACAGCCCTACTCTTGTGTTTCACATATAAGAACACTGATTCTGAGAAATATAGAGACAGGGCCCCAAGTCCACATGATTATCCTCAGGAGATGTGGGGCTTCTGCCTCCAGAATGAGGAAGTCACAGACACCAGAGGTGTTCCTGAGAACTTAGGAGCCTAGCAGAGCAGCTCTGAAAACGGAGGACATTTAGTCCATCTGTCACAAGTGCAAACACTTCTGGTCCTTGAGAGGTGTGGGATAAATTTTCATGTGTACACCACCACTCTCTGAACCAGGCACTTTACATGTGTAAAAAATTCCCCAGGCGAATACAATGTACAACCAAGTTTGAGACCCAGCACCTTAGAGAGAGCATCCCCTTCCCCTGTGGCTGAGCCTGATAGCTGTCTCCTGTATCATGCAGCTGAGAAAGGCAGGCTCACCCCGCTTTAAAAAGAGACTCTAAGAAGTTAGGAAAGACTCTGAATTCAGCTGTGATGTAGCTCCCCTCTGGCAGAGAAAAGGGCAGATTCCCAACAGACAGGTAGTGACCTGATATCCCTGTACCCGGGGATTGGCACTGAGCTGGGAGCCAGACTCCCACAGCTCAACTGCAGGACCCATGAGCAGGCCTAGAGTGCAGCCTGAGGTTTGGCACTACCAAGACCGCTGCTGGGACCTAGAACATGTGCTGAGCCTAAGACTTAGTGAGGCAGCAAGGAAGTGGGGCCCACACATGTCTGTTTCAGACATGAACAGCAGGGCCAAGGCAACACGGACACCAGAGAGGTAGGGGAGGAGAGAAATCCCAAAGAGGTCTCAGAAAGCTGGTATCGGGTCAGCTTAGGCCACCAAGTGAGGACACACTCGTTGCATAAGCCTGAGGCCAATGCTAAGCAATCCTCTGAGGGTTAGGAAGACTTCATTCCACAGCTCTTGTCCAGGGCTCCAGGCAACTTGAAGCTGGGGTCCGAGCTCTGATCCCAACAGAGCAATAGCATCCACTGGAGGAGCCTGATGCTCCTCCGCTAGTTCCAACCCGTAGACCCAAAGCTGGACAGAGCTTCACTGTTCATCCAGCCAATTCCCCACCACACAGATGATGACATGGAGGCCCTGGGACAGGGAGGAGCTTAGCTAAAATCACATGGCCCTTGTATAACATAGGTGATACCGTGAACTACTAAGCAGTCCCTGATTACCTCTGTAGCCACAGGTAAGATGCTCTACCTCCCTATGCCTCTGTCAGACACTAAGCAACGAGAAAAAACACTCTAGTTGTATCCTCTGGCAGGCTGGACATCCTCACCAACAGTCCTGCCCTCCCACCCCCGGGCAGCCCCAGTCTACTGAGCACCAGGAGCACCAGCTAAGGCCCCCACCACACAGCCCCTGAAGGCTTCCTCCAACCCACCACTCAGAGCAGCACCACCTTCAAGAAACATGTTGCACCCAATCCCCAAATACCCAGACCCTGCTAGAAAGACAAATTTTTGTCCAAGTCACCCCTAAAGTGACTGCTGCTTCTGCCCCAGCTGCCAGCAGGCTTATCTGTGGCCCTGCTGCCGTGATTAGGGCAACACTGGGAGAGAAGTCAGAGAAGCGACAGGTGAGACCACCACAGGTCCCAGAGGATGGCGCTTACCAAGCGCCCAGGAACACCCACCCTGCATGCTGCAGCCAGGCGGGCTGCAAGGCCTAAGCCTCGGGGAATGGATACTGGATAGGGTAAGGGGAGCAGCCTGGATCCTCTCCTCCTTTCTCTGATGCATCCTCAGCCAGGGCTGCATTTCTCTAGCTCACCTGAGATACTCCTGCAAGAAAGAGCTTGGTTGACTCCTCCTGTTTCTGTTTATCTCGAAGGCTCTGCAGCAATTTTCCCAAACTGAACAGCAAGAGGGAGACCTCAAAGAGGCGACTCTCTTCCTAGCTGCATCTCCTTCCTAATCCTCTGGGTGCCTTGGAATAGAAGCTCAGAAGGAAGAAAACGACATTTTCAACTTTCAGGAACTAGCTCTGTCGCCCTCTGCACAGCTCGGGAGACAGCACTCTCAGCCTTTTAGGACTCCATCCAAAAATCCTTCAGCCCTCCATGTTCCCCAAAATGACAGTGCTCATGTGTGGCTGGAACCTGCCCCGATCCGGCAGCTCATTTAAATAGAGCTCATCACAACAACAGTGTTGGTGGTGAAGTGAGTAGCTGCAGGACCCTGGGGACCCCCTGTTTATACGTAGGAAGAATGATGCAATCTGGGTATCAAAATAGCAATCCAGAATGGAATAACAGGCTCACGCAGCAGCGGTGCCTGCACAGCCAGAGCTCAAGTTGACACACTCTGTCAGCCCCACACTGCTGCAGCACGCAGATGCCAGGCACACACTCTCACCGCATCATTTTAAAAAACAGCAGGAGCCCAAGATATCCCTCCATGCCCCCGGCACTGAAGGAGGGTGTGGGGGGGCCTTCAACAGACATTGAAATCTGTCTCCTACATACTCACCTGCTCCTGCCACTTCACCTGAAGTCCTTATCCTGTGACGTCACAGTCAGTTGCCATAGTGACCAATTGTCCGTCACAAGCAGAGGATTAGGACTTCGGATGGAGAAGACACACATTTACGATGCACAAAGGTCCTGGGAGGTCTCCCTTGGCAGTTAACTCTACCCACCAGGAAGATCCAGTCACACACAAGCAGGGAGGGAAAAAGGGAAGAATGAACAGGGTTGACTGGAGGAGACATTAGGATGGGGCAAGACTACAAGTACAGCATAATTTCAAAAGCACAGAGCAACCAGATGAGGGGGAGTGGCAGGGATGTGCTTGGAAAGACCGGAAGGAGAGTAAGCTCCTGAAGGGACCTGAATGCTAAGCTCAGGAGCTTGACCTTCATCCTAAAATAAAAGGCAGCCCAAAAAGTTTCTGGAGAGTGACTGAGCTGGGCTTTATGATTATCTTGATGGACTGAACACAGGGAGGTCAGGGTAGTTGAGCATTAATGGGACCCTAAATAAGGGTAAAAATGGAAAAAAGCAAAAGAAGACTCATTTCAAAGAGAACTGACAGGACACAAGCAAATTAGGATGTTGGGGCTAGTGGTGGTGTGTGAAGAACAAGGAATCAAGTGGAGGGGCTGTCATGAACAGAGGTAGGTAACAGGAGGAAGAGAGCAGTGGCCAAATCTCATGTTATCTATACCTTCCTTTCTCTGGCATCCTTGCCCTCTTAATATCAGGCCTCATTCTGCCTTGCCTGGACCAGTGATGCCCCAATCTGGAGAGCTTGTTAGAAATCCTGAATCTACCAAACCCAAATCTCTTGTGTGTGGGTGTGGGACTGGGAATCTGTATTTTTAGCAAGCATCACAAACAATTCTTAGGCATTCAGACCAGCACTGGTTCAAGGCCCAGCAATCAGGAACCAATGGCCTGGACAGCTGCGGTTGTCCAGCAGGTCTTCCTGTATCCAGTCCTGTCTCCTCCAATCATTCTTCTCACTGGGCCAACTGAATTTGTTTTTTTCTTGTTTGTTTGTCTTTGTTTGTTTTGAGACAGTGTTTCATTCTGTCACCCAGGCTGGAGTGTGGTGGCATGATCATGGCTCACTGCAGCCTCAACCTCCTGGGCTCAAGTGATCCTCCTGCCTCGGCCTCCCAAGCAGCTGGGACTACAGGCGTGCAACCAGCTAATTTATTTTTTATTTTCTATTTTTTGTAGAGACAGGGCCTTACTATGTTGCCCAGGCTGGTGTTGAACTCCTGACCTCAGGATATGTGACCATATTCCACTGATCAAAAACCTTCAATGGCTCCCCACTGTCCACAGAATAGCTTAATCAAGATCCTTCACAATTTGGCCCTAAATTTCCTTTCTGAACAGAATCCCCACTTCTCTCCTTCAAGCATCCCATACTCCAGCCAAAATTAACTCCCTCCTGTTTCTAATATTTGCCTTCCCCTCCCCTGCGTGTGCCTCATCCTAACACTATTCCCTACCTGGGAGTCCCTTGCACATTTTTCTGACTCTGCCTGGTTCCTCTACAGCTATTCCTACTTGGTGTCACCTACAGATTCAAACCACCCAATTTCCCCAGACAGAACCTAAAACAGGGGTCAGAAAACCACAGACTGCCTGTTCTTGTAAATAAAGAATACAGTAATGCCCATTCATTTCCATATTGTCTATGGCTGCCTTCTGCTTTTCTGCTACAATGGTAGAGCTAAGTAGTTGTAACAGAGACTGTATGACCCACAAAGCCTAAAATATTTACTATCTAGCCTTGTGCAGAAAGTTTATGACATCTGGCCTAAAGCAACAGCTCCTTAAATTGTGCTAGCCTCACCCTTTGGAGTTTAATTCTGATTACGGGGATTTTGCTTGTTCCAAGCCCACGTCCATCTTTGTGAACTCTAATTCTGATAACTGGGTCACATCTGAGCTGGACCTTCAAGTTTGTGTAGGATGTTTCAAGCAAGAAAAGGCATTTCAGGAGGAAAGAACATCATAAATGGAGAATTATAGATATGAAAGTGTGAGGTCTCTTTGGAAAGTCTTGTAAGGCTACAACATATAGAGAAATGACAGGAGGTGAGGCTACAGCATTAGTTTGGGACCAGATTATGAAAAGACTTGGAGGCCATGCTAAGTGTCTGTTCTAAACTGCAAGCAATTGGAAGCCTTTAGAGAGCTAGAAGTGTAGTCCCGGAGTCAGAGGGAGTGATCAGGGTCAAAGCTAGAGGATTTGGAAGCATAATCACAGTAGCAATAAGTGAAGTGACGTCAGGAAAAATATCACTGTAGGAAAGAATAGGGAATAAACTGAGGTCAGGCAGATATCCAGGGCCTGTGAGGAAGAGCCAGACAGCCGGCCTGAGCCAAGAGTCAGAATCTGGCTATGAAAGCCAGGTGACTGGCTGGGGCTGGAGATGGATGCACGATCCACAGCCTTCAGAGCCCATGCTCCTAGGAACCACCTGGCTGTGAAACAGGCTTTCTGTGCCAAGAAAGTACCCACAGTATAATGCAAAAAGTACAGGTAGGATGAGTCTGGGCTCATTTCATCTGACAGACCCTCACTGACCGAGGTAGCACCTCTGTCTCTTTTCATCCCAAATCTTAAAGTCAATCCAAAAACTGATGCACTGACACACTCCATGCAAAACCACTGATCCCTTTTCCAGCTGGGCCTGGAGACAGAGAGTCATTTGGGGAACCAAGGGCAGCATCCTATTCTGGGTCTGTAGTTTCTACTGGCCCTCAAGCCCAGGAAAGCCCTGGACTGTCAGGCAAAGGAGCTGGATTTTTTTCCTGGCTCTGCAAGTGACCGATTATGTGGTTTTCAGCAGGATCCTAGCCCTTCCTGGACTCCTGATGCTTCATCTATGCAGGAGGGATTGGAGATTAAGGGCCTTCCCTGCCTTTTGGCCTCCACAGCACTCAACCCTAACCACTCCCCCTTAAATCAGAAAGTTCCAGCAGACAAGAGGCCCCTCAAAGATCCCATCCATCAATCACAGCCATCTCGAGCTCCCTCCCTCAGCAAATCTGTTCTAGCTATAGCCTTCCAAGCAGCACTGGCAGCAGCAAGCACCTCCCCCAAAACACAGCCTGCCTCCTTTCCATTACCGGGGGAATTGCTCTCCCAGTAATGGGTCCTGTTCTGGGGTGCCAGTGCTATTCCCAGGGCCCTAGAGAGCCAATTAAGGCGAGGAAACTGTTCGTGAACTAAAAAGCCACTCCACTGACAGGGCTCCAGGCTCCAGCTTCTGCACCTGCTGCACACCCAGCTCACCAGCCTGCCCTTCACCTGGGAGACTTGAGTTACTGCCCACAACAGACCCCACAAGGCTGGACACACTGCAGCACCTGGAATGAGCAAAGAGTAGTCACCCACCTCCCAGGCTCCTACAGCTGAGATCTCACCTCTGGCCTCCCATTCCCACCCAAGACCATTAGAACCCCTGCAGCTGAGCTGCTCATTAAGATAAGTGTCATTTCCCTCTCTGATTCTAAGGTTGTAGCATCTTGCATCAGTTCCCCCTCTTTGGATATTCCTAAAGTCCCAAGGCCTGCCCACCGAGGGACCGTGATTGCTCCTCCTTTCAGCATTAGTAGTGTTCGGGGATGCTGTCACTCTTCACTAGCTTCAAGAAGCATCGGGCTATGGTAGTTATTTGGTGTTCTTAAATCTCATTAAGTCTAGCCCTGAAAGCCAGAAAGGGCTTAGAATTGCCCAGTCAATTAGTGCTAGTGTCCAGGTGAGCTCTAGGGTCTGTGACTTCCAGCTACATCCTCAACTTTGAAAATGGGAAAAATAAGATACTAAACAAGTAGATTCTGAAATCTGTATCTAAGTATCAAAGTCTTCCAGCCATGATTTGTCTTTTAATTGATTTGAAGAGAAACAATAAGTAATGTTCCTTTTCCTCACATGGGGAAGGAAATATCCAATCAATTCCCTCTTCCCTTTCCTAAAATGACAAATAAAACCACAGCAACTCTGAGAACCTTGAAGACAGAGCCAGCATATGGTAAGAGTCAGTTTCAGGGATGTTAGCTCCCTTCAGAGCTTGCTACATTTACTTAAAGTATAATTTTGGTACTCAGTGGCCAACTTTCCAGACAGAATTTGACCTGGGACCATTCTTAATTAGCCAAAAAAGCAAATAGCCCCAAGTAGATATTCTCATTGGCTGAGAAAATCCAATTCCAATAGCTAGCATTTGTGTACCCAGCCATCCCACTGCATGGCTAGGCCACTGTATTCTCACCACACTCCTACCTTTGCTCTGGTCCCCATCATTAGCTTTTGAAGATCTTGCCCAGCTGGTCTCCTCAGTACCTGAGAGGTGACGCAGACCCATCTTCCTAGTTGCTGGGGAGAATCTCAGCTAGGCTGTGGCTGTATTAATTAAAGATTTGCACTTGATCCAGCAATTCAAATACTGAGTATACAATAGTCCCCCCCTTATTCATGGGGGCTACTTTCCAAGATGCCTGAAACAGTGGATAGTACCAAACCCTATATATACTATATTTTTCCTATGCATACATACCTATGATAAAGTTTAATTTGTAAATTAGGCACAGTAGGAGATTAACAATAACTAATAATAAAATAGAACAACTATAAGAATATACTGTAATAAAAGCAACATGAATGCAGCCTCTACTGTCTCGCTCTCTCTCTCTTCCCCCTGCCCCCCCACAAAATCTCTTAATATTTTCAGGCTGTGAGTAACTAAAAACTTGAAAAGCAAAACCTTGGATGCGGGGGGAGGGGACTACTGTATTTCCAAAGAAAATGAAATCAGCATGTCAGAGACATACCTGCACTCCCATGTTCATTGCTGTATTATTCACAATAGCCAGGACAGGGAATCAACCTAAGTGTCTACTGATGAATGGATAAAGAAAATGTGATATATATACACAATACTATTCAACCATTAAAAAAAAGGAAAACCTGTCATTTGTGACAACATGGTTGTACTTACAGCACATTGTAAGTGAAATAAGCCAGGTACGGAAAGACAAATACTGTATAAGCTCACTCACGTAGAATCTAAAAAAACTGATCTCATAAAAGCGGAGAGTAAAAGAGCAGCTACCAGGGGCTAGAGTGGTTGGCAGGGGGCAAGGGTAGTTAGGGAGATGTTGGTGAAAGAATACAAAATCCAAGTTAGATAGCAGGAGTCAGTTCAAGAGATCCATTGTACAGCATGATAAGTATGGTTAATAATATATTGTATTCTTGAAAGATGCCAAGAGAGTAGATGTAAAGTGTTCTCACCACCAAAATGATAACTATGTGAGGTGTTGTATATGTTAACTGGCTAGATTTAGTCATTCTGCAACGTATCTATACTTCAAAACATCATGTTGTACACTGTAAATACATACAGTTTTACATGTCAGTTAAAAATTTTTTTAATTAAAAAATATTTATATTTGCTGGCTCAGGCTGCAGGATTTGTTCTTTCTTCAAAGATTTTCCATGGACTCTCCTCATCAGTTTGGTATTCTAAGTGAGCGTGGACTCTCCCCGTGAGCAAAGTGCCACAATGTCGATCGCAAGCTTTGAAGACAGGTGAACCTGAATTTGACCTTACCGGGCAGTAGTTGTTAACCTTAGTCTATAAATATCCCAATCCTCATATTTTTCATCTATAAAATGGGAATACTAATACCTACTTTATAAGGCTGCTGTGAAGTTTACAAAAGATAATGCCTGTACAGTGTCTGCCAACCAGTAAGTGCTTGATAAATGCATTTTGTAACTCCCACTTGAAGAACAAAAAGGGACAGATCACAAGTGAAAAAAGCCTTCTACCCAGGCTTTATTGATTAAGTCATTTATTCTATAAATATTCACTTAAGACCTCCTCTCCTGTATCATGTTCTGTGTTGGGCTGCGGGGTTACAAACATGAAAGGCACCGTCTGGTTGAATGAGAAGATGCCTACCTCATGACATCCCCTCAGTTCCAAGCCCCAGAGCAGGAGTACAGCCCTGGGGAGGCTCTGTTGAAGAATTAGAGTTGAAAACAAGCTGGACAGACCCTGAGCCCAGGCACAGCCCCTCTTCCATTCAACACAGCAACTGCTCGGCTCTGCCCAGCAAGTAGGAGAAACAGGTTTATAGAAATGAACTCAGCCCCATGTAGCGTGGCTCCATCTGGTTGGAGGCATTGAAGCTAGGAACTTGTTTATTCCTCAGCCTCTATCCGCCTCCCCTGCCATCCCTCTACCGGCTCCCACATTTTACTTTAAAAAAAAAAAAACAGATTTCTGCCCAGATTCACAGAAAGAGGATAAACGTTCCAGAAAGCCTGTGTTCCTACTCTGCTGGACAAACTGACTGCACTAAAAACTCTCTCCAAACATGGCTTCTCAAACTACAGACCAGAAATCTAAGTTCAGGTATTAGGTATTTCACTAGGCTAGCCAGAGACAGGTGACAGCTCTGCCTTTCATCAGACAGCTGATTTGGGAGCCATTCTTTTGACCCTTCAGAAAATATTCAGTGGGCAACTGATATCTGCCAGTCCTAGTACGTGGACAACTTACCTGAGTTATTGATCCTTTGCTTGAACTTTAAACAATCTTCTCTTCACTGTATTATTATCACCTGTTTATTTGGCTGTCATTCATTAGACTATGAGCTCTTTGAAGTCAAGGGCTCTGTCTTTTCATCTCTGTACCCTAAATGCCATACAGCCTGGTACACAGTAGTCAATAAATATCCATGGGGGAGAGACAGACACACAAACCAACAAATACCACACCACATAGGGTCCTAATAGTTCCAAGTAATAAAGAGGAAGTTAAGCCAGGCACGGTGGCTCATGCCTGTAATCCCAGCACTTTGGGAGGCCGAGGCGGGCAGATCAGGAGATCGAGACCATCCTGGCTAACACGGTGAAATCCTGTCTCTACTAAAAATACAAAAAATTAGCCGGGCGTGGTGGTGGGCGCCTGTAGTCCCAGCTACTCAGGAGGCTGAGGCAGGAGAATGGTGTGAACCCGGGAGGTGGAGTTTGCAGTGAGCCGAGATCTCACCACTGCACTCCAGCCTGGGTGACAGAGTGAGACTCCATCTCAAAAAATAAAAAAAGAGGAAGTTTATTCAACTTTTTACCCATAAACGTAAATGTGGAAGGTAACCATGACCCAGCCAGACTGTAAGACCTACTAAAGAATATAAGAAGCTGGGCGCAGTGGCTCACTCCTGTAATTCTGGTACTTTGGGAGGCCGAGGTGGGCAGATCACCAGAGGTCAGGAGTTTGAGACCAGCCTGGCCAATATGGCGAAACCCCATCTCTACTAAAAATACAAAAAAATTAGCTGGGCATGGTGGTGGGCACCTGTAATTCTAGCTACTCGGGAGGCTGAGAGAGGAGAATCGCTTGAACCCGGGAGGCAGAGGTTCCAGTGAGCCAAGATCGCGCCATTGCAATCCAGCCTGGGCAACAAGAGCAAAACTCCGCCTCAGAAAAAAAAAAAAAAAAAAAAAAAAAAAAGAATATAAGATGCCACATATTATACATATTATATGAGAAATTGACTCTCTGGTTCCAAATTAAGCATGTTTCCATCTAACAGGCTTTTTTCCCCTATTTCACATGTTCTCAAGTTCTAAATAACAGCACTTTTTGTTTTTTTACCTTTCTTACCTTCTTTCTATAAACGAGGCATAGTACAGAAGGCTTTATGTATATGTCCTCATTTCATCTTCACAACAGTCCTATGAGTTAGTAACTACCACCATTAACCCCATTTTACAGGCAAAAAAAACCTCTTGGGCAGAGAGATGAAGTAACTTGCCTAAATTACACAGCTAGTAATGGCAGGCAGATCAGGAATGACACTCAGATGGCCAAATATACTGACACCAAAGCTTTTGTTTTTATTCTTCATTGCAATTAGAATAACTTGGCAACAAATACTATGATTCAGGTAATTGTCATACATATAGACAGAGATGGAGTCTCACTTTGTCGCCCAGGCTGGAGTGCAGTGGCGCGATCTCAGCTCACTGCAACCTCCACTTCCTGGGTTCAAGTGGTTCTCCTGCCTGAGCCTCCCGAGTAGCTGGTGTCTGCCACCACTGGTACCTGCCAACACACCCGGCAACTTTTTTTTTGTATTTTTAGTAGAGACAGGGTTTCGCCATGTTAACCAGGCTGGTCTTCTCCTGACCTCAGGTGATCCACCTGCCTTGGCCTCTCAAAGTGCTGGGATTACAGGCATGAGCCACCAAAGCACCCAGACCATTAATATGAATTTAATGTTCTCCTTTTAGAGTCAAACACAGCCTTGACACATGCATAATTCATTCACATTAAAAACCTTAAATGAGATCAAAGACCTGAACTTAAGAGCTAAAACTATAAAACTCCTAGAAGAAAACAGAGGGGAAAATATTTATGACATTGGATTTGGCAATGATTTCTTGAATGTGACACCAAAAGCACAGACAACAACAACAAAAAACATAGATAAGTTGGACTTCATGAAAATTTAAAACTTTGTGCATCCCAGGACACTATCAACAGAATGAAAAAGCAACTCACAGAATGGGAGAAAATATTTGCAAATCATATATCTAATAAGAGATTGGTATCCAGAATGTGTAAGGAACTTCTACAGTTCAACACTAACAATGACAACCCCATTAAAAAATGGGCAAACTGAAACTCTGTACCCATCAAATAACAACTCACCATTCCCCCAGCCCCTAGAAATCACCTTTCTAGTTTCTATCTCTACGAAGCTGACTACTCTGAACATCTCATGTAACCAGAATCATACAGTACTTGCCCTGTTATGACAGGCTTACCTCATTTAGCATAATGTCCTAAAGCTTCATCCATGTTGTAGCATGTGTCAGAACTTCCTTCCTTATTAAGGCTGAATAATATTCCATTATATGTATATACCACATTTTGTTTATCCATTCATCTGTTGATTAACACTTGGGTTACTTCCACCTTTTGGCTACTGCAAATAATGCTGCTAGAAACATGGGTGTACAAATATCTCTTCAAGTCCCTACTTTAAATTCTTTTAAGCATATATCCAGAATGGAATTGCTGGATCATAGGATAATTTGATTTTCAATTTTCTGAGGAACTGCCATATTTTCCACAGCAGCCACACTGTATTATATTCCCTCCAACAGTGCACAAATATTCCAATTTCTCTACATTCTTGTCAACATTTATTATTTTCTGGGATTTTTTTGGTTTGTTTGATAGCCATCCTAATGTACTTGAGGTGGTTTCTCATCATGGTTTTGATTTGCATTTCCCTAGTGATTAGTGATGTTGAGCATTTTTTCTTGGGCTTATTGGTTATTTGTACTTCATCTTTGGAGAAATGTATATTCAAGTCTTTTGCCCATTTTAAAATCAGGTTTTTTTTTTTATTGTTGAGTTGTAGGAGTTCTTTATATATTCTAGATATTAACCCAACAATGCTGGAACTTTTTTTTTCATGGCTTAAAACATCAGAAGTTTATTACTTTCAATGATTCCATGGGTTGACTGAGTAGTTCTTCTGCTTCAGTGATGTCATCTGGGATACTGAGATGGCCCAGTCCAAAACAGCCTCACTCATGGCTGGCAACTGGTACTGGTTGTCAGGCAGAAACCTCAGTTCTACTCTCCATGTGACTGCCTGGGCTTGCTCATAGCATGGAGATTGGATTCCAAGATGGCATATTCCTTTTATTTTTATTTATTTTTTTTTTTTTGAGATGGAGTCTCGCTCTGTCGCCCAGGCTGGAGTGCAGTGGTGCCATCTCGGCTCACTGCAATCTCCGCCTCCCGGGTTCACACCATTGTCCTGCCTCAGCCTCCCGAGTAGCTGGGATTACAGGCGCACGCTGCCACGCCCAGCCAACTTTTTGTATTTTAGTAGAGACGGGGTTTCACCATGTTGCCCAGGCTGGTCTCGAACTCCTGAGCTCAGGTAATCCGCCCACCTCGGCCTCCCAAAGTGCTGGGATTACAGGCATGAGCCACCGCGCCCAGTCCCAAGATGGCATATTCCAAGCAGCAAACTTAGACATTGCAGATCTCCTGAGGTCCAGCCTTTGAAGTTACACAGTAACATTTCTGCCACATTCCAGTGGTTAAAGTAAGTCATAGAACAATACAGATTCAAAGGAAACAAATAGACTTCACCTCTTGGTGGGATGGGTGGCAGAAAAGAATTGTGGCCATCTTTAAATCCCCATAGTGATGAAGGGCACCATCATCAAAGCTGACAAAAGGTGCCACCACTGCTGCAGAGGCCCAATATCATTTGGTCCAAAGCATAGACTGCCTTATGTTGATGCATTGAGACTGCCATCTCCTATTGCTGCTAATACCAACAGTGCTATTTACCATTACTGAAGAATTACGGTAAAGTCACAGGCACCATCCTTCATACTGTCAATACTGCTGAAATCAATGGTAATACCTTGCATCCTCATTGTCCAACATGATTTTAATAAAACTCCTTTAGGGCCAGGTGCAGTGGCTCACGCCTGTAATCCCAGCACTTTGGGAGGCCGAGGCAGGCAGGTCACTTGAGGTCAGGAGTTCAAAACCAGCCTGGCCAACATGGCGAAACCCTGTCTCTACTAAAAATACAAAAATTAGCTGGGTGTGGTGGCACATGCTGTAGTCCCAGGTATTTGGGAGGTTGACGCAGGAGAATCACTTGAACCCAGGAGGCAGAGGCTGCAGTGAGCCGAGATCGCACCACTGCACTCCAGCCTGGGCGACAGAGTGAGACCCTGTCTCAAAAAAAAAAAAAAAAACTCCTTTTGGGATTTTATTCACAACCCCTAGTGGCAGCCACCTATCACTCAGGCCTCAGGTCTGTCCAAGGGCTGTGGGGCCAGGGTCAGAGATTGTTAAGCAACACTGCATTAAGCCTGAGGGACTAACAGTAATCAGCCCTCTCCTCTGCCCTTAGGCACTGGAATTGAACCAAACCTGACCATCTCATTTATTTCTTTTAAGTTTTATTTTAGGTTCAGGGGTACATATTTAGGTTTGTTATATAGGTACATTGTGTGTCATGGGGGTTTGGTGTACAGATTATTTCATCACCCAGGTAATAATCACAGTACCTGATGGGTAGTTTTTTGTTTTGTCTTGTTTTGTTTTTATTTATTTTTTTTTTTTTGAGACAGAGTCTCACTCTGTCACCCAGGCTGGCATGCAGTGGTGCGATCTTGGCTCACTGCAACTTCCACCTCCTGGGTTCAAGTGATTCTCATGCCTCAGCCTCCCGAGTAGCTGGGACTATAGGCACGCAACACCATGCCCGGCTAATTTTTGTATTTTTAGTAGAGATAGGGTTTCACCATGTTGCCCAGGCTGGTCTCGAACTCCTGACCTCAGATGATTCGCTGCCTTGGCCTCCCAAAGTGCTGGGATTATAGGCGTGAGCCACTGCACCAGGCCTGATAGGTAGTTTTTTGACCCTCACTCTCCTTCCACCCTCCACCCTCAAGCAGGTCCCAGTATCTGCTGATGCCATCTTTGTGTCCACATGTACTCAATCTTTAGTTTCCACTTATAAGTGAGAACATTAAGTATTTGGTTTTCTATAATGCTGGAACTTTCAAGATATATTTATGATTCACCATATTTATAAATTTAACTCACTGGATTTTCAAGAGTTCTTTAAGTAATCAGGAATGCCTATTTGCTAGATAATTGGAGTACTTACAAAGAAAATAAATTACATTTTATTTTATAAAAGCCAATATTAACAAAATTTGTAACTAAGTTTGCATATTAATCAAAGGCCCTTTAAATGGCATTGTTAAAATTTATGCCACTTATAAAGACAGTAAGATTTGTTAATTAAAATTAAGATTAAGGAAAAACTAAGTTTATGTTTAAAAATCATATATTAATGTAAAAAAATCAAAATAGATCGTATCTTTCCTGTACTCCAAACTCTCAGCAGACTCTGAGAGGCAAGGTAGCTTGCCCATGGGTTCAGAGGGCTTAAATATGTAGATAATCCAGACTATAGTTTTTAAAACTCTATTATCACAATGAAACACTAATTTTAAAAAATTATTGGACAGGACTCATGAAAATATGTGTGTGGACCTCAGCTTGAGAACATTTCACTAATTAAGAGTGTGGGCCGGGTGCAACGGCTCACGCCTGTAATCCCAGCACTTTGAAGTCCCCATTTTTAACCAGTGCTATAATGCCTCACAGAGAGCCTAGATTTGTGCTTCAAATCACTTGGGAAATACTGCAGAGAACAAAACAAACAGAAAAGATCAACAACGGTATTTCTAAGTGTTGCCAACTTATTTGACTTTCTCACTGCATAATTTCATTCAATGGATATTCACTGTACCTCTGTGACATGTCCTGTGCTAGAATAATAAAATGAAGTGACCCGGTTCCCGTCTCCAGTGACTGCACAGTTCCCAGTGAGACCGTTTCCTAGGAAACCTGACATTCTGGAGGAAGACACAGGCTCCTCCCTGCTGGGCAGCAGCTTAAATACTGAATAGTTCACTAGTCAGTGTGATTCTATTCAAAATCTGTTCCTGACTAACCCTAGGAGGCCAGCCATTCTCTCTCTGCCTTGGAGATTTAGTGAGTCAGAACACATCCTCTCCGTCTGGGGAGGCAGCCAAACTTTGAATCAAAACCTTTCCAGGCTTCTTAGTCTGCCACCAATTTAAGGAAATCCCAAACATGAAAAGTTCCAGCTTACAAAACAGATATATTAGGCATCAAGAGGATTCACTCTGTCTCACAGATTCCCCCAAAGATTGCTTTCAGCAATGAGTGTCCCTTGGGCATTTAAATTCTGATTCTTTCTACACCCAAAATTCAGTTCCTATGAAACAGGAAGAGACCTGTTATGTAGTGGGAGGTGAACTTGTGGTGCCTTTGTACTTACCATCTGCAACAGTCTCATGAGCCTTGGCAATCTGCCCTAGCTCCTGTATCAAGCCCTGGAAGCAGTCCTTACGGAGCAAATGCTGGCAGGATAGGAGATGAGAGCCCATACCTGGCAGGTCCTGATGGCACAATGAGCAGGTCATTACCATGGCCTCCATCTGTCCACTCTTAGGGCAGTGTTTCTGGCCAGCTAGTGGCAGCCCCATAAAGCTCATGCCCATGTCCACAGCCATGCCTGTGCCCAGGACTGGGGCTTTTCCACTGATATCCTCAGGTGAGAAGCAGCGTGTAGAGCGAGCCAGCTCCACTCCCTGTAAGTGAAGCACAAAGCAGAGTGATCTACTTATTTTGAGCAGAAAAAAATCTTAGGCCAGAGGGGCCTTCGAGAACAAGGCCTCAAAAGTCCAGGCCATGTTCCTCTCCAGAGCTGGAGGCTCATGCCTCAGCCTCAGTTCCTCACCTGGGACCAAAAAGAGAGTCTAGCCATCTCTGCCGTGGAAAACAAAGCGTGGAGGTGTCTGCTGTTTGTCTGAAGGCGAACAAACCCTTCAAAAGTGTCCCGTACCTGTGCCTCTCCTTATTGGTAGACAAGCTTGACCTAAGTTTCAATTTTGGAAAAAGGAAGAAAATTGCATTATTGACAAGTTTATGACAGGCACTTTACATACTGTATTTCAAAGGGGTTGAGACACTTTTACAAATTAAATAAAACCAAGAGGGACAGGCTGAGGAAACAGTGTTAGAGAGGCTGGGTCACGCACAAAGACAGATGGCAAATGGCAGAGTCCAAATTCAAATCCAGGTCAGTCTTCTGATTCTGGACTCCAGTCTCTTTTTTTTTTTTTTTTTTTGAGACAGGATCTCACTCTGTGGCCCAGGCTGGAGTGCAGTGGCACAATCACAGCTCACTGCAGCCTTGACCTCCCTAGGCTCAGGTGATCCTCCCACCTCATCCCACCTCAGCCTCACAGGTAACTGGGATGACAGGTGTATGCCACCACATGCGGCTAATTTTTTGTATTTTTAGTAGACAGAGTTTCACCATGTTGCCCAGGCTGGTCTCAAACTCCTGGGCTCAAGTGATCTGCCTGCCTTGGCCTCCCAAAGTGCTGGGATTACAAGCATGAGCCACCACACCTGGCCCATACTCTTTTTTTTTTTTTTTTTTTTAAGATGGAGTCTTGCTCTGTTGCCCAGGCTGGAGTGCAGTGGCGCGATCTCTGCTCACTGCAAGCTCCACCTCCCAGGTTCACGCCATTCTTCTGCCTCAGCCTCCCGAGTAGCTGGGACTACAGGCACCCACCACCGCCCTGGCTAATTTTTTTTGTATTTTTAGTAGAGACGGGGTTTCACCGTGGTCTCGATCTCCTGACCTCATGATCCACCCGCCTCGGCCTCCCAAAGTGCTGGGATTACAGGCATGAGCCACCGAGCCCGGCCCACACTCTTAATTAGTGAAATGTTCTTAAGCTGAGGTCCACACACATATTTTCATGAGTTCTGTCCACTAATTTTTTAAAATTAGTGTTTCATTGTGATAATAAAGTTTTAAAAAGTATAGTCTGGATTATCTACATATCTACCACAATATGATTTTGGGGGTAGTGTTAAGAGTCTAGGATTTAGTACACACTAGGCAGTATTACTTGTCTCAGGTTAATGAGCTGAGAGAGGGGCAGACTTAATACACAAATAATGTATTCTTGCCACTTGAAGTCTAAACAACATTGTGGCACAAAATGATGCATGTTTTACAGTACTTGGAACAGAGAAAGGAAGTGGGAAAACTGAGCCATCATCATTGTGGCATATGTTTGCTGAACTTAGCTACAAGAGTGAGCACCACATTTAAGTCATAATGATAGTTTAGTTTAGAAAAACATCACATACATGTGAAATTAATATTATTAATTTGATGGCTTTGTAGTTTTTTACAATTTGTAAACTATATTCAGTTTTATAGTTGTATAACAGCTAAAAGCCAAAGGAAGTTGTAGCTAGTTTTATATTTGTACTTATTTAAGAAACAAAATACAAATCATTTAATTCAAATCTGGGTCTTGGTAATTATGCAAGTTTGAGAAAAATTTCACTCCAGTCTGAAGTCTTTAGGAGCCAAGCCTTCAGGAAGGAGGAAGGGTGATGGGGCTGGGAGAGGCCAGGCTGCCTGGGGTCCAGAAAGATGCCACTACATAAAGCTATAGATAGACCTGCACTTCTAATTCCTTCTGGGCATTATTTAGCAGAAAACAGCCATAGCAGCAGCATGATTAGAGACGAGGACAGTCTCTATTAGAAGGTTCAAGCATGCCTGAGTTTATTTCACTGGGCCAGTAGTTCTCAAACTTTTTGGTCTTGGGAATCCCTTTACATATGTTTACTCATTGAAGACCCCAAAGAGAGTTCATTTATGTGAACTATTGCTATTTACCACACTAGAAGTTAAAGCTGAGAAAATCTATTGCTATTTACCACATTAGAAGTTAAAGCTGAGAAAATTTTAAAACATTAATTTTCATAAAATAATAAACTTGTTATATGTTAACACGAATAACATACTTTTTGGAAAAAATAACTATTTCCTTTTTTCCATTTATTTATTTATTTATTTTTTGAGACAGGGTCTTGCTCTGTTGCCTAGGCTGGAGGGCAGTCGTGCGAAGTTCACTGCAGCCTCAAACTTCTGAGCTCAACCAAACTTCTTGCTTCAGCCTCCTAGGCAGCTAGCACTATAGGCATGTGCCACCACACCCGACTATTTTATTTTCATTTTTATTTTTGTAGAGACCAGGTCTTGCTATGTAGCCCAAGCTGGTCTCAAATTCCTGGACTCAAGCGATCCTCCATTTTGGCCGCCCGAAGTGCTGGGATTATAGGCGTGAGCCACTGCACCCAGCCTAAAAAAAAAAAATCAACTACTTTCAAAAAAATTAATTTAATGAGAAGAGTCACATTGTTTCTCATATGTGCCAAACCCTTTAACATCTGGCTTAATAAAAGACGGCTGGACTCCCATACCTGTTTCTGCAGTCAATCTGTTATATGTTGTTTTGTTCACAGTATATGAGGAAAATCCAGTCTCACACAGACATACAGCTGGAAAAGATAGGAGTACTTTAATAGCCTTATCAGGTAATTGTGGATATTCTTTGATACCACACCAAAATTCAACAGTGGTAGTAGTTTCTTAAATGTTATTTATAAGGTAGACTCTGAACCAAACTTTTCTTATTCTGTTATATTAAAATCTGCTGATCTTGCTCTTTGAACTAGTCTTTTCCCCAGGCACAGTTTTTTAACACCAAGCATTGGTCATTTGGAAAATACCAGTTCAATGACTTATGCAGATGTTCCAAATATCGACACATTTCATTACACAATAACAAAAAATCACATTCTTTAGAATCACCTCGAATCTCATCAGAAAATTCTTTTAAGCATTGAGAAGCTGCCAAATTCATGGAGGCAGCAAAAACTACCAGAATTCTAACTTTTGCTTGAACGCTTGAATTTTATCATTGGCAACAAATACTGTCAATTCACTTTTGAGAAAATATCGGACAAATTCCCAAGCCTGAATAACCACAGTTTGTCTGCCAGTTATTCTTTTTTTAGATGCAGTTTTGCCCTTGTTAACCAGGCTGGAGTACAATGGCGTGATCTTGGCTCATAGAAACCTCCACCTCCCAGGTTCAAGTGATTCTCCTGCCTCAGCCTCCCGAGCAGCTGGGATTACAAGCATGCACCACCACACCCAGCTAATTTTGTATTTTTAGTAGAGACAGGGTTTCTCCATGTTGGTTAGGGTGATCTCAAACTCCCGACCTCAGATGATCCACCTGCCTTGGCCTCCCAAAGTGCTGGGATTACAGGCATGAGCCATCGCACCCGGCCTGCCAGTTGTCCTTTCGTGTAATACTGATGTTTCACTTTTTATTTTTTTAATTATTATTTATTTATTTATTAATTTTTGAGAGAGTCTCGCTCTGTCGTCAGGCTGGAGTGCAGTGGCGTGATCTTGATTCACTGCAACCTCCGACTCCCTGGTTCAAGCGATTCTCCTGCCTCAGCCTCTCAAGTAGCTGGGATTACAGGCATGCACCACTACGCCCAGCTAATTTTTGTATTTTTAGTAGAGACGGGGTTTCACCATGTTGGCCAGGATGGTCTCAATCTCCAGACCTCGTGATCCACCCGCCTCAGCTTCCCAAAGATTACAGGCGTGAGCCACCACATCGTCCATTATGTTTCATTTTTTAAAAGGCTAGTTTAACTTGCAACTCAATAGCACAAGCACAGTTTCTCACTTTGATATGTAGTAGGAATACTTTTTCTTCACACAGAACATCAAAAAGAAATCTAAAAAAGTACTTAAGAATTTCAGGATTGAGATTTAATAAAAATTGTTACCACTTCATCATGGATGGACATTCTTAAGGTAAACTTCTTTTTTTTTTTTTTAACCGGCAGATGCTTAGTGGTAAAGAATATAAGGTTTTGTTCCAGTTTGGTGCCCAAAACATCAGCAGTTTTACATAACATTGCTTTGGCACCATCAGTGCAAATGTCAACCCAGTGAAAAGATCAAATAACACGTTAGCTTTATTATTAAAATTGTTTGACCTGTGAACTCCCTGAAACGGTCTCAGGGACCCCCCACCCCATAAGGTCTACAGACCACACTTGGAGAACTACTGCATTAGACCTTGCATCACAATCCTGGGAATTCAGGGAGGTAGCATGGCTTTCCACCACCAGCAAGTACTACACAGGGTAAGAATATAAAGAAACAGGCATCTCATTTATGTCTTAGAAGAGCAATTGAAGTAACTCCATGAAAGTAAATGGTTAATTTAAAGGCACAGCCACACAATGAGTTTCTGATTTGAGAAGACGAAGGGTCAAATGACCCCATTTCTGCCCCCTTCTTATGGCTGCTTTCATCATAACTTAGTTCTTCCCTCTCCTTCTTATCTCCCCTGACCTAGAAGAGTGTAGGGGACAGAGTTTGCAAGACTGTACTTAAGCCAAGGTAGTAAATTCAAATGCCTACAGGGGCTGGGCAATCTATATGAACGAAGTGCTTTACTTAAAAGAATGTGGGTCTAATGTCTCCAAATCTTAGTTTTCCAAAACCCAGGAAATTATTTTTATTTACATTTTAAAATGTTAACAAAAAGTTAAATTTTAAAACATTGCCTTGCCACAAACCACCTCCTTTTAACATCTTACCACATCTATATCTAAGAAAAGGAAAATATTTACTGGAGTACCTTAACCTTGCTAAGGAATGATGGAACAAGTCATTCCACATCACATTGGGAATAAGAATTTCAAAGATTGTTTGCATGAAGGGTACAGAACAAATTATCATAAAAATAACACTCATTTTAGGGAGAAAATGTGAGCGAGAAATAGTAGGTAATGAGAGTACCTACTCTTTGCTAGGCTGTGTTATATGTGATATATTATTTGTTTGCTTGTTTAATGTATGTCTTAGACATAGTCTTAGGGAAGGACTTTTGTTCACAATTGTACCTGCCCCTCACTTGCCTGGCACCTAGCATAGGAACATAGTACACACTCAATTAATATTTATAAAACGAATGAATGAATCTCATTATTTTTTCATTATACAGACAAGAAAACAGATTCAAAGAGAACATGCTATTTGTTCAATATAATTCAGTGAGTAAAAACAGAACTAGGAGGCTGGGCGTGATGGTCATGCCTGTAATCCCAGTGCTTTGGGAGGGCGAGGTAGGAGGGCTGCTTGAGGCTAGCAGTTTGAGACCAGCCTGGGCAACATACAAGACCTTATCTTTAAAAACAACAACAAAAAAAACAGAACTAGGAAATGAACCCAACTTTCTGTGTTCTTTCCATTAATTTTATCCTCTGAAATTAAAGTAAAACCCAAATATGTAACTCCTTTTTTCTGCTATTGTATAAGCTGTTCTCAAAGACTCTAGAATTTCTCTTTTCACGTTTTGTTACTCTGAGTTTAATGGCAACAAGGTTTTCCACCCTAGTTTCCAATAAAGCTTTAGGAATGTAATTGCCATGTAGAACACTCTATCCAACACAGGAAAGAAAGACTCCTAAAAATTCCTAATCTTCCAATTAGATTATTTTTACTTTGTGCTGAAGAAAACCTCGCCTGATCCTATGGATTTCCCCTAAATGCCATATATCAAAAACTACCGATAAAGGCAAACAAAAACCCCCAAGGCTAGGGAGGTTAAAATGAAACTGGAAACTGTACATATTGCTGGTGAATAAATTGGTACGATCCTTTTGGAAAAAATACATAGTAACATAAAATGAATCACAAAAATGTTCATACCATATAATCCAGCAGTCTCACTTCTGGGAATTTATCCTAGACAAGTTATTCAACAGGAGAAGAAAAAATTATATACAAATGCTCATTCCATCATTGTCTCTAACAGCAAAGAATACAATAAGAATTTTTTAAAAAAACAAAATACACAAGAAAGTGGCTTAATAAAAGATAGCACATGCTGAAAATAAATTATTCTTCAGCTGTTAAAAATAATCATGAAGACTGGGTAGTGATACGAAAAACTGCCATGGTATTAAATAAAAAGAATACAAAAGGATTTGTATACTATGATCACTAACTTTGCAGACAGCTATGTCTCCATGTATACAAGGGTTGAAAGGTAATACTCAGAAAAGAAAATGGCATCACAGGGTGGAATGATTTGAGTTGCTTATACTTATATTTTTTTCAGAATTTTCTTTACTGTTGTACTGTCTATTACGTATAATTTTTCAAGTCTTTCTGAAGTAAATTGGGATTTCTGAGCTTTTCTCTAATTCTCACTTGGAAAAAAAGCAGAAACACTGCTTCTTCCCATCTTGATTAACAGTGCTCTACTTAAAAAAGAAAACGAACATATTTCCAAATGTCCACATCTAAAGATGGAGAGCAAGAAAACAGAGCTGGATTCATTCAGGATGTTGCTGCTATCTGAAGGACTGATGTCGAATTCAGGAACCCAGTGAGGAGAGAAAGGAAGAGGGATCACCAGGGCCTTCTTCAGGGTGATGATGTGTTCCCAAGGCCACCTGGAGAGAGGCCTGGGGCAGCAAAAAATCAGCACACTTGCCTGCCTCACCAGGCTGCTGTCTGGTATCATCTCTTCCGTTCATTTCTGAGGTATTTTCTGAGGCCCTCACACTCTGAGGAAGCCCAGATGCCTGAGATGTCACAAAGCCATGCTGTACTTCAGAAGAGATGTCACAGAGAAGGACACCCCTCAGGAGTCATGGCCAAAGGTCATGTCCCATGTGCCTAGCTGGGAGGGACAGGTCCCCTAATGCCAAATATCTGGCTGCTACTCCACTTTGCAGACAGAAAACTCAGCTTTGTCTGCTCTCTCAGACCTCTGTCAACCTAGGAAAAGTGACACACACTGAACAAACACCACATGAGCTGTGTGTTTAAGTCATGTGGTTGCCTTTTGAAGGAGAGGGAGCTGGATAGAAAACTGGATTGAGCCAGACAACTACCCAGGGTACTCCCTCTACAACCAGATCAAGCCATTGATGAGAAGAATGTTAGGTGAACACAGAACCCAACGGGTAGTGCTGGGTCCACTCTGGGAGGCCTTCTGTTCAGCCGCGTGACCTGAGGGACAGAACGTAGCTCCTCTATAACCAAGGAACCTGGCAAACTATCCAAGAGGAGTGTCTTAGCACCCAGAACCCTACCTCAACCCCTTGCAGTGGTGGTCCTTATTGTAGGCCCCAGCTCTAATACCACTGATGGTTCCCTTTCATTCCCAAGGCCCTGCCCAGCTTACCTCCATTGACAGATCATCTTCCCAAGGTTAGGTTCCAGGTAACCCAGCTCATTTCTTGTGCACTTACTGGCCAGTTTTGATGTCAAATAGACGACGATGTCTTCTTTGATCTCCCCTCCTATTCTCAAGACCCCTCTTCCTGCTGGTCACATGCAGTATGTGATTAAGGTTGATGGAGGGATGAAGACCATAATGCTGTAAGGTCAGAGAGGGACTGGTCACTGAGGTAAAAGCAGGGGATCTGGAGAGAGAAGACTAAAGGCTAGGCCCAGGCTCTGTACCTGACCACCTATGCAGCGTCTGACAAGTCACCCAATTCTTCTGTGCTTCAGTTTTCACACACGTAAAATGAGGCTGGTAGTGCTGTACCTTCAGGCAGATGTATTTTGTAAATTGCCAAGTGCTCTGAAAATGTTGGTTGTTATCCTTGTGGACTGAAGTGTTCTGGGAAGAAGCAGAATATAAAGTTGGCCTTAAAGGTTGAGGAAGATTCAGGACATGTGGTCAGGAAGAGGATGGGCACTCCGGGATGGGAAACAGCATGAGCAAAGGCAAAAATGCAAATGGGATATACCAGGCACGGCTGCAGTAGAAAGCTTGTGTAAGGGAGAGGCTGGGGTAAGGCTGGAAAGGCAAGTGGGCTATATTCTGTTGGTCATAAGGAGCTACCGAACTTTTTGATCAAGTAAAAGAATGAAAGTCATGTTTTCGGAATACTAACGTGGTGGAGGTGTGAAGGATACAGAAATTGGAGGAGGGTTAGAATGCAGGCAGAGTGAACAAAGGAAGGTGTTGTAAACTCCAGTTAAGAGATATGATGGGGGCCTGAATGAAGGCAGGGCACTAAGGCTTAAACAGAGGAAGCACATTGGGGAGATACAGAAACAAAAGGATAGGGTGACAGTGTAGTAGAAGAAGAGAAGGCTTGGGGACAATTTTCATTATCTAGGTGGACAATGGTGCCACTCACCAAGACAGAGAATAAAGGAGAAGGCACCAGTGAGCAGTGCAGATTGAGTTCTTTGGATATGTTTACTTTGTCTGTAGAATGTCCAAGGAATACTAACCAGTAATTAAGTGACCATATGGGTGTGGAGCTCAGCAATAAGGATGTGAATTGAAGCCACCCAAGAAGACCATGTACTGTGAAAAGATAAGGACAAGGACAGAAGGCTGAGGAACATCAACATTCAAATGGTGGACAACGCTGGATGGAAGAACCTGAAAAGAAGACTGAAAAGTGACCAAAGAGTAGGAGGAAGGCAAGACTTTTTCTAGAAAAAGACGCCAACAGATTAAAGTACAACAGAAAGAACAAGTGATATGAAGAATAGGAAGAGTCCAATTTGGCAATTCGTTCATTAATGACATTAGTAAGAGCAATTTCACTGAAGTCACAGGCTGTGAGCTAGACCGCAGTGAACAATGGATGGGAAGGTGCAAATGGGCAGGATTTGTAGACTACTCTTTTGGGGAGCTTGGCTGTAAGGGCAAGGACATGGGAGAATTTTGGAATTTTTTTTTTTTTTTTTGAGACGGAGTCTCGTTCTGTCGCCCAGGCTGCAGTGCAGTGGCGCGATCTCGGTTCACTACAAGCTCCGCCTCCCGGGTTCACGCCATTCTCCTGCCTCAGCCTCCCGAGTAGCTGGGACTACAGGCGCCCACCACCACGCCCATCTAATTTTTTGTATTTTTAGTAGAGACGGGGTTTCACCGTGTTAGCCAGGATGGTCTCGATCTCCTGACCTCGTGATCCGCCCGCCTCGGCCTTCCAAAGTGCTGGGATTACAGAAGTAAGCCACCACGCCCGGCCAGAATTTTGGATATTTTAGCTAAAATATATTTTAGCTGAAGGGGGCAAGACAAAGAAAAATAAATAAATACACGCTCACACATACACACAGAGAATAACTGAGGGGATGGGATTTTAAAAATTTATTTCATTTTTCCCATGGGATCTATTAATAGACTAGCGAGGGGATGGGATCTTGAACACTGGTTGAAGGAACCGACTTAAGAGCGAAGACATGCTGCTATTAGCGAAGACAGGGAGGTGAGGGTAAGTTCATTTATTCACTCAACAATCACTAGTTGAGTGTGGATTAAAAAAAACAGTCCTTGACCACATAAGGAATTAGGTCTAGTAGGGAAGACAAACGTAGGTCAATAAATTACATAAGGGTTATACTAGATTGTGTGGTGGTACAGGTGGGGAAGCGAGCAACTGTCTGCATTGTGTCCAGGAAAGGGTCACAGGCGTGTTATGTAGATTCTGGAGAAAATTCAAAAATAGCATTTATTTTTACTTATTTACTTTTGTATGTGGAGACGAGGGTCTCACTATGTTGCCCAGGCTGGTGTTGAACTACTCGCCTCAAGAAATCCTCCCGCCTCGACCTCCCAAAGTGTTGGGACTACAGGTGTGAGCCACCGCGCCTGGCCTAAATGTGGCATTTAGAAAAAGTATTTACAACATCTGCATTAAAAGGACCATAAAGCAACCAGGCATCTAAGTCCCTGAAGCAATTTAAGTTGCTCAAACTTGAGAGGACAACCAAATGATAGCAAAAGGGCAAAAGAGAAAGGAAGCTGCAGTGCCCACTCAGAAGTGTGAGAGCGGGAGAAGGCATTTCGGGAGCCGCCCGAGCTTCAGGAAACCGAGCGAGACACCAGGTGGGCACACTGAGGATTAAAGAGGGCCTCGCGGTTCCGCACTGCGGCCGGGAGACAAACCAGTAGCCACTATCACCAGCCCCGGGCAGACCACTAAGAACTGTGGAGGTGCGCGGGGCGGCTCAGGGCTGGCGCATTTGGTGAGGAGCTCAGACAACGAGGCCCTTAGGGTCGGCTTAGGCGGTTCCCTGACCAAGGCGCCAGAAAAGGGCCTGGCTCAAGCAAGCACGGGCGGCGTGCAGTACAGCACACCTAGCCCCGATTCTTCAACAGTTCTCGCCCTCCGAGCCTAGCACAACGAGCCTCACCGAAACCGTACACCGCCACCAGGACACTCCGTGATGGGGGATCACCACCCTCAGAAAGAGGAAGCGACTAGCAGGCGCGCAATCCCGCGAGACCAGGAGGCCCCGCCCGAAGCCCGGCCTCTGTGACCGGAAGTGAGGCGTTTTGCCCCGCCCCCGTGGCCGATACCTCGCGAGACTTGGCGAAGGCCTTCCTTTTTCGTCTGGGCTGCCAACATGGTAGGTGTTTCGTTTCTTGCCTCCTCTTCCTTGCCGGCGGAGACCCCTAAGCTGTATTCCCATTGCCCCTAGTCATCCACTCCCTACCATGGTCGGGGCTTCCAGGCTGCGCATGGCCGCCTGCGGGGCAGGGTGGCCGGCGCGGGCCCGGGGCGGGGCTCCCGGAGCCGTGTGTTAGGCCCGCGGTTCGGATCTCTAGGACACGCGGGCCCCTGCGCTACCGTGGTGAGACCTCACGGCCCTGAGCGGATCGGTACCCTCAGCTTTCCCAAACGCTCCAGAAGTTAGGTCTTTGACCCACAGGCTTACAGGACCATCTCGGCTGGCGGGCATCGCCCCCTGCCCCTAATTCCTTAGGCCTTACCACCAAGCTTTTTCCACACAGCCATCCAGACTGAGGAAGACCCGGAAACTTAGGGGCCACGTGAGCCACGGCCACGGCCGCATAGGTAAGTGCCGGCTTCCCCTCGGGGTGGGCCTTGGGCTCTCTTCGGGTGCTTAGCTAGTCTGGAGATCGGTAGCCTATAAGTGGGTTAGAATAAGACCTTTTTGTGGTCAAGTTGCACAGCTGTTGATTTTTTTCTGACGATCCTCTAGTATTCCAGTTCTAAGGAATTTCACATCAGTGGGGTAATAGGAATTGAGCAGGCACGGTATTGGGTTAGTTGAAGACATGGAGTACTGTGGGAATGCTGTGATGTGGAACCTGAAAAGATGTTTCACCCGGAATCCTAAAGTAATCGCATTGCTGAAAACCGGCATCGGTAGGGTGGGAACAGCGTAAGCGGGACACAGAAGTCTGGGAAACACTCTGCTTTTGTGCGAGGAAGTATTGAGATGCATGAGAAGGCTGTGTGGTGCATGTAGCTTTTTTGTGTGTGTGTGAGACTGATCACTGTCGCCCAGGCTGGAGTGCAGTGGCGAAATCTCGGCTCACTGCAACCCCTGCCTGCCGGGCTCAAGCGATTCTCCTGCCTCAGCCTCCCGAGTAGCTGATATTACAGGTGTGCGCCACGACGCCCGGCTAATTCTTTTTCTATTTTTAGTAGAGTCGGGGGTTTCTCCGTGTTGGCCAGGCTGGTCTCGAACTCCTGACCTCAGGTGATCTACCCCCCCTCGTCCTCCTAAAATGCTGGGATTACAGGCATGAGCCATCACACCGGCCCCACGTAGCTTTGTATTCCTGCAGGCAAGCACCGGAAGCACCCCGGCGGCCGCGGTAATGCTGGTGGTCTGCATCACCACCGGATCAACTTCGACAAATAGTAAGTGTCCTTGGACTGCTTTTATTGACACAGCTTGGGAGGTAGGGGCAGAGAGAGGGCTGGCTTAAACAAAAAGTTTAGAAGCAAGCCTTGCCTATTGCTGTTTTTTACCAAGTTAACACTTGGTGTGAACTGAGAACCTGTCATCGAGGCTAGAGTCACGCTTGGGTATCGGCTATTGCCTGAGTGTGCTAGAGTCCTCGAAGAGTAACTGCTGACCTTATTCACTGGCTGTGGGCCTTATGGCACAGTCAGTCACCAGGTTAGAGACATGCTTCACATTCACCTACCCACAAACTAGTGGATGATAAATTTTGGCTATTCAGAAGACGTTTATTATAGGAGTATGTAGATTTTCCATAGAGTGCTGTTATGTGACTTGAATTTTAGTCTCGGCCCTGCCTCTGACATTGTCGGTGGTTTATCCTGGTTCCAGGAAATAAGACTAGCCTTTTCCTCATGATAGTCTTTGGTGGTTTTTAAAACAGTTGTTTAAGTCAACAGATGTATCATATGCCTGACACTGCTCTACACCAGTGAATAATTTACACTCTAATAGGGGGTGGTAACTATAAAGATGATAAACATAGCATCTTAATTGGAGTGTGTATGAAGGTGGTTGTTACCTCTTCCTAGCCACCCAGGCTACTTTGGGAAAGTTGGTATGAAGCATTACCACTTAAAGAGGAACCAGAGCTTCTGCCCAACTGTCAACCTTGACAAATTGTGGACTTTGGTCAGTGAACAGACACGGGTGAATGCTGCTAAAAACAAGACTGGGGCTGCTCCCATCATTGATGTGGTGCGATCGGTAAGTTAATTGGATGTTTTTCTGTACTTCCATACCTTCCCTTACAAAACTCTGGCTTAATCTAATCCACTTATATAATCTGTACTTCCCAGTTACCTACCAGACATTGATATTCTTCCTGTGGTAGAATTATCATAGGTAGTTCCCTATCCGTAGCAGTGCCTACTGTCACTGCCCAGGTTGTATCAGGTTTGCATTTCGTGCTTGAACTATAGCTGGTTTTCACTGAGCACAGCTCTTGGCCCTTCATGTTCTCCAGATAATAGAATCCTAATATGTTCCATTGATACTCAGTGCCATGCATTATCTGAAGAGATTTTCCCCCAAAACAGATGTATTATGTCTGTCCTTGCGGGGGTTCTGGTCCCTGTGTCAGTCTTAACTCTCATGAATATAGAGGTAGTGTTAAGAGGCCAGAACCCTAGGGACGCTTTAAATTCACTTCCCAGCCTATTTAATGTCCATTGAGTAGTTCTGGTGGTCAGGAAGGTGGTTGTCTTCTTTTGCTTAGCAGGGGGTATTTGAGCAGGAGGAGGCTTATGCTTTGCCGAGACTAGAGTCACATCCTGACACAACTCTTGTCCTGGTGTGCTAGAGTACTCGAAGAGAATCTACTGGTCTTGATTCACTGGTGGGGGCAGTCGGTGCCCCCGTTAGTGCCCAGATCAGAAACATACATACCCTGCCTAGGGATTTAGAAAGTGGGTTGGCAGTCTTTCCTCACGCCCATCACGCAGTTGGTACCTACTACAGTGTATTGTAAACTTTTTTCTCTGTTCTTCTAGGGCTACTACAAAGTTCTGGGAAAGGGAAAGCTCCCAAAGCAGCCTGTCATCGTGAAGGCCAAATTCTTCAGCAGAAGAGCTGAGGAGAAGATTAAGAGTGTTGGGGGGGCCTGTGTCCTGGTGGCTTGAAGCCACATGGAGGGAGTTTCATTAAATGCTAACTACTTTTTCCTTGTGGTGTGAGTGTAGGTTCTTCAGTGGCACCTCTACATCCTGTGTGCATTGGGAGCCCAGGTTCTAGTACTTAGGGTATGAAGACATGGGGTCCTCTCCTGACTTCCCTCAAATATATGGTAAACGTAAGACCAACACAGACGTTGGCCAGTTAAACATTTCTGTTTATAAAGTCAGAATAATACCTGTTGATCACTGAAAGGCCTGCATGTATTGTACTCTGAATTTTACAGTGAATGAGAGAATGTACCCTAATTGTTCAACAGGGCTCAAAAGGAAAGATTCCATTTTGATGGGTCACATTCTAAAGAGGGGCAGTGTGATAGGAATGAGATGGTCCTTTAGGACTTAAGTTCTCAGCCCAAGGTTTTTCCACGTGGCCCCCTCATCTTTTTTTTTTTTTTAAACGGAGTCTCTCTTGCCAGGCTGGAGTGCAGTGGCACGATCTCGGCTCACTGCAGCCTCCGCCTCCCAGGTTAAGCGATTCTCCTGCCTCAGCTTCCTGACTAACTGGGATTACAGGCGCCCACCACCATGCCCAGCTAATTTTTGTATTTTCAGTAGAGATGGGGTTTCACCATGTTGGCCATGCTGGTCTCTAACTCCTAACCTCAAGTGATCTGCCCACATCGGCCTCCAAAAGTTCTGGGATTATAGTGTGAGCCACTGCGCCCGGCCATGGCTCCTTAATCTTGATCCAAATTATTGTTACATCCAGAATGTGATGAATCAAAATCTCGAGATGGGGGTCCAGCAATCTGAAATTTCAGTATGCCAGGGCTTTTCTGTATGTCAAAGTGGGTTTGAAATAGTTAATTTTTCTTCTAGTCTGAAATGTATCGGGAAAATTTGGAAATCCTGAAGGCTGGAAATTGAAATAAGTTTTTCTAGGATTTGTGTCTCTTGCTATTGGAAAACTGATGGTGACCAATTCATGTTTACAAATAAGATCCTCATAGATCTCGGTAAATTATAATTTGCTACAGTTTTATGGTTCTTCCTGTGATTTTGAGCTTTTTTTGACCCAAAATAATACAGTCTAAAACTATAGACAAATAAGATGGCACTTAGACTCCTGGGTTTTAGTTAGTGGAGGTTTCCTTAGTGCACTGTGGGGTCATAATAAGCCGAGAACCATGGCTGTCTATGGGACACATCTGTCAGGACAACCTTTAGAGGATGTTGGGGATCAAATAGAAGGCACAGAGAAGCACTGAATTGGCTTACATAAGAATAGGCTAGAATTACAAGTAGTGAAACCTCGATTCAGCTGGACAATTTTAAACAAATGTATCATTTGGCTTGTATCTTCTGTTGTGCTGGAGAAGTTAGAAATAAGGGCTCTCCAGACCAGCCTGACCAACCTGGAGAAACCTTGTCTCTACTAAATACACAAAATTAGCCAGGCGTGGTGGCACATGCCTGTAATCCCAGCTACTTTGGAGGCTGAGCCAGGAGAATCTCCAGGAGGCGGAGGTTGCTGTGAGCCGAGATCGTGCCATTGCACTCCAGCTTGGGCAACAAGAGTGAAACTCTGTCCACCCCCCCCAAAAAAAGTAAGGGCTCTCCATTAGGGCCCATAGAGGACTTGTAATATGGAACCTGAATCCAAGGATCCCACAATAAGTGGTCAGTAGTTCATGATGAATTAAAAGACTCAATATTTGGTCTTCACCCAATACCTGTGTGACTTTTAGTCCTAATTTCCTCATCTTTAAAATTTCAGTGAAAGTGCCTACCTGAGGATTGTGTAGATTAAAATGGAAACCGTGCACTTAATTTTTTGTTTTGTTTTGAGACGGAGTCTCGCTCTGTCGCCCAGGCTGGAGTGCAGTGGTGCGATCTCAGATCACTGCAAGCTCCGCCTCCTAGGTTCAGACCATTCTCCTGCCTCAGCTTCCCAAGTAGCTGGGACTACAGGCGCCCGCCACTGCGCCCGGCTAATTTTTTGCATTTTTAGTAGAGACAGGGTTTCACCGTGTTAGCCAGGATGGTCTCGATCTCCTGATCTGCCCGCCTCAGCCTCCCAAAGTGCTGGGATTACAGGCATGAGCCACCGCGCCCGGCCCAGGCACTTAATTTTTGTGTTTGACTTAGTAACTTAAGTGCAAACTATTACGGGAGCAGATGGAGTCAATTGGCCTTCATGTGATTGTCAGTGGGAAATTGGTCCAAGCAGAGGGAATACTGGTTCAGGAAACTGGTTTGGGAAGGTTAGGCAAACGGGAAGTGCTATGGTGGAGAGAAAGATTACTCTGGCCGGGCTGTAAAGGACGGCTACAATGGGAGGCTGAAGGCAGAACCAAGAAAATGGGAGTGAGTATGGAAAAGGTACGATTCAGACGGCATAATGGACGGGACTTGGAGACTGAATTGTAGTGGGCCGACCACAAAATGATAAGGCATGGAAGGAAGTAGAGTTTGGGGGGAAGGATCCCTAGTCCCTTAATGGCTACCTTCTTCCCCAGGAGTTGTTAGGCCATCCGATCCCCTGGCCTGGGAAAGAAACACTGATTTCGTTGCTGGCTTGTTCACTCACCAGAAGCTACAGCTACTAACAGTTCTAAAAACTGTTTCATGTGATGAGGAACAGACGAAAATAGTTTTGAGCCCTAAGTCCGCCGATTCCAGTGCTTTCTTGAACCCGCATTTACTAAAATATTTTCATGACTGCCAAGCTTTGAATAGCCTGCTGTGTTCATGGAGGCTCATACTGGCGATCTCTAGTGGCTGGCTAAAGCTTGAATTGCAAAAGATCTAATTTCTGGTCTAATGTATATATGCCTTAAATATAGTTGCGTTCAAACGTGGGAGCTGCAGGTGCAACTTGATTTTATGACAAATGGCTGCCACATAATTTGCACAAGCAGTGCTCGTCAAGGGCAGCTAAATCAGGCGAGCTTTCAATCAAAATAAATGTACTACTAAACCCTACTTAGCGGCTAACTAGCCCAAGAGCAGACAGCCCACGGACGGACTGCAAGTCGGAAGCGCGGGCGGAAGCTGTGCAGCGCCCACCTGGTGGCTCCATCGGCCGCGTTCATCAGTCAGCACGACCCGACCTCAGTGGCGTCCTCACAACACAGACCGGACCTTGGGTCTTACCCCGGCACCTGAGAACCACTTCCGGTGAGTAGCTTCTACTTCCGGAGACGATGACTCCCCCGCGTCCCAGACCGGAAGAAGCCCGGCGGAGACCGGCCTCGCTCGGCCACTTCCGGCAAGGGCGGAGCCGGCCAGTGGTGCGCGAGCGCAGATAACTCCCCTGGAGAGGCGGGATGTTCAACTCCACCCCTGGTCCTTGGGCGGCCGTGGGTCCCCTTCGAAGCGGAGGAATGGCCAACCTCGCCGCACTTCGAGCCCCTTTAGGGTGCGTTTAAGAACAGTGGGCGTGGCCTTTACGTAAATCTTCGAGATGGGAACCTCCAGAATTTGTCTCAATTGTCTAAAAGGTAATGAGCGTCAGCGACATTCAAGGGCACTTTGGGCTAAAAAAGAAAGTGCTTGTACACGGATGGAAATATTCTAGAAGAACATAAAAGGAATTTCCTCTTAGGAGGTTAGGGAAATGAGCACGAAGTATGTTTTGGTGCAGTTTTTTGTTCAACCCAATGCGTATTTTCATATTGAGAGGCAATATAAATGGAGCGAAAGTATCTTGAGAAAAAAAAAAAAACTACCAGAACTTGCCGTTGCTGAAAAGTAATATTTTCTCTTTCGAGAGTTTTCATGGCCTTTTAAATTACACCCCCACCTCCACAGGCAAATAAATTTGTTTTGGAATGCATACCACATCATCTGGCTCTAGAAACGTATTTTGTGTAGCTCCCCTAGCAAGAATATAGGTTAAAGCGTAAATTTAATTCCTGGCTCTATTTTACATCCCAATTTTTATTTTCCTCTCATTCCCACTTTACGTTGTTTCAAATAACCTAGTTTGTGTATCCCTGTAAGTCATTTTGGTATAAAGTAGGTTATAAGTGTACATGCGAAAAGATGTTTTTAACAAAAATGTAACTGAGCTGTGACTAATCCCACTTATTTTCTTGGGTCGTGCTATGGTTTGGATGTGGTTTGAAACTTGGCCCGCAGTATGGCAGTGTTGGAAGGTGGAGCCTATTGGGAGGTGTTTGGATCATGGAGGTAGATCTCTTACAAATAGATTAATGTTCTCCTGTGGGGATGAGTGAGTTCTCACTCTGCTGGGAATGGAGAGCAGGTTGTTTAAAAGGCGTCTGGCTTCCTCAGTTTCTCTCTCTTGCTTCCTCTCTTACTACCCGATCTCTTTGCACACGCCCAGCTCCCCTTCTGCTTTCTGCCGTGAGCTGAAACAGCCTGAGGCCCTCCCCAGGTATTGCTGCCCAATCTTTAACTTTTCAGCCATCAGAACCATAAGCCAAATAAGTCTTTTTTCTTTATCAATTACCCAGTCCCAGGTATTCTGTTATAGCAACACAAAATGGACTAAGATGGGCCCTAATTCCACCGATTCCAATGTCAACCAGAGTTTGACTAATGCTGTTTAAGGGCAATTCTTCAAAATATTGCTTTTTAAAAAGCCCAGAATACTTATTTCAAGACTACAGTTTATCAGAGCATTTAGAACCGTGTAATGAAGTGGCCTGCCCTGCATTAAAAGAACTAACTTAATTACAGAATAGAGGAGAACTGACACTCCTATAGGTGAGGGGACTTCCCTGGTAGAGGAGATAGCACTGTTATCCCTGAGCAACTGCCCCAGTGTTGTCAGAAAGCCACTGTTTAAGGATACTCCCTCTCAATGGCCACAATACCATCTTTTACAGGAGTGTTTTGGAAACAGTGGGGTTTTTTTGTTTGTTTTTTTAATTAATAGAAATGGGGTCTTTACTATGTTGCCCAGGCTGGTCTCAAACTCCTGAGCTCAAATGATCCTCCTGCCTTGGCCTCCCAAAGTGCTGGTATTATAAGCATGAGCCACCACGCCTGGCCATGTTGGGTCATTTTTGTTGTCACAGTCATGGAGGGGAAGGGACCAGGGATGCTAAATATCTTGGAATGGATGAGCTGGTCCTACACAACAAAGAGAAATCTAACTTAAAATCTAACTTCATTTACACATAACCCAAAAGTTGGTTTGTTTTTTGTTTTTGCAGTTTTCATATACTTCTGTTTCCTAGGATTCTAACTACTGTTTAAATCAGGGGAAGCTCATACTTTGTTTTGTTGAGAACGTTACCAAAAATTGTTCATTTCAGAAAACTCACCAATAACTACTCAGTAGGATCTGAGATGCTGATACAACACTTTTCTCCATCTGCATATGTAGCTGTTGCATTCACAGTAATTCTGTGTACAGTATAGGCATCTGATTATCTCTTCTAGTACAGTTGTACACAAGCATTTACATATTTAAATATTATAACAAAATATTTCTGTTTTATTTCTCCCCTTTTATATTACAGTTAAGGTATATTTCGGTAGCTTATATTATCTTTGAATTTCATTTCAGGGTAGTGAAGGAGGGAATTAAAGTATTTGCTATTAAAAAAAAAACTGTTGGATCTGATAGGGATGAAAATCATTGGTTTAGAGGTCCAGAGATCATGTGAAAGAACGTGGAAAGAAGCCCTGAGATCATGTGAAAGAACGTGGAAAGAAGCCCTGAATATTTTTTGTAAACCTCAAGCCAGGCCCACTGTCCACACCCTCCTCTCCCCATAAGGCTGCTGTGCCTTGGCCATGGCAATCACTCTATGGGCCCTTGCAGCCTATTCTAAGCCATTATATGCCAGTACTGATTTTCTGGATTGGGACCAGAGCTGCAGCCACAGTAGCGGGGAGACATACCGCTCTGGTATTCACGGAAGGGCATACTAGATTTTAAAGACACATAAAAGTGGCAAAATTTATGAATAAGGCTGGATGTGGTGGCTCATGCCTGTAATCCCAGCACTTTAGGAGGACTGTTTGAGCCCAGGAGTTCAAGACTAGCCTGGGCAACATAGTGAGACCCCGTTAATGCAAATTTAAAAAAAAAATTTACACATACACATCTTGTGATCGGATCACATGTCTAAAGTGGTTCTTTGGAGCCATGCTGAAAAAGGAGGGGTGGAGAATTGGGGAGGAAGGGAGAGAGAGCGCATGTACCTTTTAGCCTTTTAGGAATTAAATCTGGTTTTTTGGGTTTTTTTTGAGATGGAGTCTCACCCTGCGCCCAGGCTGGAGTGCAATGGCGCGATCTCGGCTCACTGCAACCTCTGCCTTCCGGGTTCAAGCGATTCTCCTGCCTCAGTCTCCCAGTAGCTGGGATTACAGGCACCCCACCACACCTGGCAAATTTTTTGTATCTTTAGTAGAGACGAGGCTTCACCATGTTGGCCATTGCTGGTCTTGAACTCCTGACCTCGTGATCCACCCGCCTCGGCCTCTCAAAGTGCTGGGATTACAGGCATGAACCACCGCGCATGGCCTGTATTTTTCTTATTAAGGAATCTGGTTCTATGACTGTCCTAAGCCCAGGCTGAGTTAAGAGCGACGAGTTCTGGAGGGAACTACTTCCCACTCTGAGTCTTCTGGTTGTAATCCTTGTCTTTTCTCTTGATCTGAACTGAAGACTCATGAGGCTTCAATCTCTGTCCTAGTCCTGGCAAATGGCAGAGCCAGAAAATGACTTTGCCTTCCCAGAAGACAAACCCTCCACTTTATTCTGTGAGGCTGACGGCAGGCCCAAACCATGGACAGGTTGGGGCCTGTGCAGGCCTCAGTGGAGATGGGGAGGAGGAAGAGGGGAAGGAAACTTAGGATGGGATCATCTCTCAACAGGGTGGAAGGACAGGAAAACTTTACTCATGGTTCAAATCCTGTCAGACCCAAACACAATACCAAAGAAAATAGTTGCAGCTTAATGCCTCACTTGGGAGTTTGCAAAGTCTCTGCTCTCCGAAGGCCTTGGTGGGTGAAAAGCCTAAATCGTCCTTATTTCCCACCTTGCTTCTCTCCTTCCTCTTCCATGGAATGTAACCGTACTTTCTGTATGAAAACCTAGGGTTCCAATGGAAAAACGATTCACAGAGTGACATGCAAGAGTCACAGGGAGTAGGTCAGGGCTATGCCCAAGCCTGGGTTGGCATTAGCTGGGCTTTACTCTACCAATGTTAGGACACTCAATGACATCTTAGGGGCTTCAGGCAGAAGAGGAAAATGTTAAGATTTACCTAATAATGGGGCCGAAGGGCAAAGAGCATTCTTTCCATCACTGGAAACACTTAAGCACAGGCTGAACAGTTGAGGGAAGCTGAACTACTGCAATGACTGGGTATCTTCTAACTCTTAAGACCGGTCATGCAACTTAGGCTGGAGAACTCCATTTCAGGGGAGGTCAGTGACTCACACTGAAGCTAACCCCTTAATCTAGTACTCAGTTCCCTGTGTGATGGTGTTTCATCCCTGACTGGCCAGTCCCAGCCCATTCCCAGGAGAGAGAACTAGATAACAAAGCCAAGGAACACATGAGGCTCTGGGCCCAAACAACTGTACATTGTTTATTGAGAACACCCGTAGATGGGAAGGAGGGATGCCCTGTACCGCATCGTGGCCACCACTGACTGGGAGCCAGGCCCAGAGAGCACTGGCAGAGCTGGGGGTGGGCTTCCCATGACACACTGACCATCTCGGAGGGTGGGAGGAATGAGAGGACTAGGCCTAAGACCCTGGTGCCATGCTACAAATGGGGACTGATTGGCCTTTGCCTTTCAAAAACAGAGGGTATGGGTATGCGGACTACCAGCAAAAAATAGAAACTTGATTTTTTTAAAAGGTCCTCCTGTACATAACAAGACAGCATCTGCTCTCCAGGGCCCGGGACTGGCAGCGGGGACCTCAGGCAGGCAGGCAGGCCGAAGGCCTCCAGGGAAGATCAGTGGTTTGGCTGAGACAGTCAGCTGCACAAAACTGGCCAGTCACGAGCACCCAGCGAAACTTCATCCATGCTCTGGCAGGACAGGAAAGCACCCGGCCCCTTGGGAATATACAAATATTTGCCATATTCTCTTTGCTTGTTACAAAAAACAGTTAAGAAAGCTTACAGCAGATTATTTACAAACAGTATCCTGGGATATGATGAAGGCAGAGGTGGGCTGGCTTGGAGGATAGGATCTGTGGGGGCAGAGGAGCCACAGCAGCCCAGAGGGTCCCAGGCTGGGCCTTCTCCCCAGGCTTCAGGCTCTGCAAGGCACTGGACTCTGCTACTGAGAAGGAGGCTTAATTCTTCTTGTGGAGAAACTTCATTTTGTTGCCTGTGGGCCAGAGAGGACAAGAGAGAATGTTCAGTGTTATCCCTTCCAACCTCCACTCCCTCTCCTCCTTGTAGCCCTAACCCTGTCAGTGGGAGAGGAAGGATTAGGAAGACTGGATTATAACTGTGATCTGATCCAGGGTAGTGAAAACACGTGAGAGCTCTAATTAGGGCACCGGTATTAATCACTGTGTGGTTTTACGCAAGCCACTTAACCTCTTTGGTCTCAATTTCTCTTTAAACAGAAACATGCTATGATTCTCTGATCTGGCGGGCTGAGCACCCTGCAGGGAGGGGTGCATTTTGCAGGAAGGGCACTCGCACTGCTGTGTCTGCAGACCTGTTATGGTCTAGAGGAAAGCTCACTGGCTCTAATGGCCTTCATATTCACTCAGGAAGGAGTGCAAACAGAAAGACCTGATGTATGTGGGAACCTGGGATTCCTCTTTGTAATGCAATATGGTAAATACAGCCTGTCCTCCATATCCATGAGTTCTGCGTCCATGGGTTCCATGTTTATAGATTCAACCAACTGGAGATCAAGAATATTTGGGGGAAAAAATGGATGGTGGTGTCTGTACTGAACATATATAGACTTTTTTTTTCTCGTCATTATTCCCTAAACAATACAGTATAATATCTATTTACAGCTGGGCATGGTGGCTAACGCCTATAATCCCAACACTTTGGGAGGTCAATATGGGAGTATTACTTGAGCCCAGGAGTTTGAGACCAGCCTGGGCAACATAGCAAGACATCATCTCTACAAAACAAATTTTAAAAATAGCCAGGTGTAATGGCATATGCCTGTAGTCCCAGCTACTCAGGAGGTGGAGGAGGGAGGATCACGTGAGGCCAGAAGTTTGAGGCTGCGGTGAGCTAGGATTGCACCACTGCACTCCAGCCTGAGTGACAGAGCCAGACCTTGCCTCTAAAATAAAATAAATAAAATATAAAATAAAATAACAAAATTTATATTATATTAGGTATTATAAGTAATCTAAAGATGATCTAAAGTATATGGGAAGATGTGCACAGGTTATATGCAAATACTATGCCATTTTATAGAAGGGACTTGAGCATCTGTGGATTTTGGTATCCTTGGGTATCCAGGAACCAATCCCCCACAGATATTGAAGGACCACTACTGTGCAAAATGCCCTTGGAATTCTGGCTGAGAACCTTCTAGTCACTATGGGATGTCTACATCCTGTTCTGTCTACAGCCCCAGTATAACACCTGTTGACATTGATTTAGAGTATTCGGGAACACAAATCTCCCAGCCCCTTCCTTCTTGCTGAACATCTATCTCATCAGTAACAAGGCCACTTACCCAAACCTCGGAGAAACTTATTCATTCCACTCTGCTCAGTGTCTGGGAGTTCTTCTAAGTACTGCTCCACTCGCTGCTCAAAAAGGCCTGGGTAAAAGAAACAGGCACAGGGAAGAGAACAGTCATTGGAGGAAGGGAAGGAGAGGCCTACATGAAGGGAACCATGGAGCACAGATGCCAAAAAAGGAGAAAGAAAACATCTGGGATGATAATTTGCAGGAGCATCTTACTAGAATTCGGGCTGGCTCATCAAGGCGATCATTAGTGACATCTTGCCGGGGTTTGCTGCTGCCACCCTGCCTCCCCATGCACATTCCCAAGCTGCACTAGGTGAGGAGGCTGCTTCTCAGTTCAGAGCTGCCCCAAGTGGACATCTCTAGCTTCCTTCAGACAACTCTACCATGTTGTTCCAAAAAGGTTGTTATACTAAATGGATAGTATTAGAGGACAGAAGAAGTACTAACCCTGAGGTTAGACAGAAAAATTGTGATGAGATGAAAAAGCCCTCGAATGAGCTGATGAAATAGCAAAAAACAAGATAACCATCTGCCTTAAATGAAGACTGCCACCAACCTACGACAGCTGGCCCAATGCTCTGTAAGGGAATTCCCAACCACTGGGTTCTCAGAACCCCCGAAATTGCTCAGTCTGCTCCTTTTCTCTGGATAGAAGGGCTTTCTCCTATCTTTCTCTTTGAGGAGGGGGTGGGCAACCAATGGCATGCTGCTCCTAGGTGGAGATGAGTCCTACCTCTAGCCATGTGGCTTAGCTTGTGCATAGCCTTGTGAAGGCATTTACTGGGGCCGGAGGAGAAGAATGCTACCTTGAAGTTTCTAACAGAGGTAAAGGGATGTTAAGAGGCCTGGCCCTAGCTGATGTCCAAGAGCTTCCATCATAGTGCCTGGTTCTTCAGCCCTGCTGTGGGTGAAAAAATTAGAGAAGAGAGCTGATAACCAAGACTTACCCTTTGCCCGACACTTTCTTAGCTCCCTGTCTTGGATGAAGCCAGCAAACATCTGAGACTCCATAAAAACCTCAAGAAAGCGGCGGATGCTTTTGGAGGCCACAGATTTGCGGAAGGCCTCTCGCTGAAAGGCCCTCTCTCCCTTCTCACTCTGTGTCAGAAAGAGGGAGTAGTGCCCAACGGTCTCCACAAAGAACCGGATAAACACCTCCGACACCAGCCCATTGAGGGTATTACATTCTGGAAGGGAAAAGACAATCTTTGAGGTTCAGGTCAAGAGCCTGCAAAGCCTTCCTCAATCTTCCTGGTGTAGTCTTCCTCTCCCCAACAAGACTTCCAGCCAGTACCACTCTTCTGTTCTGGAAGCTCTTTTTGAGACCGAGTTTCACTCTTGTTGCCCAAGTTAGAGTGCAATGGCGCCATCTCAGCTCATTGCAACCTCCGCCTCCTGGGTTCAAGCAATTCTCCTGCCTCAGCCTCCCAAGTAGCTGGGATTACAGGTGCACTTTTTGTATTTTTAGTAGAGATGGGGTTTCACCATGTTAGCCAGGCTGGTCTCGAACTCCTGACCTCAGGTGATCCACCCGCCTTGGCCTCCCCAAGTGCTGAGATTACAGGCGTGAGCCACCACACCCGGCCTCTGGAAGCTTGCTTTCTTGTGCTCATAGCCTTGTAACTAGCCTACGAGCTGCAGAAGGCCAGAAACTATGTTCTGAACATGGAAGTTGAAACATAATTGCTGGATGAATTAAAGTAGAAACCAGAGCACCACTTTCATCATATCCCTCACCCTAAGTGATTTTTCTGGCTTCCAAGGAAGAGGAAGTGCCTTTCATCTCCTGCAATGGCTTGAGGCAAGGCCTCAGAAGGAGGAATAATTAGTTTTCTGTCAGCAGAAAGTATCTTTGGGGTTGCCACATGTCTTTGGGTTTTCCTTCCTAAACTACCTGGGGTAGAAAAGACGCTAGAGTGAGACCAAGGTCCTCATCAGCCAGAAAGGGTTTGGTGTGCAGAGGCAGAGTTCTGGCCCTATGGGGCCCTGACCCAGAGCAGAGGGAGCCTGGAGCAGAGCTGACCGTGCCCGGGCACTATTCTCACCATCGTCGGAGTCGCTGTCAGAGTCCTGGGAGATCAGCTCATTCTTCCTCTCCAGAGCCTGCTCCAGAGCTGCCTGTAACTTCCTAGGTAACAACGTGTCTTCGTCGTCCATCTGCAGGAGAAAGAAAGCACAGTGACAATCATAGCTGACACTGAGCACTTACTATGTGCTAAGACCTGTTAGAAGAGCGTGAGTAGATAATCTCATTTATCTCTCCCAGTAACCCTCATAACTATCATCAACCTCATTTTAAGATGAGGAACTGAAGCACAGAAAGGTTAAGAAACTTGCCCAAGATTACAGAGATTAAAAGTGGTAGAGGGTCAGGCGCAGTGGCTCACGCCAGTAATCCCAACACTTTGGAAGGCTGAGCGGGAGGATCGCTTGAGCCCAGGAGGGAGTTCGAGACCAGCCTGGGCAACTTAGCAGGTCCCTCTATCTGCAAAACACACACAAAAAAACAATTAGTCAAGTATGGTGGCATGCACCTGTACTCCCAGCTACTTAGGAGGCTGACATGGGGAGGATCACCTGAGCCCAGGCAGGTCGAGGCTGCAGTGTCATGACTGTACCACTGCACTCCAGCCTGGATGACAGTGAGACCCTGTCTCCAAAAAAAAAAAAAAAAAAAAAAAAAAAAAGGGGGTAGAGCCAGTGTGGCATTCACTGGCCTCTGTGACCAGGACCAGCCAGGGGTTCCTGATTAGGTCTCCCCAATTCCTCCATCTTCAGCTCCAGGCAGGAGGCACAGTTGGCTTGGGGCAGGGGGACTGTGGCCAGCCTGTGTCTCAGGAATGAAGTTAGACTGTTGTTTCGTCTCTATACTCTGTTTCTGTGTCCACATCACTATGCCTGGTACCCAGGGAGTCCTCAGCTCCGTCATTGGTGTGTAACAGACAATAAGTACATTTCCATAGGGGAGAGCACTGGGTTGTGCTCCTTTGTAGAGAGCCAGGAGGATTTCCACGACTAACAAAGGCTTTTTGTAGTTGACAACAATGATTGCAAACCTGTACGTTACATAACAATCTATAGTTATTTGTGTAACCCCCAGCAAACATTTCAAGGCAGGTGTTGTCACCACCTCTCCTTTAGAGCTCAGAAGAATTTAGAGGCCTAAGACCATGTGGCTCAAAGGGGGCAAAGTCCAGTGGCCAAGTCTGTGGACTCCCAGGCCGTGTTCTTCAAATTCCCACACTGCCTTCTAGAAGCTCATGATGTCACTGGAAAGGCGGACCCTGCTAAGGTCAAGGATTCCAAGACCAGCTTCTCCCCACCCTTGACTAGTCTGTGAGTAGTACTGAACCCAGAGAGAGAGCTCAACAAACAGGTTGTGAAGGTTGAGTAGTGTGTGTGATGGTGCAGGGTGCTCAGGAGCCCAACTCTAGCAAGCACCCACCCTCTTACCTGTCGGATGAATCGGTCAGATCCCAGATTCACCATCAGCGCCTGAGAAAAGGAGTCATTAGCAGAGTGGCTCAGGGCATGAGTCCCGCAATGCCCTCTGCCAGGCCTCCAGACCTCCCAGGTTCCCAGGGTCAGCTAACAGGAAGTACTCCAGCCGGGGATAGACCTCCCAGGGAGAAAGGATAAGAGCCTGGTAAAGAGGCCGAGGGGCCACAAGTAAGATCCCAGCACCTGCTTCCCCCTCCACCCTTCCCCCCAGCTGGTTCCCCCGGTGGCCCACCTCCTCCACAGGCAGCTCCTTCAGTTTGGGGAGGGAGCTGGAGAGCAGGCCAACCAGGAAGGGGGTGGGACAGCAGACGATGTCAATCATGGAGGCCGGGAGGACAGGAATGAAGGTGTGCTGCCAGGAGAAGGGGTAGAGCAAGGCCACCACCGCGTGGGAGCAGCTGGAGAGGGTACTGATGGGCAGACAGAGAGACAGAGTACCTGAGCCCAGGCCCAGGAACTTAGAGCTCGCTGGAGGCTCAGGACAGCCTTTGATCGTAAACCTCCCAGTGCAACAAAAATGCTAATGGGGTTCAGGGACCCTGCAGACTGGTAAAGTCCCCGCTTTCCCACTGCGTAGCGCCTCAAGGACAACAATGCTACTCTCTTAGGGAAATGTACCTGCAAACAGCCAGGAAGGTATGCAGCAACCCGCAGGACAGTCATCTGACAAAGATCTGGAAAAGGGCTGTCTCGGGTTTGGGGGGCACATCAGTGGGCCCGTGGCTGAGGAGGCAGTAGGTTTTGTAAACCCCTAGGGCCAGTGAATGCAGATCGTGGGTACCCTCTCCCACCCCACATCAGAACTAGGCAAGAGGGACAAAGAACTTGTGGAAAACCTAAAACATCAGCAACGGATCATGAGCTGGCTGGACCTACCCCTCCCCTCTCCAGCCAGAGGCAGACCCCAGGCAGAACAGGAAGGACATCTTTTCCAAGACCCCAGATTGGCAGAACTTGAATACCCGGCCAGGCCAAGAACAAGACCTTGGGATCGTCCCTCCCAGAATGGTCCTGGAATGTGCTCAGAGGCAGCTGCAACCACAGGAAACAATAGCTGTATTCACAGCCCCACGGGAGCTGGCCTGGGGGGGGGCAGGGTGGCAAAGAGGAAGCTCAGCCCTGAATTAGAGGGTAGAACCTTCAGGAAAAGAAACCTCATGGTCCAGGCTCTCTTAGGGGCCACTAAGGTCAGGCCAGGCCAGGGCACCAAAGCTGGGCAGTCAGGGGCTTTGTTGGCTGACAATGACCATGGCTGGTACACAGGAGGGGCCTCTTGGAACTGCTGTACCCAGCTCATTCCAGCTGTTGGGCTAGATTTCTTCACAAGGGCCTGATGGGCCCACAGAACACCTAGAAGTGTGAGACACAGAAGCATTGAGGCTGTGATGGGAACAAGTGAGGGGCAGTTTTCCTTTCTAAACCCTGGTGCTCTATGGAAAAGTCAGCAGCTCTGGTTTTTCTTCCTCCTTTCTTCTCCTGGGCTGAGGATGGGCCTGCGTTCCTGTCCCTCTGAAGGCAATCGGGAGTTCATTTCTCGGTTTCCTCTCAACTGCTTCCTCATACATACGGAAGGAAATACCCCAGGGATTCAGGACTTATTGGAGGACAAACCAGAACGGGGATTTTCCTTCACTGCCCTCCTGTGAGCACCTGACATTTAAGGTGGCTTAATCAATGTCCAAATGACCACTCTAGAGAAACCACTGCTTGGGATGGATTCTTTGACCAAAACAATATGTAACATGTTGCCAATAACCCATCCTGTTGTTGTAGGACTTACTAAGAAATTATTTTATGGAGAGAGGAAAAGTTTTTGTTTCCTTTTTTTAAAAAAATTTTTAAATTTTTATTTATTTATTTATTTTGAGACAGAGTGTCACTCCCAGGCTGGAGTGCAGTGGCACAATCTCCGCTCACTGCAACCTCCACCTCCTGGATTCAAGCAATTCTCCTGCCTCAGCCTCCTGAGTAGCTGGGACTACAGGCCCAGCTAATACAGGGTTTCACCATGTTGGCCAGGAGAGTCTCGATCTCTTGACCTTGTGATCTGCCCACCTCGGCCTCCCAAAGTGCTGGGATTACAGGCGTGAGCCACTGTACCTCATTTCCTTTAAAGCAGCTCAAAAATGTTTCTTGTCTGGAAAGAAAGCCCCGGCTCTTAGAGCCAGGCAGGCAACCTTTGATATGCAAATGAAGACCATTAGAAATTGGGTCCACCCAACATGGCAATTCCCACCGTTGTCCTCTTGCCCTTGCCCCTACAGGTGCCTAGCAGCATGGCTGCCCCGCATATTCCCACGTGTGTAGAACATCAGGCGCCCTACATTCGCATATTAAAAGGCTAGGATGGGAAGGCCAGCTTCCGGGGGGGGGGGGGGGAGGGGCTACATGAATGACATGCCTGGTCAAACCAATCCCCTAAGCCCTATGCAAATCAAACACCGCCTCCTCCAGCCTTCTTATCAAACTGGCTGGTATCCACAACACTTGGGGTTCCCTCTCTCGGCTTTGGAGCCTCTCTCCCTCTGTCTCTGTACTTTCTTCTTTCTGCCTTTCTCCTTCCCTTCTTGCCTATTAAACTCTCCGCTCCTTAAAACCACTCCACGTGTGTCGGTGTCGTTTTATCTAAACCAGCATAAGAACCAAAAACCCTAGTGTTCCTGCACTCATCGGAGCCGTATCACTTGTGCCTTGCCTGTGTCACCCCCTAACCACCACTGACATAAAACTTTTTTCTTTTTTAAACCTTGGCTGTCTAGAAGAGCTCCGACTTCTTACTTCCTAAACTGCCTCACGTCCAGTGACCATCACTTCTGCCACCCCTCCCATGGCCACCACCAGACCTTCTCGACACCTCTACCTCTAAAATCATAAATGCCAGCATTTCAGACCAAGACCTGTGACCCATCCAGCTCTTTTCTTACTCCTCCTAAACCAGCTCCCCGACTTCCCTGGCACCTCCAGGCCCTGCACATCATCTGTTTCCCGGTGTGGGCTGGCCAGCCTTCCTCACCCACTCTCCTCTCTGCACCTCAGTGCCCCCATCACATCCTTCTCCCCAGCCCTCCCATTGCCCAGCCCTGGGCCACTGCAGTTGCCTTCTCCAGGGGACACCCTCCACAGGACCCTCGCTGGCTGGCTCAGCATTCCTCACACTGTCCCCGGTCAGTGCTCTTGCCCCTTCCTCACAGCAGCTCTTTCCTCAAACTCAGCATCCCATTGAGATGGCTTTGCCTCCCCCTCCAGAAGAAATGCAACCATCCACCAAAAATCTCAATTTCTTAACCTTTCCCCTTTACATATCCCGGCACCTGCACAGTCTTGGCTGTTGCAAAGGAAGAAATATCCCTCCCTCTCCCCTCAGGCCAAGCCCTCCACAGGGTTCTCAATCCTGCCATCTGTGTGCTCCCAAACCCTGCTCCCTCACCCACACAGGGGTGCTACCTTTCCACCTAGTCTTCCATCTCCCTACGCACAGCCCCACTCCAGCACTGGTCTCCGGCGCCTGCTTAGGCTCCTGAACACTTGCTGATTCGCTTGTGGGTGTGCCTTCCCCCCTCCCTTCTGCTTTCTTGCCCGGCTGGGCCCTACCTGAGCTTATCTGCCACAAAAATGACCCGGCGCTCCAGCAGCAGTGAGGCAAAGATTCGGATGAGCTGGCGCACACTGAGGCAGGTAAAAAGGCACTCAAAGTCCACGTGCTCCAGCCTTGAGTCCATGGGCCGCCGCAGCTCTAACACCTGCAGGAGAGCGATGGGAAAGTGGGCCGGGGCCAGCCAAGTGGGTGCTGCCCTCTGGCCCTCCACGAAGCAACTGGAGCTGCTTTCCCCTTCCAACCTGCTCTTTTCCAGGTCTCTCGTCTACCCTGCTATGCAGTAAACCCCTCTTCTCCATCCCTCGGACTACAGCTCTGCTCTCGTAGCACTCGAACACCCAGCCTGTGGGCAAGAGGGCTGCCTGTGAAAGCGGGGAAGGCTCCAGAAGGAAGGAGTTGAGGGGCCATCCATCGGGACCTCAGGAAGAGAGGAGAGCTGACTGCTCTTAGAGATAGGGAGAAGAAGGGAACCACACAGCCACATCTCTAGGGTCCTCCTGCCCACCTCCCCAGACAAAGGTCTAAGCCCCCAGTGCTGACTAGACCCCACTGCTCTCCAGGCATCTCCGCATCCCAGGACTCTAATCCCAGCCATTGCCTCTGGAAGGGCAATGCTGGGGTCCTTGTTGCCCTGTCCCCCTCCCTTTCCTGCAGAAAGAGTTTCCTTCCAGAGGCTGTTTGTCCTGCTATCCTGGCCTTTATCTCCATCACCCTAAGTCCCATGCCAGTCACAAGGAAAACATAAGCAAAGGGCTGGCCATTCTGCAGCCTTGCCAGGAAGCAGGACTGTCTTATCAGGGCCAGGCCTGGCCCTCTTTCCTCCAAAGGCTGCTCCCAAGGTGAGTGCCACAGCTCAGAGAGCCACTTCTCTGGGGGAGTCACAGGGGTGGAAGGTAGTGAGTGACTCCAGCGGTGAGGGCAGGAGGAACTGCTGACGCTCAGGCCGTGCCAAAGCAGCTGTCCCTGGGGTCTGCCTGGCCTCCTCCTTGGTCCCGCAGCATGTGTGTGCAGCATAGATGTGCAGGCCTCCTGAAAACTAGGGTGAGAAACCAGTTCTCTCTCATTGCCCCATGGCATCAAAGGTAATGCTTTACAAGGAGTTTTTATACCCACGTCATCTCATTTGTTCCTCAGAGTCTAAGCAAATGAAGGAGTTCTAACTCCTAACTCAGCATCCATCCTTCTGGGCCCCAGAGAAGCAGCAAAATGGGCACAGGGCATGGTAACGGTCTGTGTCCACTGTCTCTCCCGCCTGATGGTGTACTCCCAGAAGGCCCAGTGATCCGCCAGATGCTGGGTACACCCCAAATGGTCAGTGAACGTGGACTCACAGAAAGAAGTAGCACAATGATGCCAGAGCCCTTTATACCTGCTCCAGGCCCTGTCCCCGCCCCAAAATTCGCAAGCTCCCTGCATGCAGCCCAACAGGCTCTGCTCTCTAGCACCCAGCTCCAGTCCCTACTGTCCCTGGGGCCCAACCCTCCCCCTTCCCCCAGGGATTGAGAATTCACACAGGCTGCTCCCACTCCCGGCCTTGTTCCCTGCATCCCTGCCTTCAAGGAGATCAAGCCCAGGGGGCTGAAGGAGCTGAGTAGTTACAGCCTGGGAGTCCAGTGTCAGGACAGAGGCAGATGTGACCAACATCTGCACAGGGACAGGCAGGACATCTAGAAGGGCAGCCAAGCTCATGTGGGTGGGGAGAGGTCAGGGAAGCCTCTCAGAGCACAAGGTACTTGACTCCCCAAAGAGAAAAGAAGAGAAGTGTCTTCTAGGCAAAAGGAAGTAGGGTTGAGGCAACACTAAGTATCAAGTCAGAAGACGAGAGCCCAGTGAGGTGGCCAGGGCCAGACCATGAAGAGCTCCCAGGCATGATGCTGCGCTATAAGGGAAGGGTCCCCTATCCTGTGCCCCACAGCCACCATGAAGCCTAAAGTTCCTCTAAATGAAGGGGAGAAAAGAGGCGAGGAGAAAGCCCTCAAGCTAGGATTTGCCACTGCTCAGCAAGCCTGGTATGCTTTTTTGGTCAGTCCCTCTCCCACTCTCTACAACTAATTTATTTATTCTTCCCTCTCCTAGAACCCAACATCCACCTCTTACTCTCAAAGGATGACCTTTTCTATTTTGACATATGTATTTTTTTGAGATGGAGTCTCGCTTTGTCGCCCAGGCTGGAGTGCAGTGGCGCAATCTTGACTCACTACAATCTTCACCTCCCGAGTTCAAGAGATTCTCCTGCCTCAGCCTCCCGAGTGGCTGGGATTACAGGCATGCGCCACCACACCTGGCAATTTTTTTTTTGTATTTTTGGAAGAGACAGAGTTTCAACATGTTGGCCAGGCTGGTCTCGAACTCCTGACCTCAAGTGATCCCCCCGCCTCAGCCTCCCAACGTGCTGGGATTACAAGCACATGAGCCACGGTGCCCGGTCTGACCTTTTCTACTTTGAGAAAATCAAAGCCATCAGATGAGAATCCAAAATCTACTAAGCCACTCCCTCCTCTCCTAATAAACACCAAGCCCTCCATGGAGCCTAACACCCACATCTTCTCAGTACTCTCTGCTAGCCCCTCCTGCTCCTGCAGCTCAAACCTCTTCCTCTGGCAGCCATTCCCACCAGCATACAAACTACCATCCCTAACAAGCTTCCCTAGTTCCACATTTCAATTGCTGCCCTCTTCCCTATTTCTCTCCACAGCCATGCAATCTTGAGAAGATGTCTACACAGGCTGTTTCCACTTCCTCACACCCATCACTTCTCAACTCACTCCAGCCCAACTTCTGGGCCCCTGCACTTGTCAAGATCTTGCCACGCCTCATCCTGACCTCTTGGTGGTTCCTGATCCGGATCACGGCTTCCTTTTTGAGGTGCTCCTGAGCCGCAGCCCTCTCCTGAGTGTTCCTCTCCTGCAGGGCCTCTGCACGTTGGGGTTCCCCAGGACTGAGGAGGACCCCATACTGGGCTCTCTTCTCTTCCCTATTTACACTCTTTGCTACTAAATACCTTCTCTTGGGGGTCTCATGGGCATCTCAAACTTGACATGTACACATTTGGACTCTTGCTCTTCCTCCTCATTACCTGCTTCTCCTTCACGAGCTCCCATCTCAGTACATGGCTCCATCATCTACCCTGGGGCTCCAGCCAGAAAACTGGGAGTCAGCCTTACAGTCTCTGTAACAACTACTCCCTATTTCCAATCAAACGCAAAGTGCTATTGGTCCTAATTCTAAAATCCATCTACTTCCCTTCCCCTGTTCTACCACATCTTAATCCAAAGCTGCCATCATCTCTTACCCATAGTGCCACAACAGTATCCCTGCTGGTCTCCCCGTTTTCACTCCGACCATTATCTACATGGCAGCCACAGTGGGCTTTGAATACATGTATCAGCTGGCCACAGGTGGCTCACGCCTGTAGTCCCTACAGTTTGGGAGGGGGAGGTGGGAGGATTGCTTGAGTCCAGGAGTTCAAGACCAGCCTGGGCAACAGGGTGAAACCCTGTCTCTATAGAAAATACAAAAGTCAGCTGGGTTTGGTGGTGCACGCCTGTAGTCCCAGCTACTCAGGAGGCTGAAGCGGGAGGATCGCTTGAGCCCGGGAGGGTGAGGCTGCAGTGAGCCATGATAGCACCACTGCACTCCAGCACCACTGCACAATATGGGTGGCAGAGTGAGACCCTGTCTCAAAAAAATAAAATGAAATGAAAATATACGTCAGATCTTATCATACCCCTGCTTTAGATAAAACCCCAAATCCTTAACTTGGCCTAGCAGGGACATCGTGATTGGGTTCTTGCCTGCCAACCCACCCCTCTACCCCCACCCCATCAACCCTCTGACCAGCATTTGCACTTGCCCAACTTTTGCCTTTGCAGATGCTGGTTCCTCTACTTGGAATAATCTTCTCCCGTTCATATCCTTCTCTTTCCATCTCCCTCCTCCTGCTTCATTTAGTTGCCCCCACTCACCACTTAGGTCTCTGATAAAGTGTTACTTTCTCAGAGGAGACCTTCCCTGGCCCCTTATTTAAAGCAGACTCCCCTGTTTCACACTCTCATAAGGTCCTGTGCTTTCACTTGGCTTGTAACACATTTAGGAATTATCTATTTATATGTAAAAGTGTTTATAATAGCAGTATCTCCCACTAGACTACAAACTTCATGAGGACAGAGCCACGTCCCTCTACCTCTGACTCTGCTCTGAGGTCTGGCGCAATCCCTGATTGTGAGATGGCACACATTCAGTAACTGTTCAATGAATGAACAAAAGGAAGGCAGATGGAATGCAGTTTAGTCCAAATGGGTCAGGGAAGGCCCCTGGGAGGAACAGAGGGCTGGACAACATGTACATTCCTATTGTTTGCTCTTTTGGTCCCTAGTGATGGGGTACACAGACATGGTTGAGCAAGGAGGGACCGTGCTCTGCAACCCCCAAAGACTACGACCTTGGCCAGCATGGTCCTCCTGCCACCCCAGCCCGTAGCCCGAGAGAAGAGGGTGCAGAAATCCCTACCTCATTGCCAGCACCTGGCAGGAATGTCTTCACTTTGATGGTCTTCCCTGGGGCTGGGAAGGGCGACTCCATGAGACTTCTCATGAAAGGATAGACCAATGCAGCGGAGATCCCACGCCGGCGCTCCACCTCATCTAGGACCTGTGCCCACCGCCAGCAGCCCAAAGAGGAAGGGTGTCAGGGCACTGCCCTTCCCCCTCCTGGCAGAGAAGAGGGCAGCCAAGCATCTGACCAGGCTAGCCCAGAAGCTGGGAGACGGGAAGGTGGTCTTGCCATGATCTGCACACTCTACCCTTCCCGTTTTCCTTGGCACTCAGTGACTCCTCTGTTCCCTAACTGGCCTTGCTTCAGTCCCCAAGAGCGGAGTAGCTGGGCAAAGGAAATACCACCCAAGAGTCAGCTCCCTGGGCGCTCCTGCTTCCCCAAGGACTCTGGCTCTGCCTAGGGCCCAGGGTGGGCTGTGACAGGGGCAGACACTGCCAGCACAGGAGCTGGGGAAATGCCAGCCAGCTGGGTAGAGAACCAGGCCGGGGAATGGGAGGGTGTCAGAGAGCTCACTGGTACTTGTTCCTGCATTCTGTCTCCCGCTCGCTCACAGTCACAGGTGGTTTTCTCATCTAAGCTGGCTGCAGATACTCCTGTGGGAGCTGTCAGCTGGGGGACGGGGAGGGAAGCCTGCCAGAGCCTCTTACCTTGGAAAACAAGCCGAAGCAGCCAAGGCGGCTGATGACACAGTACACCTCTGGCAACCGGGGCCCTTTCCCACTTGGCTGGGCCAGGACAAGGAGGAGGAGGAGAGAGACAGACACAGAGAATGCATGATTACCATTTCTGGCTCCTTTTCCTTGGGAACGGAGGAGTAAGGACTGCCCTTCTAGTGGAGGAAGACTTTAAGCCTCCTCTAAACCTCTCTGCAACCAGAGCCCTGAAGGAACAGCCACCACTCTCAGGACAGGCCTCAGCTCTGCAGGGTCTCCCAGCACCAGGTACCAGGCTCCTGCCAGGCTCCACACAGGCTCCACCCTTCCTCCCAGGAGGACGCTGACGGGGGCTGGCAAAGGGCAAAGCAGTTTGGCAGAGGCTACAGGGTGTCTGTGGATTCATAGCCCTGAGGCTGGGACCCCAGCAGATGGGAAGGACTAGGGTACATCCTTAGGACAAGCCATTGTAGCTTTTTAGCCCCATAGGGCACATTCGGCATACCATTCCTTTTTTTGCTTCTTTTCTCCCTTTCTTGATCCACCTCCATTCTAAGAGAGCAAACTGAAAACAAGAGATGGGAGCTACTGTTTATGGAACATTTGCTATACCTGACTCCTGGGCTTGGGACTTTACAAGAGATTTGTGAGAGAGGGATTATTATCCCCTTTATAGATGAGGCAACTGAGTTCAAAAAGATAAAGCCATTGCCTAAGGCCACCTATCTAGAAGCTGTGGAGCCAGGAGTTTGCTTTGGCCCTGTTTGGCTGTCTTACCCCTAAAGCCTGCTGCTTTCTGACAGGAAGGAAAGAAAACAAAGACACTGGGTAGAGGTTTGCTATGGAGTAAAGGAGCAAAAGAAGAATGGGACTTAAAAGGTAGGCATGGCCAGGCGCGGTGGCTCACGCCTGTAATTCCAGCACTTTGGGAGGCCAAGGGAGGTGGATCACCTGAGGTTGGGAGTTCGAGACCAGCCTGACCAACATGGAGAAACCCCATCTCCACTAAAAATACAAAATTAGCCGGTCATAGTGGCATGCGCCTGTAATCCCAGCTACTTAGGAGGCTAAGGCAGGAGAATCGCTTGAACCCGGGAGGTGGAGGTTGCAGTGAGCCGAGATCACACCATTGTACTTCCAGCCTGGGCAACAAGAATGAAACTCTGTCTCAAAAAAAAAAAAAAAAGGTGGGTAGCTAAAGGGGAGACATGCACTGAGAGCTCCCAGGCCCGGAGCCCCCATGCAGGCTGCAGTGCCTTCTCCAGCAGGACTCAGAGGCCTGGAGGGCCTGGCAAGTCCGAGTGGGGAGGGAGCAGAGCAGCAGGTGCTGGCCCCTCGTGCAGGCTGCTAAGCAAATGCAGATGGGGCTATTTCAGTCTCCAAACCTGCTGGCCACACGTCACAGATCTAAAGAGAAGGCAGAATCTGTTTTTGTCCATATTAGGCCTGAAACTCACTCCTGTCTCTTTCCCTCTCCCCCGCCTCCCCTAAAGCCCCAAGTGATTAAATCAAGTATGTGGGATTTGGATCAGAATCATTGTGTCCAATCTGCAGGAATGCCGAGCTAGTGCCAGCCCCCTTGGCAGAGACCCAGCCCAGGCCCTCTCTGAGCACGCCAGGACAAACACGCTCTTCCCTGGGGGCAGCAGCCCCACTACAAAGGAGCAGCTCTGCTCCATCTATGTTCCAGCAAAGGCAGCCTTCGCAACACTCCTTCCAAGCCTGGGAGGCCCAGGCGGCCAGAGGCATGCTGGCCTCTGCCTGGCTCACCACCTGGCATCACTCCTGTGCATACGCCCTTTGCCCCTCCATGGGCATTCTACCTCCCCACGCCCCCTCTCCCCAGTCCATCCTCTGGGGGTGATCCAAGAGTACAAATTGGTGACAAACGACTTCCCTTCTGGTTCTGTATGACCTTGGGCAAGTCATTCTACCTCTGAGTTTTGACTTTCCAATCTATGGATCAGGGATAATAATAACCCATGGGCTATTGTGATCATTTTCTTTTAAAAGACATACTTGAAGCATCTAGCTTGGAATGTGACAGGTTCTAAACAACATTTATTCCCTCTTATTCCCTTGGCCCTTCCCTCCTGTGTTGAAAGTCCAATCTCCTGTAACAGGCCATCTAAAGTTCCTCGAGAGGGAGATCCATGTTAAACTCATCTTTATATGAGCACGTGCCTGACTCTCAATAGCACGTGCCTGACTCTCAATAGGTCAGGGCTTCTGATAAGGGATGATAAGTGTTTCTGAATGAATGAATGGCCGGCCCCAAATCCTTCCTTCAGGGCTCCTGCCCCCTTCATCTACCCCTAGACTGGTATCTGGGGAGGCTTTCTCTTGCTAAGGCCTGGAAACCCCAAAACATTGTCAACAACCCAGTAGCTCCAAGCTGGGAGTGCAGCAGGGGCCAGGCTCTGAGCCTCTACCCAATCTATTTCCCAGGACTAATGGGAAGGGAAATGGTGAGGGACTTCTCTTTACAAAATGGCTAACATTTTCAAAACCTAATCCCTTTCCCCTAGATTCAAGGTATCTCTCTCAGATTCCCAGAGAAGGTATGTCTCTGTCCCTGCCCAATCTCCAGCCCCACCACACCACAGAAAGGCCTCCTCCCCACTACAGGCTGGCCAGGTATGGGGGTGAGGAAGGTTGTCCCTCACCTAATCTGATGCATATACACATACTGCTGGGGGCGATTCGATCCTGCAACCAGAGACCAGCAATCAGAGCCCATGATCCCAAGGGAAATGACGAAAAAGTAGAGAAAAACTAAAAAGACATGAAAACCCACTCCCTCCCCTTACTCCAGATAACCTCCGATCCTAAGGCCCCCTCAGAAGCACCACTCTGAGCCCTGCTCTCCCAGGGTAGCCTCACCTGTGAAAGTGTGTGTGTTGGCAGGGGGTTCGGGGTGGCCTCAGGAAGCATAACATAGGATTTCATACAAGCTAAAATTGCAGAAGGGCACACACACACACACACACACACACACACACACACACACACCCTGGCCTATCCCCTGCCTGCTGGCCTGAGGACCGAATGGCCTCACTCACCAGTAAGCGCCTGCAGTAGCCAAAGCGTCTGCTGCCATCTTCCCCAGTCAGCATGAAAGAAAAGGTCTCACTGGAACAAAGAGAGGTCTGGCATCAGGGAGGTGTGAGAGGACCTAGGAAACAGCCCCCAAGAATAGGGACCGTCATTTTCACGTGGGGTGAAGGGCCAGGTTGCTGTAGGAGAGGATGAGACTAGAGCAGGCCCCACTCAGGTGCCCACGCTATGGGGGTAAAGAAGGCTATGCTCCTTCCTCCCTCAGGCCAGGCCAGGCCTCACCTGCTATACTCTGACACAGGAAGCCAGTCCTTGGCATCAGGGAAGCAAAACTGGGGAATGGCTTTGAGCCTTTCCTCTGCCTCTCGCATCTGCTTGGTGGGTCGGTCCAGCTGCAGGGAAGAAGGAACCAGGAGATGACATGGAACCTGAGGGCGGGTGGTGGTGGCTGAGAAGCCCCTCCTCCCCTGAGGGCCCTAGATGCCACTGACTAGCGGGCATGATCTCAGCAACCCTTGTCCCACTCCGAATTCTTACAGAGCCCAGAGTCATCATTCATTCATTCAATAAATGCCAGCGGAGTGCTTTCTATATGGCATCTGACACGGTGCTATGCGCCAGGGCTCTTGGCTCTCAATGGAAAACAAAGGGGACAAGGTCCCCGACCTTACACATTCTCGTCAGCAGAGTGAGATGGTCAACCACAACATCTCAGAGCGGGGCTTAAAAAAAAAATAAGCAGGGTGGCCGGGCGCGGTGGTTCATGCCTGTTAATCCCAGCGCTTTGGGAGGCCGAGACTGGCGGATCACCTGAGGTTGGGAGTTCGAGACCAGCCTGACCAACATGGAGAAACCCCATCGCTACTAAAAATACAAAATTAGCCAGGAGTGGTGGCGCATGCCTGTAATCCCAGCTACTTGGGAGGCTGAGGCAGGAGAATCGCTTGAACCCAGGAGGCGGAGGTTGCAGTGAGCCGAGATAGCGCCATTGCACTCCAGCCTCTGTAACAAGAGCGAAACTCCGTCTCGAATAAAAAAATAAAATAATAAGCAGGGTTATGTACCAGAGCAAGCTGGGCAGGGGAGGGGCTCCATGCAGGTGTCTGGACAGACCTCCTGAAAGAGGTCCTACTTGAGCAGAGCCTGAGAAATGAGAAGGAGCCAGCAGCCACGTGAAGAGCTGGAGAAAGCACATTCCTGGCAGAGGCAATGGCAGAGAGAGAGGGGTTGAGTGTGAGAGGAAGAAGAGGGAGGCCAGGCTGGCTGGCGACAAGCAGGGAAGGCGGAGTGAGAGACAGGCTGGTGGGAGAAGTGCGGAGTGACAGCTAGTGGGTGCAGAGTTTCTCTTTGGGGTGATAAAAATGTTCTAAAATTGACTGTGGTGATGATTGCACAATTCTGTGAATACACCCAAACACTGAACTGTATACATTAAGTGGGTGAACTGTATGGTATTCAATTGTTCTGGATTTTATTATAAGCACATTGAGAGGTTCTTTCTTAGTCCTCATCCTTTGAACAAGCACTGGCCCAAACCCACCCCCGCTGCAGCCCTGTCTTCCCTCCTGGCTGAGAGGAGGCAGGTTCAGGGCTGTGGCAGCTCGGTGAGGACGTATGACGAACAAGATCTCTCTCCTTCCCCAGATAGGCCTGGCGGATAGAGGATGGAAGAGGGGGAATATGGGCAAGGTGGGGAGAGAGAAGGCCTCACCTTGGGAAACTGGTAGGAGACTTCGGGGAGGTAGGTGTTTCGCGATGGCTTCTTCTTGAGGGACACCACCACAAAGTACTCAAAAAGCTCCCGCTCCTGCCACTCCAGCAGCTCCAGCTCCAGCGTGCGATAGCTGGGGGCGCGCTTCAGCATCGACTGGATGTGGACCAGGCGCTGTGTGTGGGCTGGAGGCAGGTTGCACATCAGGGAATGGACCCTCACAGGCCTCATGTTAACTCCTCTACCCCTGGCTCAGGGCTCCATTGCTGTGGAGCACTTTTAAGTACGTGAGCCTAGTCTGATACCATCCCCAGCTCACAGTGCAGGAGGACCGGCAGGCACAAGGTGCTGACCCCTGCACAAAGACTCTGCCCTGACACAGGAAGCTGCGGGCCTGGTCCTCCTGGAGCCTCTGGAGACTGAGCTGGGGCAGGAGGACTGCCGAGGCCAGGCAAACCCAGGGATGTATCTTGGCACCCACTCTGTCCCTGTACCAAAAGGACTAGAATACACGAACATCCACGAAGGCTTCATCCTTGGGCCCCTAGCAGGACATGCTCCTACATCCAAAGTCCACTTGCCCATTTGCCTGGGGATGAGAGGATAATCATCCAGGAAGGCCTAGGCAGGGTTTCCCAGTAGAGAAAGCACAAAGATTTATCCAAGGACCCTGGAATGTGAAGGTTCCAGAACCTTTTCAAGCTCCTCTCTGGGGACAGGGGAGATGGGGGACTGCAGGGCCTCCAGAGAAACAGTTTCCTCAGTCTACGGCACATTTCTTGCCAGAAGAGGTCCTTGTAATCTTCTGTACCCCTCTCTGACCCTCCAGATCTACAATTTTTTTTTTGAGACAGAGTCTTGCTCTGTCGCCCAGGCTAGAGTGCAGTGGCATGATCTCAGCTCACTACAACCTCCGCCTCCCGGGTTCAAGTGATTCTCCTGCCTCAGCCTCCCAAGTAGCTGGTATTACACGCGCCCGCCACCGTGCCTGGCTAATTTTTGTATTATTTTAGTAGAGATGGGGTTTCACCATCTTAGCCAGGCTGGTCTCGAACTCCTGACCTCGTGATCTGCCCGCCTTGGCCTCCCAAAGTGCTGGGATTACAGGCATGAGCCACCGCGCCCGGCTGAGATCTACAACATTTACCAGGCAAATCTAGCACCCAACTCCCATGGACAATGGCTTGGGACAGTTTGGGCAGGTCACCACCCTTACATTTGGCAAAGGGAGACATCTGGATTTAACCTTGCAGGGCTGAGCTCACATGTCTATAAGGACAGACTTCCCTGTGGCTCCCTGCTCTATTGTTCTGGTATCTGGCCTGTCTGTCACCTCTCCACATCAGGCCGGTTAGGGACACTGGAACCACACATGCATCGGAAGGGAAGGCTGATTCCCTGCAGCCCTGCTGGGAGAGCTTCCGTACTCATGGGAGCTGTGCCTCACCTTTGAACCTGTCATCAGAGTCGCTCTCGCTCTCACTGTTTTCATCTGGAAAAGGAACAGCAGAGTACATACTTGCTGGACCTCACAGCCAATGTTTTTTGCTCCCCCACCACCCCAGCTTTTCTCACAGGGGATGGATCTCTACCTTCTCTGGGCTACTCTGGGCCCATGGTCAGGCATCTGCAGGCAGGGAGCTGAGTGGCCTGGGGCCAGGCTCCTTCAGAGCTCACACTGCGAATCCTATATTCAAACCCATGAGGGAAGCTGAGGGCCTGAGTTGGAGGCTGAGCCAGAAGAGGGGCCTACAGGCCTGGAAAAGATGGACCCTGCCTCCAGGAGGTCAAGATTTGAAATGGGAAACAGACCGCAATGCTCAGTGAGTCTGGCCTTTCCTTTTGCAGAAGCCGATTCCCACACCCACCTCCCTGCTCAGGGCCTCACAGCCCAAAGTCTGAAGGAACCCATCCCAGACCTTTCTTCCCTGTCTGCTCCTCCCTCCTACGTGGCCATTTCCTGGCAGGGCTCTACCCTCCACAGGTAAATTGATGCCTCTCCCGTTCCTAATGCCCAAGGGCCCCAAACAGCTGAACCAGCTCTGGCACCAAAGCCTACCTCTCAGTGATGCTGTTTCAATGCTGGACATAGACAACTTTTTTAATCTCTTCTTTCCTCTCTTGGCATTGTAGATGGAGTTAATTCTTTGGACAAGCTGGGTGAGAAAAGCAGGATGGGTGAGGTAACCTTAACACCAGCTGCCCTACTTCCAAGAAGGCTGAGTAGGAGCCCATCCCTGCCCTTAATGGTACAAGCTTTCTGCATTGCACCCGCTGGGTCCAGGACTGGTCTAACTGCAGAACCGACCTCAAGTGGTGACTCACCAGCCATGCATGGTAGCTCTCCATATACCTAGTCCCCCAGGAGTGGTCTCCTGCCCCAAGACAAGGACACTAAACTTAGCTCCCCAGAGGAAGGAACTGTGATCAAACTAGACAGGATGGTAGCTCCTGGGTCCCAAGAGTCATTGAACCAACTGAGACAAAGAGCCTCTGAGATGCAATAACAGGAACAAGGATTCTAGCCTTTCCCCTCTGGGCCATAACCTGGGGCCCCGACAGGAAGAAGCTAAATTCCCAATATACCCAAGCATTGTTTGCAGGTTAAAAATACCATCTGGCTAAATCCTGCTGCGTTGGGCTGGGGATTTGGGCCTGGCTGCCTATGTGTGAAAATCATTGCTGAAAATTCTTCAATGCTGAGAGTTATAGGAAGAACCCTTGTTTGAGTCCTAGGTCCTTGAAAGCCTGGAAATGCTTATGTGTGCGGATACCCCAAAATTCATACACCACACTTACTAATGGGGAACCTCGGCTAGACTTTCCTTCCTCTAACATCTGAGCACCAAGGTCAGTTAATGCATCTTTATTGATAAGAAAGGGGAATTAATCAGATGAAAAAGAGGCCAGTGCACGGACCCAGAATTTATTCAAAGGGAATCGAGGAAGCAGTCCAGATTAGGGAAGGAAGGAAGCCAGGAAAGAGAGAGAAAGGCTGGCTGCCTGCCCGCCCACCTGCCCGGCTCCAGTGGGCTGCCTCTGGGGAGGGTACCTTGGGAATGCGGCGGGCCCGGCGGCTGGACAGCAGCTCGCTGGTGGTGCTGAGGCTGTCTTCATTGAGGCTGGAGGGTGAGGACGGCAGACTCAGCTGAGCCAGCAGCAGCATGTCGTCATGGCTGTGCCTCTTGGGTAATCGTGGCAGCCGGTGGCTCTTCCTTTCTGACCAGTTCCCACTGCGCAGGGACTGGCTGTTGGGTTTCAGGGAAAGCTGGCGTGGGGGAGAGGACGTGCGAGAGGGGCTTGCCACAGAGGCCTTGGCCAGTGTCTGTCTGCTGGGATGGGGACACAGAGGCCAAGGGCCGGCATCCCTGGATCCCCGCCATCTTGCCCTGGAACTTCCATCCCTCTCTTAAGACTTTAGCTGCTAATCAGCCAGGTCAGGGATAGATTAGATACTTGCCTTCCCTAAAGGAAGCTTCACTACTGCCAGCAAAAAACGAAAGCAGAGGCTAAAAACACCTGTGCTCTCATCTGAGTGGAAAAAGAAGACTAAGTGGGAATTTTGCGGGGGTCCTCCTGAGCTATGGGACAAGAATTACTGGGCCTGGGTGATGGAACCAGTCTTCCGGACCTCTGCTCCCGAGCCAATCCTAAAAGGTTTCTGACAGCAGAGGCCATAACCTACTGGCCAGCCTGCTGGGCTGGGAGATCCTGCAGCCTGGCCCTCCTAACTGCTCCCATGGAGAACACAGGGGCTCTGGGCTCTGACCACCAAAGCTGGGCCAGGCAGGCCTCACACTGAATTGGATCCCATACCCACAAGGCCCTGGCTGCCCTCTCCCCAGCCCTGATCTACTCTCTGCCTCTCTCCATATGCGCTGACCTCTCATCCCAGGGCACCATCCTTGTCGCGGACCCTGTCAGGAGGCAAGTATCCCACAGACACCCAACCACTGTCTGGTTCTGGAATTGCCTCTCCTCACTCCTCAGCAAATCCTCCTTCCTCCACAGCCCCCAATTTCCTGTTCTCACCCAATCAATCTGGCAATGCAAACTCAGGGGAAGCCTGTTTGAAAAGAGTCCTAATTAGAGGGTAAATCTTTTTTTTTTTTTTTGAGACGGAGTCTCGCTGTGTCGCCCAGGTAGGAGTGCAGTGGAGCGATCTTGGCTTACTGCAACCTCCGTCTTCCGAGTTCAAGCAATTATCCTGCCTCAGCCTCCCAAGCAGCTGGGACTACAGGCGTGCGCCATCATGCCCAGCTAATGTTTGTATTTTTAGTAGAGATGAGGTTTCACTGGCCAGGCTGGTCTTGAACTCCTGACCTCAGATGATCTGCCCACCTTGGCCTCCCAAAGTGCTAGGATTACATGCGTGAGCCACCACTCCCAGCTATGGGGTAAATCTTTTATAAAAACAAACACCTTATTCCAAAGGCAGAAGAAATCATTTTTATATTATCATTTTATATTATCTGGCCAATGCTATATAATATCCAGGTCCTTCCATTTGCAAAGAGAATTAGAGTTACCTGGGGAGGTCAGAGAAGCCTCTCCACCTGCCTCCTGACATCCTGGACAAGGACAGAAGGAGCTGAAGTCCAAGAGCTTCCTTTGGCTTTTCACCTTTCCTGTCATTCTGCCTTCTCCCCATCCATTCCTTAAAGATTCATGCTTACTCTCTCCCACAGGACTGGCTCCAGGTGTCACAGACACCTGTCTGGCTCTCCAAATGTGGTTTGGGGACCTACACCTAGCCCCCTAATGCCAGTACTGAGATGACTTCTGGCAGAGTTGCAGAATGCCAAGACTCCCACTAGGGCCCTGTCTTCCTGTTTCCCACAGGGTGATAAATAATCAGAGAGGAGACTGCAAGGGCTCCTGGCTGAGTTTTGCAGCTCAGAGCTTGTGTAGGAAGGGAAAGAAGATAGGACAGGATGCCCCTCAGAGCAGGTGCCAATTGTCCACAGAGGTTTCAACATGGTGGACATCCTTGAGTGCACAGTCCTTTGCTGAGGAGACCTCCTTTATCAGACGAGATCGGGCACGTTCAGGGTGGTATGGCCGTAGACCCTTTATCAAGTACTAGTGAGGGTAAAAGCCTGAGTGGAAGCTGGGCCCAAGTCTTGGAAGAGCAGGCCCCCACTGTGGCCCTCACGCTAACCCTACAGGCCGATGTCAGGGCTGAGTTACCTGTGTGGGCGGGCTGTTGTACTTCCTGTCCTGAGGACTCCACATCCTGTGCAAAGAGTCCAAGGAGTTCTCAGACAGTTGCTGGGATTTTCGTCCTGCTCTTCGGCTCTTTAAGTCCACATCCTCATATGGATTCTCCTTGGGCAGATCTCCTGCAGAGGAGGAAGAGTTAGAGAAGGGGGAGAAGGGAAGAAGGAAACACACGAACTCACACACACACAAATAAACAAGCAGAATTCCTGTGAACCAAAGAGAATGGCTTCTGCCTGGCCCCTCAGCTCATGAGTCATGCAGCTGCCCGTCTGCAGTGGGGAGGCTACAAACAGATCCTGGCTCCAAGTCCAGAAGCAGACCCACCCCCCCACCCCCCCCAACCCCCCACCCCCAGCCCAGCTCAGCCTGGCCTCTGCTTTATAAATTCAGGGATTGCACAAGACTGGCTCAGCCACCCCTGCCTGTGCCCAGCCAGAGGACAAAGCCAGCAACAAGAGTCTTTCCTTGGCTCCCTTCCCTCTGCTGCAAACACCCCAGAGATAACACAGTTCAAGGTAGGAAGGGTTTTCAGGTCACATGGCTGTCCCTTCACCCAACTCTCAGGGGATCTCCCTGGGGACCTACTTTGGAGGGTGGGCATGGAGGAACTCACAGAACCGTAGGGAGCAGGGCTTCGCCAGGCCCCCTTCTCACCTACGATGCCGTTCAACAAGTCTTTTAGGGCAGGGTTTTGTGTTGTTCACTGAGGCAACCTCGGAACGGAACAGTGATTAGCAAGGAGGAAGTGTTCAGTAATGATCTGTTCGATGACTCTCCTACTGTAGTGTCTATTCCCTCTACCGCTGATCTCAGCAAAAAGAGAACCATCAACACTCCCCTTTTGGAACAAACTCTCCTGCTGTGACACAGGGGAGGTGTGAAAGGCTTGGAAGGAGTCTGGGCCAAAGGGTGGGGGTGAGGGGAGTTCTTGCTTCTCAGGACTAGTTCTAAAATCTCTGGCAGCGGGCATTGTATTGGCATTACCAGAAAATCTCAGAAAAGTCCAAAACAGAATCCCTGCCCTTGAAGATGTTGAGTGGCACTCCTTTCCACAAGCTGTATCTCCTGCCCCCACCCCTCCAACACACACATTTTCTAAAATAGAGTAACACCATGGGCCGGGTCAGTCCTAGCTCAATCCTGGTGGCAGAATCCGTGGGGTGAACAGGTCCCTGGGGAACTCAGAACACAGCCCTCTCTGCACCCCTTTCCCTATTTTCCTGCTGCAGAGCAGGACTCACTCCAGCACCTCTGCTCAGCAGCAGGATTGAGCCTGGGTGCCACTGAGTCCCACACTTGTTCTACAGATGTCTGAATGTGCCTTACGCCCCAGAGGAACTCAGACCCCACTCCTCAGGAAGCAGGCAGAAGAAGGAGCTGGAGGACGAGGAACAAAGGCTGCTGAGAGTGAAGCTTTCCTAGAGAGGACACGGGAGAAGAGCCAATCCCTATATGCTTGCAGATTCCTCCATTTCCAAAGTGGAGCTCCCTCCACATTGTGGCATCTACTTATGCAGAACCACAACGAATTTAGGAAATGCTCTAACAGAGTTAGGGTGTGGGTGTGAAGGAGGGATTTCAGTGACAGCTAAATAGACTGCAGTGGGAGCAATATAAATCTCTGTAAACTTATGAGTCAAAGATGGGTCACTGGGATTTGGGACTGGATTAAGTGATTCCCAACTCCAAGCAGAGTCCCCAGCAATGGAACAGACCTTTTCCTGTAACACAGTCATGCTATTAAAATGACTTGTCTCCATTCCAGAGCCCTGACTAAGCGGAGCTGGCCCAGCAGCCCTGTCGCAAGAAGCCAAATAGCAAACCCGGCACCCCCTGCATGTTTTCTCCAGCCTACCCCACTGTGGGGCACTTAGGGAGGTGTTGGGGATGGATTCTCTACTTCTTGATCCTTCCCCAACATATGCCCTGCAGGAGTGAGGAGGTGGGGGAACTAAGAAGGGAGAATGCCAGGACACAGTCTTCTGATCCCCTAAAACAGGACCAGAGCATCACTGTCCACATCACGGCAGGGAGAACATTTATGCCAAGCTCAACAAATCGAAACTGCCTTGGACTGCATGATCAGCCAGGGCCTTTATTGTCATCCCCAACCTATAGGAAGCCTTGTCCCAATCCCAGGGGTTTCTCCAAGCCACTGACATTTGGGGTTGAATAATTCTTGTTGTGGTAGACTGTCCTGTCCATTTTTAGGATGTTTAGTGGCAACCTTGGCTTCTATCCACCAGGAGACATTAGCATCTCCTTAGCTATAACAGCCAAAAATGTCTCCAGACACTGCCAGATGCTCTCTGGGACGGACAGAGGGAAGGAGGGAGAGAGAGGGAGGGAGGCAGGAATGGAGGGAGGGAAGAGTGAAGTTGTCCCCCAACTGAGAACCACTGCTTTAGATAGAGCTTTCTAAACTTCCAATGGCTTCTGAGTGTGACATGAGTCCCAAGACTAGCCCTCTTTTTTTTCCATCCTTCCCTCCTTCACCTCACTCCCTCCTTCCTTCCTTCTTTTCCCTACAGTAAGAGCTTTGAATATTGATACAAAATCCAAAGCTCCAAGAAAAAGACATAGGATACTGAGGCCCAGGGAAGTAATAGATGTACAAGCCTGGTGCACATCACTGACAACCCAGGGGAAAACAGCCAGCAACATCAGGTTCTCAAGATAGGTCCTGTCTCTGGAAACTCAATTTCAGGAAGGCCTGCTCCTCCCCAGCCCCTTGTGCCAGCCTCTCTTCTCCAGCAATGTTTAACATCCTGTCTAATGTAACAAAGCCACTAATCAGTTCTCCAGCAAATAGACGGCTGGCTGCAGCCCACACGCTGCCTCCCCAGCCTCAGCTTGGTCCCTTCACTGCCCTAACTCATCTCTCAGCTTCCTGGACCATTCCTGACTGCCCCGGAGGAGCTGTCTCAAATAGATTCTCCCAGTCATCTCTCCAGGTGGACAGGGGACCAGGGGATGGAGATGTACAGAGACAAGTGGACCCTGAGTCCTGGACCACTAAACTGAACCAGCTGAGAGCAAATAAGTATCAAAGGAATGGCTCAGAGTTGGAGGAGACGGTAGGCTGGGAAATGGTGTGCAGAACATCCTAGGGAGGACAGAGCTAAAGGAGCTAAGGCTGAATGGGAGATTCAGCAGGGGCATGAATGGGAGACAGGGAGCCTGGCAGACTGCAAATTTCTACCTGCATTCCTGCCCACACAGCTTTCTTGGGACAGTCCACATGACCCTTGGAGAGGGACGAAGAGGTGGACCCTCTTCCCTGAAGGCCTGGCCCTCAGCAAGCCCAGCTGGAGAAGCCAGAGGTCTCAACCTTTCCCAGCTTGGATGATGAAATAAGGGACAAAAGGCATCACCGAGAATTTCTGCTTTGCACTCTTCTAAAAGGGGATTATCAGAGCCCAAAGGTGTCACACAAATCCTCTTAAAGGAAGAATCCAGCCCCTCTGGGCCCTGCTCCCACTCCTCCCCACAACCTCCCACTCCTCCCTACAACCTCCCACTCCTCTCCACAACCTTTCACTCCTCCCCATAACTCCTTTGGTCTTAACCACACATACAGCACTCCCCCAGCCCCAACCTAACTGGAAAAACCAGTTAGGAAAGGGGTGTGTGTATACGCACAGGCACTGAGAATTTCTCCAAACACAGTCCTAAGCTTCCTGGACCACACCCATTACTAGGGTCCTGGGTCTGCAGCTTCCCTCCCCAACAACCTCCGTCCGGTTCCAACCAGCTGTTTCTCCTGGTTCTCAGCCTTTTTCCCTCTCTCACACAGGACAGAAAGGGCCAGGATAAGAGCCCAACTCCCTGGCAACAGATCAGACTGGGGCCTCTAAGGGGCTGGCTGTTGCCCACCCTCCAAGCCTTGACACCATTTCTCGACAGCCCCGGCACCTTCCCTGGGCTGCACCTCTTGGCTGTTTTGTTTCCCACTGCAACCTCCATCCCAGTGGGTGCCCTCTGCTCCTTACTGTTTCCCAGCCTGGGGGCAAATAAGGGAAGCAACCAGAGAGAGTGGAGGCTCAAAAGACTTTGCAGTCCAGGCTGACTGGCCCGGTCCCCGGCTTGCATCCCACTGAAGTTCCTGGAAACGCTCCCTCAGCCCAGGCTAGCTGATGGGAGTGGGAATCTGCAGGAATGCAGCTCAGGCGCCGAGGCCACTCCACATAATTCCTTAACAAGCTGCTTCCTTGGGTGCATTTTTAAGTGTCAGGCTCAGAATGCAAACATAAGGCCTGGTAGAATAGCAGCATCTTCCAGGGGCAGATGTGAGATGGGACAGGCGGGAAATAGCAGCCCTGGAAGCAGCAAGGCAGTAACTTTCTTTCCGAACTCCTTTTCTGCAAGTTAGCAAGGTAAACCTCAGTATGTTTGGGAGTACCCCACCCCAGCTCCTCAGGCATCATGCCTAGTGTAGGCAGGAGGCCAGCAAACCCTCCACAACCCCCATTCGAGTCCACTGTTCACAGACAGACATGTTTGTCTTGGGGCCAACTGGCCCTCCACCTATGACAGACAGGACTCCAGTCCAATCACCAGGACCCAAGATGGAGATGAGCACTAGGCTCTCTGCCTCCCAACAGCTCCATTCCTGCATGCCTGCAGGAGCCTGATCCAGCGGGGTCAGAGTCATCCTTCACCCCACAGAGCACAGGCTGGGCCAAGACCAGAGAGACGGCTCCCAGGAAGTCCGAGCCACTGATCAGTCCTAAGCAAGACGGGAAACTGCCATTCTGAGTTCAGCAATAAGACACCCCCTGAAGCCTTGTGGGGAGCTCCAAACTCTCGGGCCTGTCCCCAGGGAAGGAAAAGGAAACCCACCAGAATCTAACAGAAAGAGAGTATTTTCCTCTGTATTTCCCTCTGGCCTCCCTAGTCAGGTCCCAGAAATTCAGATTGGGCTGCTATGGGGACATAAAAAGGGAAAACACGCACAGGGCACTGTCCTAACTGCAGACTCCGGAAACCACCCCCACCACCCCACGAGGCCAAAGCAAAACCTAAACATCCGATGCAGTATATTCCCAAACTGGTGCCTGGGTCGCTCCCCTCCCTTTCTCCTGCATCCTCCCCCTCTCTTCTTTCCCTGTTCTCTAAGTGCTCCAAAGATCCAGAAGCCAGGTGAGCAGCTACCTCTACCTTCTGCCCACACAGCGCTGACCCCTAGCTGTACTCAGCCACCCAAGAGGCAGCCAAGGTGCTCCCATATTTTTTTTAACTCCTCATGCAACACCCAGAGTGGAAGAGAGTCCTCCCTAATGAGTGGGGAGGCAGCTCTGTTGCCCCACCCCCTCCCTACCTCCTGTTGCAGGGTACATTCTAGTTTGGCAGAAACTGCAATGTGTCAGTTTGCTGCCCAGGACCCTGGGAGCACCCAGTGTGGCTGCTGCCGTGGGCAGAGAGGGCTGTGTTTTTCTGATGTCCCTTGACTATGCTGGGTGCTGGCAATCCTGTGGTCCTCCCATTCTCTATTATCTGACAAGGATTTCCTGTGGGGATACGTTCTTGGATCATCTGAACTGAAATAATTTGAGAAAGGGACGGCTTCAACCATTTCTCTCTGTCCAGAGTTCCACCATCCAGGGCTCTGTTCAGGATTTTTTGGGGCAATGTTTGGGGGGCAGAATTTTGGAAGAACTGTTCTGGGCAACACAGCTGTTCCCCAGGCCTTCTTAGGTCAGGTTTGAGAGAAGGGAAAGAGGAGGGCAAGTGTGTCTAGGCCTCTGCCTACTCACTCATTCGGGAGGACTTTCTTCCACTCTGGGATGTTAGTCTTGCATAAGGAGGTGAGAAATACAGGAACAGCACTGGCTGCCTCTTGGGTGGCTGAGTAGAACTGGGGTATGGGCTGCAGTTGGGGCATCTTCCTTAACTGCCCACCTGGCTTCTGGATCTTTTGTTCTGATGCCCCTAGCTCTTGACCTCTGCTCTGGGTGGCCTATAGGTACAAAGCTGTCTTTTCCCCAGTGGTAAGGGAAAGGGCCTCCCTCCCCAAACTCTTTTGCGGTTCTAGGGACCTCATTCCCACAGTCTTCCTGCTGTGACCCAGTTTTGCATGGCTACATACTATACGCTCTGTTCCTGGGAAAGCAGTGTCCCTGCACATCCCAGCATGGCTGCTGTCTCCCCAGAAACAATGGCCCAGCAAGTGGTAAGGAAACGGCTGTGAAACCAATGGCTCAGATCAAATGAGGGAACAGATGGCCCTCTCTTCATAAGATTCCAGGCTTCTGGCTCACGCCTATAATCCCAGAACTTTGGGAGACCGAGGCAGGCGGATCATGAAGCCAGGAGATCGAGACCATCCTGGCTAACACGGTGAAACCCTGTCTCTACTAAAAATACAAAAAAATTAGCCAGGTGTGGTGGCGGGCACCTGTAGTCCCAGCTGCTGGGAAGGCTGAGGCAGAAGAATGGCATGAACCCGGGATGCGGAGCTTGCAGTGAGCCGAGATCGCACCACTGCACTCCAGCCTGGGTGACAGAGCGAGACTCCGTCTCAAAAAAAAAAAAAAGATTCCAGGCTTCTGATAATCTGGAGGTTTCCCTCTACCCTGGGCCACTTCTCTCTCTCATGTATTAACTAACACCACATTCTTCAGATTCAAGGCCCAAGACAGAGGCAAGACAGGGACATAGAGAGGGAGCCAGCAAGCAGGCAGCACACAGCCTCTCTCCTCCTCACTGACCTACACTGACACGCACACTTCACTTGGGCAGAATCAAAGCCCCTTACTGATGAGGATGCTAATAGAATTGAAATGAACGCCAAAAAACAAAACAAATGCAACCCAGGCTAGAGCATTCTATCTTTCATCTGATCTGTGAACACAAGTTTGCCAATACCATGTCTTCCCACCTGTTGGAAGACAAATCCCAATGGAGTCTCGCATTTCTGCCCTTCTTCTGAACAAGAGGAACTGACAGTTCCAGACTGTATTTTAAAGGGTATTTATACAGCAAACAGCCTTGGAAGACAGAGATAGTGTCTCCCTTCAGGGCAGAGGCAGATTTGTTTCCTGACCAGAGTGATAAAGATAATGTCTCCTCCAAGGACAAAGGTTAGGCAGGTTTGCCAGCAGTCTCTGAAAAGACTGGGGTTTCCTACGCTTGGGCTCCCCAGCTGGGACATGGACCTGCAGTGTGTGCAGCTTCCACCTGGGCCTTCTCCACACCGCCCCATGGGACTTAGGCACAAGGGGAAACCCGTGTGAACACGAAGCTCATGCTGCCTACTGTGCCATAAGTAATAAAGTCCTTTGCGACCCAGGGGTCTCGTGTCTTCTGCCAGCACCATGAAACTGGGGCAATGAAATGTGTTAGCTTGTACAATAGACTGAATGTTTCTGTCCCCCAAAATTCCTATGTGGAAACACAGGTGAGGCCTCTGGGAGGTGATTAGGTCATGAGTGCAGGGCCTTCACCAATTAGGGCCCTTTTAAAAGAGACCCCAGAGAACTCCCTCCGCCCCTTCCACCATGTAAGAACACAGAAAGAAGATGGCCATCTCTGACCAGGTAGCAGGCCTGCACCAGACACTCAATCTTATTTAATTCTAACAATAACCTTATGAAATATTACTTTTTTTTTTTTTTTTGAGACGGAGTTTCACTCATGTTGCCCAGGCAGGAGTGCAATGGCACGATCTCAGCTCACTGCAACCTCTGCCTCCCGGGTTCAAGCAATTCTCCTGCCTCAGCCTCCCTAGTAGCTGGGATTACAGGTGCCTGCCACCATGCTCAGCTAATTTTTTGTATTTTTAGTAGAGATGGAGGCTGGTCTCGAACTCCTGACCTTAGGTGATCCACCAGCCTCGGCCTCCCAAAGTGCTGGAATTACAGGCACGAGCCACCATGCCCGGCTCGAAATATTATTACTATTATTGTTGTTGTTAATATAGTCACATCATCATGTTATAAGAGAAAAACAGAGTCTTCACAAAAGTTAAGTGATTTGCCTTAAGGGCACACAGCTAAGGAAGAGGGCCTGTTGGACTTCAAAGCCTTCCAAAAATAAAGGAAAGGAATGATGTTGTTTTCTCCTTCTCGTGTCCCCAAAGGTCCTTTGGATTTCAGTTCATTCAAGAGCCAGGCTTTTAATCACAAAGCCACTCTGTCTAAGCTAAGGTGCTTCCCCTGATGTCCCATTCCAGGAGGAGTTCCAGAAGGTGGGACCATGCCTGCCCACAGTGAAGGAGGTCAATCTAGGTGTCTCCTCCTGTTCCTGTTCTTCTGCAGCCCCCTGAGATGACCCAGGTGCCACCTCTGCCATTGCTTACCCACAATATCTTCATAGGCATTTTCTTCTAAAGTGCTTTTGGATCCAAACTTGGGTTGGTTCTCAGTACCATTCTCAGTGGGAGAAGAGGGGTACAGGGACTGGAGACTGGATGCATCCTCAAACTCAAAGGATTTTCTGTGGATAACAAGAGCAAGAGTCATTCCTGCTGAATCAGATCTCTGCTGCCTTGCTGGGGAATGTCCATGGCAACAGCAAAGACCATAGGCCCTCCTTACAAAGGCAGCTTCTGAAAGAGCATCAAGGTGGGTCCAAACTTACCATCCAAATGAAGAGACAGATGGTCTGAAAGGCCCCAGCCTGGGTGCCTGCAATGTGCCTTATCCTGAATAATACCGCTATTAGATAACAACTACCCCAGCTTAAAAGCATGCTGTTCCAGGTGCTGCGTCAAATCCACCTTTACATGTGTTATCTCATTAATCTTCACAACAGTGCCACCAGTATTGGGACATCTTGTGAAAGAGGAGATGGAAGTGACAGAGGCATGATTCTCCCAGGCGACGTCTCACTCCAGGGCCTGAGCTCTTAACTATAATTTTGGCCTTGAGCCCTAGAGAATATCCTCCTTGAGAAGTGTCTGTGATTCCACTGGAATTGAGTGCCTGGTCTGCCTCTGGAGTCTCACATCCTCATCTGCATCCTAGCTGGGGACTCCTGCCACTGCACTAAGCAGGTAGGAAGGCTCAACACTGGGAGGGTCCCACTCAGGGCTGTCAGGGGGTTGGAAAAGCAGTTGTTGCTGGGTGGTTTGTTGAAGCAGGAAGGGCTGAGCCCTTAAAACAAATAAGACCACTGCCAAGGTGGAGCTGGGAGGACAATTTGCAGCCAGAAGCTGCTTCCAAGACCAGGCTTCCCTTCAGCTAGCTTGCTCCTTTCCATCCTTTGGACAACCTTCCTCTCTACTGTATAATTTCAAGACCACAGCTTGTTGTCTCCTAAGACACCCTGAGCCTACAGCACTCTCTGCCCCTCTCCTTCATGAGAGAGGTACGTCCCTCATCTGAGACCCCAACTGTACCCTCTCCCTCTCCAAGGCAAGTCCCCGCAGGCTCCTGGGGAGGGAAAGAAGGAAAGGCACTGACTGGATCCCTCCTCCCACCCATGAACACCTCCCTCTTCTTTGGGGCACCATCAGACCTTTCAGCCAATAAAGCCCTTTTTCTCTTGTTTACTAACAGCTTCTCCTGAGAGTCCTAGGGTGTAGGTAAAGGGCTAAAAGTGTCCTGAAGGCTACAGCTTGTTCTTAGCTTGCCTGCCCCTGCCCCGCCCCAAGCACTCAACACAACCGAACACTCTTTATATTGACATCTCCTCCGTGTGCCTCTGTGACACATTCCCTCCTGGCTTTCAACTAACTCTCTGGCCACTACTTTTCAGACTCTTGTGAGGGGTTCTCCTTTTCCATTTGCCTTTTAAGTGTCCGGGTCTCTCAGAGTTCTGTCTTAAAAACTCTTTCTCACTCTGCACTTTCTAGGGACCAAATATCCATGGGCCATTGCCATATCTACCATCTCTATCTTGATGACTCCCAGATTTCTGTCTTTGGCCCAGAGATTCTCAACTAGTTAAACATCCAATGGCTGAGCACAGTGGTTCGCAAATGTTGGCCCAGGACCAGAGTTAGTGTGAGAGCAAGTTTTCTTTGGCATATACAGTAGACTCAGCATCGTATGCAGGTAGCCCTCAAGTCAGTAAATAAGACACAAATCATGTTCAGTCAAATTATCCTTGAAAATCCCCCAGGAAGGTGTCACACTGAGGACCAACATGCTGTCTCTCATTAAAACTAATAGTTTCTCCCCAGGTTTTTTTTTTTTTTTTTGGCTGAATGCCAGAAGAAACATTTGGCTTGGCTTGCATTTTACACAAACACACACACACACACACACACACACACACACACACACACACACGCAAATTTTTTTGAGAGACAAGGTCTTGTGCTGTTGCCCAGGCTAGAGTGCAGTGGTGTGATCATACTCGCTGTACCCTCAACCTCCTGGGCTCAAGCTATCCTCCCTCCTCAGCCTCCCAAGTAGCTGAGACTGCAGGCACATGCCAACACTCCAGCTAATTTTTTAAATTTTTTGTAGAGATGAGGTCTCATTATGTTGCCCAGGCTGTCTCGAACTCCTGGTCTTAAATGATCCTCCCACTTTAGCCTCCCAAAGTGCTGGAATTACAGGTGTAAGCCACCTCACCTGGACTGCATTTTTTTTAAAATAAAAAAGTATATTAAATATAAGAATCACACTTGGTATAACAGACACAAACTTACCATCTCTACTCCTCATGGAACATGTTCACTGTGTGAAATGGCATACAGAACAGACTGCACTTCTGGAACTGTTTCTCTTTTTCCAAGAGCACAGATTTAAGTTTGCTAAGTTAATTCTTACATGAAGGGACTCCTCCATATATGGTATACGTGTGTATATATTATATATAAATGCAGTGTGGGGTGGAATATGTGTAAAACCTTCAGGCTGATGAACTCTCCCCCCCACTCCCTTTGGTCACCTAGCCAACTGCTTTTGGCTCTTCTAAATTTAGCTCAGCAACTCCCTCTATGAGGAGCCTCCCTTCTCTCCCCCATCTAACTCAGATGCCCCTTCTCTGGGTCTCTGCGGCCTCCTGCACTGCCATGAGTCATGGCACGTATGACATTATCTATGATTTATCTGTGCACCAGACCACGAAGTCCTTGAATGGAAGAACCATGTCCTATTTGCCTCTGCATCCTCTTGACCAGCACAATCTTGGTGCACAGCAGGCTCTAGAAGAATGTTTATAGAAATGGATGAACAAGGACAAAGCAAACACTCTTGGCAGGCCGTTTAAGAATTAAAGAGCCAGTGAGCATTCTGGGGTGGACTCAAACACGGGATTACCCTTAGCCACGGGCTGTTCCGGCTCGGGGGTCTGAATCTTTGAAATTTCTTCCTTTCTGCACATGGCAGGAAAGTTTATATATGAGATGGGATATGTTAGATGAAGCCTGAAGTGTGGGGACAAACTAAAGAATCCCCAGAAGTGAAACAAACCTGAATACCCATCAGTCGTGGGGTTAGATGAGAATGGCAGTAAGGTGTAGGAGGATAAGTATTCCCAAGGAAGCTCACTCCCAGCCTACCCTGATTCAGAGAACAAGACGCCTGCCAGCTTTCACCAATTCCAATAGCTCCAGCTCCAAGTTACCGGGGAGACAGCCCTTGGTAATCTGGGGTTAGAAATCCTGAGACTGACCAGGAAACCAACGTGAGCCTCGGAACAGGCTCATTCCTGTTTTACTCCTTTTTTCATCAATCTTCCCAATAATCCCCTCTTGATATAGGCCCAGGGTTCGTATATGGCCAGGAGGCCTTCAGGAGAGAAGGAATTGTGTTAAATTTGCCGACACTACCATGTTAATGATAAAATGCAGTATTCAGATAATGCTTCATTCAAAGAAATTAATTTCTAATGCTGGTACTTCAGGTGGTAGGGAGGCTAAGATCCTACTACTCCGCAAAGGACTGCCTGCTTTACCTACTCCCAACAGAAGACTGAGGAAGCTACAACAGGGGCAGGACACAGCCCAGCTCTACCCCAAAGGCCAAACCCAGCCAATACCTTCAGTGACCAGCACTCAGGTCCCAAGTATCCTGTAAGCATTCCCACTCATGTCCAAGTATCTTGTAAGAGCAGAACAATCTCATTTTTCACTACCACAACTACCACCTAACAATTATTCAGCACTTCAGAGCTTACGAAGCACTAATGACTGCGACCCATCCTACAATCTGTGTTTGCACTGTCCATTTAAAAGAAAGCCACGGTATTCAGCTACAACACACCGGAGGGGCATGCATTACCTGCTCTGGGACTTGCGGTGACCACGCATGTCCTTCTTGGGTCTCCGGGTGACTGGCGGGGCTGGGGTGGAGGGCAAGGGAGGTGGAGCAGCAGGTGTGGGTGAAGGAGGTAGACCATTACTGGGCTTACTCTTGGGGTTCTTGTCAGCCTCGTATTCAAAGGTGCGCTTGGGTTTGGGGACAGGGTTCACAGCGGGATCGAGGGAACTCTTCGATGGCAGCCGCTGGGAGCTAGGGCTATTTCCAGGGGTCCCGGGCTTAGTGGAACCACTGCCTTCCCTCTCTGGGGGTGGGCCCGCCTCCCCCGCAACACCAGCCACTCCGACTGCCCGGCTGCCAGCGCTCACACTCGCGCCCCCTGCCGGCTCCTCCAAGGAGCCCAAGGTTCCAGTCTTCCTTTTCCCCCGGTCCACGCTGTAGCAGCTGCTGGGGAGCTGGGGGAGCCCCCGGCCCGGCTGCTCCTTCAGGACCTGTTCAATTTTCTGGATCCGGCTCAGCACTGCTGAGCTCTCCTTCCTGCTGCCATGCCCCCTGAGGAAGGCGCTGGGCTCACTCCGGCCCAGCCGTTTCTCCAGCCGGTAGAAAGAGTCCCGGACAGGGAGCGCCTCTCCCTCCTCCTCAGTCTCTGGGTAGGAACACTCGGAGAAGGTCCTGCTCATCCTCCGGAGGCCCTTGAAATCAAAGGTCTTTTCAGAGCTGCAGGGGGACGGCACCACGCTGGGACAGCCCAGGCTGGGGCAGCCCTCACTGGCCGCCCACTCGCTCCCAGAGCCCTCCCGCTTCTCTCCACACATGCTCATCCTGGGCGACGCCTCTCGGCGACCTTCCCATGCTGATATCTTCTCCCGGATGCCCAGGCTGTGGGCGCGGGTACCGGTACGGGTCAGCAAGACGCCCCGGGGGCCAGCTGCTGGCCCCGGGAATGGCGTGCTCTGGGCAAGGGGGAGGCAGGCAGCGACCCCTGCTACATCCTGGGCTGCGCCTTGGACACTTTCCTTTTGGGCGTCTCTCTTGCACGCCGAAGGGCTTCTGTCCAAATAACCGAAGCTGGCGGTCTTGAAGGGACAGGTGGGTGGGGAAGTATCTGGGGAGGGATCTTGAGGATTCTGGGGTGAAGGAGCTGGGGGGTGCCGGTCCTTGAGGAGCACCCGGGAGCTGGAGTGGCTGGGGTACCTGCAGGCTGAGGTTTCACTATCACTGAGCGGGTAGATGGGACTCCTTGGTGGGGAGAGAACTGGAGGTGGAGAGACTGACTGAGACCTGGGGGCAAAACAAAACAAAGGAAAAGAAAAGAAAATGGCAGTGAGTGGCTGACCAACCAGTGGCATCCTGTTTTATTCTTACAGAACTCAGCATCTTTTTCCTGGAGGACTCTCAAAGAGTATTCTATTCAAGTAATATACCTTGAAGGCTGTCTTCAAGGAGAGCAATAGCTCCTTAATCACAGCAGGCCAAACTCAACAGGCCTCTCTGCCCAAACCATCCCCAGGCACCCTGAGTAATGTCTGAAACAGACACCTGTTCTGTGCCAAGCGAGAGCATCCCAAGAGTCTAACATCTGCCAGTAAGAGGACAGAAAGCCCAGTGGTGTGCTGCCACATGCTTAACAACCAGTTCTCAGAAGGTGTGGTGGCTCATGCCTGTAATCCCAGCACTTAGAGAGGCAGAGGCAAGAGGATCGCTTGAGCCCAGCAGTTCAAGACCAGCCTGGGCAACATAGTGAGACTCTGTGTATGGTAAAAAGAGGGAAAAAGGGACCAAAAACCCCAAAACCAAACAAGTCTGAACAACCGGCTCTCTAGGGGCAACAGCAGATTGGTAGCACTTGCCAACTTTGGTAGTATAAATATTCCAACTATGGCTGAGCTACCAATGTGACGTCACTGGCTGTGGAGTTGAGAAGAGATGCCACTAATCAGCTCTTGTGAACTGGTGCAAGGTGGTTCTTGAACACTACTCCCTGAAGTGGCCCCCAAATACACTCAGACCCTTTGATCTTTCCCTTTAACAAGCCTCTGTCTCCCCTGGGACTTCTGCTACTAGACATAACATCTCACTTCTTCATGTTGGGTTCTGACCAGAATTAGAATCCCTGAGGGCCTCAGACAGGTCAGAAGCGCCCCTCAGGAAAGAGTCTTTTCCACTCTATCATTGAGGAAGCCAATGGGGTGGGGAGGCCAACTCCTTAGGCAGCTCCACCCTCCAGCAGTGGCATCACATCCAATAATTGGCATCTACCATGTCCCAGCTCCAAATCCATATGCAGATCTTGGCAACTACAAGGAACACTTCTGAATAAATGTTTTTACATATGTTAACTCATTTAATCTTCCTGAAAAGTCTATGAGGTTATCATGTTTATTATCTTCATTTTACAAATAAAAAACACTAAGGCACAGAAAGGTTTAATATCTCATCCGAGGTCACTCAGCTGGTAAGTGAAACCAGGACGTGAACTTCCACTACACTGGGCTGACTCTCTGAAGAGGAAGCAGTGCCTCTGCCACTTTCTGAACTGCCAGGGCCCTGAGGCAACTCAAGAGAAATCCCCACAGCACTCAGCACACCCCTGCCACAGCACTTGTAAGTATCAAGGGACTTCTTGGTCTTCCCTACTAGACCATGGTTTCTTCTAGGCCCAGGGACAAACAAATAGTGTCTGGAAGGTGCTCGGTGAATGATGAAGAGCAAAAGGAAGGGAAAGGTGAGCTTATTGAAGAGCACCATGAGCATACTTCCTCTTGGGCACACTTTTCTACTTGTCTACTAGAGTAACCACTGTCAACTTTCAGAATTCTTTCCAAACAGTTTCAGTTCAAAAACAGCAGGATTTGCCAACACTGCACAGCACAAGGCCTACCTGACCCTAAGGCCGTGGCCCTCAGCTCTGGGCTGCCCAGCCTCTCAGGCTCCGGAATGCCATGCTATCCACAGGAAGGCAGCCAGCTGCCCCTGAGCCAGGCTGCTGTCACTGCTCGCTCACACACAGAAAACTGGAGTTTGGGTGAGTCAGGGATTGGCTGACAATTCCCTGCTGGGTCACAGGCCTCTGGCTGCCCCCAATCAACAGGAAACCTCAACATGCTTAAGTTGTTTTTCAAAGGGCAAGTCAAACAAGAGCCATCCCATGTGTATATGGGCACAGATGAGAGAAATTCAGTGCCAAGCCAAGCCAATGACCAAAGAGGCTCTGCTCAGTGAGGAGGTGTGAACAGAGTAAGCCTCCGCACTCCCTGGGGTAGGGAGCGGCAGGGCAAGTCGCCAGGCTTGAGGCGGGGGGAGATCCCAACTTCCTCACAGTTCATGGAGGCCTTAGGTCTCTCTTATTTTATAGAACCATAAATACAAAAGGTCATCAGTCTAGCCCCTAAGTGAATGAGTGTCTGTGCTACACAAAGGACTCTGTTTTAGTTCTCAACTGAAGATGCATTTGACAGAGGACAATTTCATTTGTTTATTCATTCGACAAATACTTAGTGAGCACCTACTCTGTGCTAGGCCTGTTCTAGGTGCTAGATACAAGAATAAACAACACAGACATAAATTCATGTCCTCGTGAAGCTTATATTCTACTGGGAGATGGCAGGCACCTAATGAGACTCACAATCTCTTGGGAAGCCTTTTTAAACTATACATGCCTCACCTGCTCAGGCACTTTGATATGTGGTTCCCTAGGGCTGTGTCTCCCCAGCGGCCCAGGAGAGAATTCACCAGTCCATGGAACCACTGTTACTTATGGTAGTGTGGGGCATGGCTCCTTGGGATAGGAAAATGATTCAGGTCCTCTGGTCCATCTGATCCCAGCATGCTTTCAGAAAGAGTGATTCTATAACTTCCCTTAGTGGCTCCAGCACGAATAAATCCTCACAGGTTAAGAACTTTCTCTCAATGCCTACCCTGCTTCAACTGAGGTTTCATTTCTCCCCTCTCATGCAGCATAAAATAGAGAGTAGACTGGCCCTTTCCTCTGAAGGTCCTGTCTTTGGTGTCACTGCTGACCTGGGACCCACGGCTTCACGTGCTACCCTTGCCCCAGCCTCCCCACACAGGCCAGGCCCAGTGCACTGTACCACAGAGGAACCTGCCTGTGCTGACCTGAAGCCCCATATCACAGAGAAGGCACCAGTCACTCATTCCAAGGTCTGGTAAACAATAAAGATAAGGCCCTGCCCTCCTGGGGTGACATTCTCACTTGAGGGTAGAATTCTCTGTTATCTGTCTGCATGTTTCTGATTCTACCTCTTATTAGCAATGGACTCACACTCTGAACATCCAGTTTCATTTCTTCAAAACTGTTCCATTTTACATCGCAGGGTTGTCATATTGAGCCAATGAGACCATGGATGCAAAATGCTCATTATCATTAGTACTGTTTTTTTTTTTTATCAGGTTATGGCTAGCCAGTCAGTCTCAAGAGAGGGTAAGAACATCACAGCCTTGGGGTTCAAGTTTCAGTGTAGCCACTTATAAGCTTCATGACTTTGAGCAAGTAATCTTCTCTCCCTAAGCCTCAGTTTCCTTAACTCTAAAATGGGTGTTGGAAGATCACGTATCTCGGCCAGGTGCAGTGGCTCACGCCTGTAATCCCGGCACTTTGGGAGGCTGAGACAGATGGATGACCTGAGGTCAGGAGTTCAAGACCAGCCTGGCCAACATGGCGAAACCCAGTCTCTACTAAAAATAACAAAAATTAGCTGGGCGTGGTGGCAGGCAACTGTAATTGCAGTGACTCGGGAGGCTGAGGCAGGAGAATCACTTGAACCCAGGAGGCGGAGGTTGCAGTGAGCCGAGATCACGCCATTGCACTCCGGCCTGGGCAGCAAGAGTGAAAACAAGAGTCTCAAAAAAAAAAAAAAAAAAAAGAAAGATCACATATCTCAGAGAATCCCTGTGAGAAATAGTACCTGTCGCGCATTGAGCTTGGGGCCTAACACACAGTGTTCCATCTTAGCTTGATAATTACTCATATTCACAAGGGGCTGGCTCTTCAGAGTAATCACCTGGGAAATTTGGTCAGTTTGCCACTGTCAATGGATCCTGAACGCTGTCGGGGCAGGGGGGCGGGAGGGCGGGGAGTAAATCAAATATGACCATGAATTCTCAGCAGCTCAGGCTATGGAAAGGTGGAGTCTATTGCTCCGTCACTCGAATCTTGGTTGATCTCGGTGATTTGCTTTGAGTATAATACAATGTGGCAGTGGAAATTGAAATTGTTCAAATTCTAAACTTGAGGCCTCAAGAGGCCTTGTAGTTTCTCCCTTTACCCACCTGGAATGCTGCCCTGACACCGTCACATAAGGAAGCCAGTCTAGTCTTTTAGAGGACGAGAGGTCCCATGGAATGTGACCGAGGCACCTCTGTCAATAGCCAGCCTACAACTGCCTGACTCATGAATGAGGCCACCTTGGACCCAGACCCAGCCGGACACAGCTACATGAGTGCGCCCAGGGGAAACCAGCAGAGAACCACCAGAAAACCCACAGAAATGTGAGAAACAATCAACTGTGTTAAGCCACTAAGTTTTGGGGTGATTTGCTCCACGGCAGCAGTAAAAAGATGCAGGTGGGAAAGGCCACGCCTGCGTATCATTGGCCCATCCCATCCCAATGCAGAGCCACTGCCCTGGCCTTCCTTCCCCACTTCCCCACAGGCCAGCTTAGCTTCCATGATGTCTGGATTGGATCTCTCTCTCACTACTACAGGCTCTGATGCTCTTATGGGGGCACCCCCTGGAAGTGGAGCTAGTTCAGCCACCCTAAGAATCAGCTTCCACCAGTCTTTGCTCCCAGGCTGAAGGAGGGTCAGGAGAGTCTCACCTAGAGAGGGAACACTAGGGAGGCTTCAGGAGGGACACAATGGGAGCCAGGTGTCAGGATGTCTAGATCCTCGTGACAAAGAGTTTGCACAGCAGGTGTCATCCCCTGGCATGGATGGGAGAGAGTGCTCATTCCTGGGCTTCAGTTCCTCTCTGTCTAGTTGTTTCCTAGTTCCTCAAACTGAGACTCGGAGGGAAAGTAAGATCATTCTCCCCTGTTGGACAAGAGGAGACCACGGCCAAGAGAAGGGCAGGGCCTGCCTTCGGATGCCACCATGGGAGCAAAGCCACTGACAGTCTCTAGCTTCACTTCTTCATGGTTCCTAGGCCAGCTCCTTGCTAGCCTTCTCTGCATCTGAACGAAGGAAGCCACCTATCACCAAGACCACAGTGTGCAACCCCACCAGGCCGGAGATACATTTTGGCTCTCCATCCATTCAACCAGATATATTGAGCACCAAGTCTATTCCAGGCACTATTTTAGGCTGAGGTGGGAGGACTGCTAGAGCCTGGGAGGTCAAGGCTGCAGCAAGCCACAATCATACCACTGCACTCCAGCCTGGGCAACAGAGTGAGACCAGAGTGAGACCTTGTCTCAAAAGAAAAAAAAAAGGATCAGCAGAGACTAAAAACAGACAAAGTCTCTTTTTCTATAGGTTACATTCTGGTAGACACACATCAAGTTGCCTTATTTGTTTAGAGTGAGCAGGTAACATATCAACTCTGTGAGACGGTTTGGGGGCCAATAAAGAAGAATAAAGAAGGGGAAAGGGATCAGAGATGAGCAGTAGAGATGAGTTGCTGTTTTACATAGGGAGGTCAGGGAAGCCCCTCTTGCCAGGGGACACATGAACACAACCCAAAGGAAGTGAGCAATGTGTCTATCCAGGGGAGGAATGTTCCAGACAGAAAGTGCAGTAGGGCAAAGATAACCGCATGCCTACTGTATTCCAGGGGCAACAAGGAGGCCAGTGTGGCCAGAGTGGAGGGAAACAATGAAGTGTGGGCTGGAGATGAGCCTGAGAGACACCAGAAGCCACATTATGGAAGGCCCCATGGGCCACTGATAAGACTTGGGCTTACACTCTCAAGAGAAGGAAGCTCTTGAGTGGATGTGAGCAGGACAGTGACAGAATCTGACTTCACATCAGAGGATGACAGGCAGGGGTACAAAGGTGGCAACAAGGAGACTATTTAGAATGCCACTGCAGCAATCCAGACAAACGATTATTATGATGACTCGGATCAGAAGGGTACTGGTAGAGACGGATCTACTTTGAGGGCTGGGCCAATGCAATTTGCTGATGGGTTAGATGAGCAGTGAGACACAAACGGGAAGTCTAGGACAGCATCAGGATATTTGGCCTGAGCACTGGTAGAATAGAGTCTGGGTTATAAATTTCAATATGGGAGTCATTAGTGGTATATAGAAATATTTAAAACCATGTGGCCAAATAAGATCCTCTAGAGCGTAAGTGTAGCTAGAGAAGTCCAAGTGCTGGGACGTTCCAGTGTGTTGGGGTCTGGACAAGGAAGAAGAACTAGCCAAGGAGACCGATTGAGAAGAGGATTTAGTGAGAAAAGAAGAAAACATGAAGAGCAATGTCCTGAGACACTTAAGAAACAGGGAGTGATCAACTGAGTCAAACCTGCCAACAACTAAGTAAGAGAAGGACTGAGAAATGATTTGAAACATGGAGGTCACTGTGACCTGACGAAGAGAGGTTTTGGTAGAGAGGTAGGAAGGGAAGCACGACTGGAAAAATTCAAGAAAAGGGAGGAGAAGCAGTGGAGACAGAGTACAGACAACTCTTTTAGAGTTTTCCTAAAAAAGGAACAAAGAAATGGGATGGTAGCTGGAGAAGAATATGGCATAATGGAAGCATCTTTCTCTCTCTTTTTCTTTCTTTCTCTTTCTCTCTCTCTCCTTCCTTCCTCCCTCCCTCCTTTCTTTTCTTTCTTTCATTCTTTCTTCTCTTCCTCTCCTTCCTCTTCTTCCTCTCCTTCCTCTCTCTCACAGGGTCTTGCTCTGTCGCTCAGGCTGGAGTACATAGCTCACTGTAACCCAAAAATCCTGGGCTCAAGCCATCTTCCCACCTTAGCCTCATGAATAGCTGGGACTACAGGTTCATGCCACCAGGTCCAGCTAATTTTTTTTTTTTTTTCACAGATGGGGGTCTCACTATGTTGCCCAGATAGGTCTTGAAGTCCTGGCCTCCAGTGATCCTCCTGCCTTGGCCTCCCAAAGTGCTGGGATTGCAGGCATGAACCACCATGCCAACCTTGTGACTGTAATTGGAATGATCCAGTAGAGAGGGAAAGGTTGTCAGTGCAGATACAGAGGGCACAAATGCAGGAATAACACGCTTGAGTAGGCAACGAAGAGGTGGGGACCCAACGCCCGTCTAAAAGGGCTGGCCTTATACTAGCACCCACTTTCCCATGTGCCTGCACTGGACGTCTGCTCTCACAGTCTCGTCCCTATGCTGCTTTACGCTTCAGTTGATCACTCCCTGTTTCTTGAGCGTCTCAGGACATCACTCTTCATGGTTTTCTTCTTTTCTCACTAAATGCTCTTCTCAGTCGGTTTCCTTGGCTAGTTCTTCTTCCTCGTCCAGACCTCAAAACACTGGAACGTCCCAGCGCTTGGACTTCTCTAGCTACACTTAACGCTCTAGAGAAACTCATTCCAGAGGGGGGAGAAAAGGTCAGAGTTTGTTCCCCTCCTGCTTCAAGCATCTGGATCCAGCCCTCTCCCCAAACACATTGATCTACTTGATGACTATGTCCTATCAATTCTACTTCCTAACATCTCTCAGATGTGTCCCCCTCCTCCCCATCCCTGCTGCTACTGCTACTTCTTTGGTCTCTTAACTCCTCTTTCTGCCTTCAGTGTTAAAGCAGTTTTGATCCATCCTCTCATCTTCTGACATTTTCCCAAAATGAAAAACTGATCATGCTTGAAACTCCTCATATCTACAGAATAAAATGCAAATTCACTGGCATTGTTGATGAGGACCCCATGAGCTGGTCCCTGCCTACTTTCCCCTTCATTATCCCACATTGTTTTCCCTCCTTATCAATCCTGTATCCCACCCTTAGGCACATCCAACTCTTAGCTCTTTCACACCCTACCCCCTTTCAGGTAGAGATGGCCTATGCAGAGGCCTCCACTGGGGAGACATCTGTGATGGCATGTATAACACTGCATTGCACCAGACTGTTTCCTCTCCCTTACTAGACTATGAGTGAGCCCACCTGAAGGTGGTAACAGTATCTTGTTAATCTTGATAGCCCCCTGCAAAGTGCCTAGAACTTAAAAGGAATTATTATTTGTGTTGAATGACTAAATGAATGAAAATGTAAATAGTTAAAAACCTAGGCCTCTTGTATGCCTGCTCACAACATTGTCTGCAGACTTCCTCGCCTTTCTCTTTGTGGTGTATGAGCTGAAGAACAACAGAGAAAGGTACACGAAGCACTCGGTGCAGCCCAGTATCGCCGTCAGCCCCCGAAGCCCTCTCCCACTAGGCACGAAAGCTACACACTGGCTGGGTCCTGGTCCCATCACTTTCTGGGTGTGCTCATGGGCAAGCCCTCTAAGTTCTCTGTGCCTCAGGTTCTTTAAACACAGACAACACTTACTCTGAGTGTCCTCACACACCAGCTGTGTGGCTAAGATGACGCAAATCTCTAACAGTGTTTGAACACTATAAATCATTCCATAAAGGTAAAATAAATAATTTTTAAAAGTAAATACAAAGCAGCCATCAGACACCCAAGACTGCTCTTATCATCTCTCTGTTATTCTACAATCCCAGAGTATGCCCCTGGGAGGCAGACACTGTAGAACTGGGCACTTGTGCCGTGGCCTTGTCAGCAGGCAGCCAGTTCTGCTGCTCAACACAGGCATGGATGCCAACACTGCAGCATGCAACTGGCCAAAACCAACATTTTAAGGAGAGATGAAGTAAGATGAACAGATAAAAGAAAGCAGGGGAGAATGCAAAGGACATTTAAAAGAAACAGAGCACCATAAATGCACACACACACACAAATATGTAAGACACATAATTAGGATGGAAAGAATATGAGCTAAGGTATGGAAAGAGAAATAAATTTAAAGAAAAAGTATTGTGGGCCAGACATGGTGGCTCATGCCTCTAATTCCAACAATTTGAGAGGCCAAGGTGGGAAGATCACTTGAGCCCAGGAGTTGGAGACCAGCCTAGGCAACATGGTAAAACTCTATCTCTACAAAAAAAAAATTTAAAAATTAGCTGGGTGTGATGGCATGCCCCCGTGGTCCCAGCTACTCAAGAGGCTGAGGCAGGAGGATCCTTGAGCCCAGGAGGTCAAGGCTACAGTGAGCCATGGTTACACCATGGCACTCTAGCCTGGGCAACAAAGTGAGATCCTGTCTCAAAAATTAAAAAAAAAAAAAAAAGAAACAAGAAAAGAAAAAGCATCATGTGTATGTGTGCGCATGCACATAGACAGAAAGTGAGAGTTAAAGTGCATAATAAATATTCCCTCTGGCACTGTCTCACAGGAACACGCCCCAATCCCTGGGCTAGTGACACAGGCCCCTCTTCAGTAACACAGGCCCCTCTTCAGTAACACAAGAAGCATTTGTGCTAAGGAATGCCTCATATATTGTCAGGTGCCCCGAGGAACTTTTCTGGAGGGAAGGCTGTCTTTAGTCCTTGATGAACTTGGCATGCTCCAAGTTGCTCTGCTTTTTCTGGTTATAGGGCTACTACAAGTGTTAGTAACAAGAAGGGACTAAGCTGGAGCTAGTTGGGAAAAAGTCCTAGTAGTCCTGGAAACAGCCTGAGAGGTACCATGAGTGCCATGAGTGTTATGAGTGCCATGAAGTGAGCCTGTCTGCAGGTGAAGGTTATACAGGGCTCAGTGTCCAAAATGCTTCCATCCCTACTAAGCAATGTCTAGCCTGCTTCAAATGAAACTGCCTGGAAGGTGGCCGGCCATTCAGCATTCTCGGGCTTCTCTACTAAGGGCCCTGTTGGCTTGGTGGCATCACCATCCTCCTGCCACTCAGTGACTGCCCCAATTCTGGGGATGGCATTCTCACTGCGCTACCCTAAAGCCATACTCTTGAGCGTGGAGGAGAAAAAGGAGGAAGAGTGCCTCAGTCAGCAAGTCCAAGAGTTTGTTCCCCAGCCTAGAGCAGAAACTTGCCCAGTAACAAGACATAGACATCCCATTCCAGAAAAGTCCTGAGAAAAAGCCAAAGGACAGGGTGATACTCACAACTTGGCTTTCTTGCTCCCAAAGCAAGCATCTCAAACAGTTGTGAGCCCTCAACAGGGTCCAGGGCAGCCTCAGCCCCCAACTGGGGCTATATCTAGGCCACCATCTATAGAGATTTTCCAGGTCCCTACAGCTTGTCAGAGTTACGTGAAAGGTAGTGAGAGTCACAGCATAAATTGAGTTGCCTTTTCAATTCCAGAAAGCACATCTAAGAATCTATGGAAGCCACACCTGTCTGCCCCCAAGCTGATTTCTAAGGAAGCACCAAGTGGACCGCTGAGCTCTTCTCCGGGAGGGAATGATGAACTCTCTAAGGAGCAGTGGCAAGTGAACACAGAGAGAATACTGACACTGCAGAAGCCCCCTCTGAGGTTACTGATCCCTGACAGGAACATCCCCAGTGCCCTAGTCCAGTAAAGACTGGGCTGCTGTATAAAGCAGAGCCAGGCATTAGACAAAGCCAAGAGGGAGGCAAATCCGATTCCAGGAAACCATGCCAATGGCACTTGTGGTAGTTTTAAAACGTGGTCCCCAAATTCTTTGACATGCCTCCAGTCAAAATAACCCCTCCTCTTAAATCTGGGCTCTGTTACTGCTTGATTGATAGCATACAATACAAGTGATGTGGTGCTACTTTTCAGGCCCAGGCCTAAAAAAATCAGCAGCTCCTAATTCCTGTCTACCATGCTAGGAGCAAGCCCAGGCCACGTGGAAAGGGTACATGTAGGTGTTCTGGCTGCCAGTCCCAGGTAAAGCCCCAGCAACAGCTAGAATCCCCCAGACGTGGGGTTAAGACATCTCCAGGTGATACCAGCCCCTAGCTACTGAGCCCCACCACAAGCCTTGAAGTCTTTTACTTTTTTCTTTTTGAGAGACAGTGTCTCACTCTGTTGCCAGGCTGCAGTGCAGTGGCAAGATCTCAGCTCACTGAAGCCTGGAATTCTTGGGCTCAAGCGAGCCTCCCGCCTCAGCCTCGTGAGTAGCTGGGAGCACAGGTGCATTCCAGCACACTGGGCTAATTTTATTATTATTACTAGTTTTTGTAGAGACAGGGTCTTGCTATGTTGCCCAGCCTGGTCTTGAACTCCTGGGCTCAAGTGATCCTTATGCCTCAGCCTCCCAAAGTGCTGGGATTACAAGCGTGAGCCACTGCGCCCAGCCAGCCTTGAAGTCTTTTTAGCCAAGGCAGACATCATGGAGCAGGGGCAAGCCATCCCTGCAGTGCTCTGTCTGAATTCCTAATCCATGGAGTCTGGGAGCATAAGAACATGTTGTTTTATGCCATTAAATTTTTTTTTTGAGGTGGGTGGTTGGCAGTAGATGTCTGGAATATATTTTGGCGCCTGCAAGAGAGGTGCTACTGAAACAAAATCTTAAAACAGTGACTTTTGGGCTGTCAGTAGGGGCATAAAGGAGAGTAAGGAAATGCTATTAGAAGCTAGAAAAGAAGGAACCCTTATAGTGTTGAAAAGCTTGTCAGCTGTGGTAACATAGATAATAGGAAATACAGCTAATAAATCTGATGAACTACCTAAGGAGATTTGCAGGCAAAGTGCTGAAGGTGCCATCTGACTTGCTCTAGCTGCCTACAGTAAAAAAGAGAAAAGAGGTAAACTAAGAAGGAGCTGTTTCGTTGTTAAAATTTAAAGGAATCACAAATGAGAAAGGGCTTGCTGGTTTTCACTTCCAGTACCTCTAGGCAGGAAAACATTCTCAAATTAAGAAATGGCTTCCAGATTGTGGTGGCTGGGCACGGTGGCTCACGCCTGTAATCCCAGCACTTTGGGAGGCTGAGATGGGCGGATCACCTGAGGTCAGGAGTTTGAGACCAGCCTGACCAACATGGAGAAACCCTGTCTCTACTAAAAATACAAAATTAGCCAGGCATGGTGGTGCATGGCTGTAATCCCAGCTACTTGGGAGGCTGAGGCAGGAGAATCACTTGAACCCGGGAGGCGGAGGTTGCAGTGAGATGAGATCGCGCCATTGCGCTCCAGCCTGGGCAACAAGAGCGAAACTCCATCTCAGAAAAAGAAAAGAAGAGAAATGGCTTCCAGATTGTGGTGATGGTTTTATTGAGTATGTGTGTGTGTGTGAGTGTGTGTGTGAAAACTCAAACTGTATACTTTAAATTATATAATTTATTGTACTTTAATTGTCCCTCAATAAATCTGTTTAAAAAAAATCTAAAGTGAGACTGAAAAACCCTTTGTTAAGCCCCCAAAAACTGGCCAGGTACGGTGGCTCATGCCTATAATTCCAGCACTTTGGGAGGCTGAGGCGGGTGGATCACCTGAGGTCAGGAGTTTGAGACCAGCCTGGTCAACATGGCAAAACCCCGTCTCTACTAAAAATGCAAAAATTAGCCAGATGTAGTGGCTTATGCCTGTAATCCCAGCTACTTGGGAGGCTGAGGCAGGAGAATCACTTGAACCTGGTTGGCAGAGGCTGCAGTGAGCCGAGATCACACCACTGCACTCCAGCCTGGGTGACAGAGTGAGACCCTGTCTCAAAAAAAAAAATTTTTTTTTTAAATTACTTAAAGTGTTGCCTCATAGAACAGACAGACAGACAAAAGGCCTCCTAAGAATCTTATGAGTGGGTCCTGTAAATCCTCTCTGAAGACAGTAAGGCTCCTAAGAATCTTAAAAACCTTTGTCCCATAGCAATCTCCCAAGAAATCCAAATCGAAGTGGAGAGGGGCTTATCTCTTCCTTTTTTTTTTTTTCTTTGAAACAAAGTCTGGCCCCCAGGCTGGAGTGTAGTGGCTCCATCATGGCTCACTGCAGCCTTGACCTCCCAGGCTCAAGCGATCCTCCCACCTCAGCCTCCAGAGGAGCTGGGACTACAGGTATGCACTACCATGCCTGATTAATTTTTTTTTTGTAGAGATGGGGGCGGGGTCTCACTATGTCGCCCAGGCTGGTATCGAACTCCTGAGTGCAAGCAATCCTCCCACCTCAGCCTCCCAAAGTGCTTGCATTACAGGTATGAGCTACTGCACCTGGCCAAGGGGCTTATCTTGAAGTGATTTGTATGTGTGCCTTTTGCTATTATAATGGATTATAAAATGATTCATAAGAAACCCATGAAGTTTTTTTTTTTTTTTTGGGGGACAGAGTTTTGCTCTTGTTGCCCAGGCTGGAGTGCAATGGCGTGATCTCGGCTCACCACAACCTCCGCCTCCTGGGTTCAAGGGATTCTCCTGCCTCAGGCTCCCAAGTAGCTGGGATTACAGGTGTGCACCACCATGCCCGGCTAATTTTTGTATTTTTAGTAGAGATGGGGTTTCTCCATGTTGGTCAGGCTGGTCTCGAACTCCTGATCTCAGGTGATCCACCCGCCTCGGCCTCCCAAAGTGCTGGGATTACAGGCATCAGCCACCGCACCCAGCCAACCCATGAAGTTTTTAAAGGAAATGTATCAGCTTGGAGTAAAAAGAGCAGAGATAGTACAAAATGAAGAAAAGACTTTGGGCCCTTAACATATTATGGGCATGAAGCAGATGGAGAAACTACTCACCTGCAATAATGAGCTACTTCTATGGAAAAGAAAAGATGAGTCAGAGAGCAGAACCAAAAGCCCAGAGGGTGCAGCTAGAGACAAGGTAAATGAGTCAACACCTAGTCAAAGAATTAGCAACAGCTGTCCCACTGAATATAAGAAATACATCAAACCAGTGACTGCTGGGTACCTCTTATTTTCCCCTTTTTGAAAAGAAGCCTATTCAGTGGTTACCCTAAGCCTGTCCCACCAGTGTCTTTTGGGTAGCAGATATACATTCTCTTTAAGTTACAGGTCTTCACAGCAAGAGAAACAGTACTTAAGGAGCTGCACACAAGGAATGAACCTGCGCCCCAAAAGTCTCATCTACATCCAGACCTGATTTTTTTTTTTTTTTAAGACAGGGTTTCAGTCTATGCCCAAGCTGAAGTGCAGTACAATCTTGGCTCACTGCTACCTCCATCTCCCAGGCTCAAGAATCCTCCTGCCTTAGCTTCTAGAGGAGCTGGGGCTACAGGCATGCACCACCACACCCAGCCAACTTTTTTATTTTTGGTAGAGAGGGGGTTTCACTATGTTGTTGCCCAGGCTGGTCTTGAATTCCCAGGCTCAAGTGATCCTCCCACCCCAATCTCCAGAGTAGCTGGGACTACAGGTGTGCACCACCACATCCAGCTAATTTTTGTACTTTTTGTAGAGATGGGTTTTTTCCATGTTGCCCAGGCTGGTCTCAAACTCCTGGGCTCAAGCGATCTGCCTGCCTCAGCCTCCCCAAGTGCTGGCATTAGAGGCATGAGCCACCGCACCCGGCCCTATCTGTACCTGATTTTGGTGACAAGATTCCATTGTAATAGACTTCAAGCTGATGCCATGAATAAGAGAAGACCTGAGATTTTAGGGGAGAGAGTGAGTGTATTTTGCATCTGGGAAAGATGTGAATTGTTGCAATCAGAGGGCAGACTGTATTTTCCAAAGACAGGAACCACAACCTATCCCATTCCACATACCTTCTTATAAAGAGATGTTGAGATTCCTCTCAGCAGGTGGTGGAAATTATCTTCCTTTCTCTTGAACTTGGGCAGCCCTTTGTTACTGTCTTAATCAATACAGCACAATAGAAGACAAACTATCTGACTTTTGAGGCTAGCTCATTAAAATGCCACGCATTTTTGCCTTGTTCTCTTGGGATTCTTACTCTTGGAACCCAGATATCATGCTATGAAGGCATGCTGCCAAGTGTGGAGGTGACGTGCAGGTGTTCCCTAGCTTTAGTCCCAACTGACCGCCAGCATCAACTGTCATACATGTAAGCCTTCAGATGATTTCAGCCCCTAGCCATTGAGTCACCCATAACTTTCAAGCTACCCCCAGCTGATGCTGCAAGGAACAGACACAAGCTTTCCTTGCTGAGCCCTACCCAAATTGCAATTGGTGGGCAAAATAAATATTATTCTAAGCCACTAAGTTTGGGGTCATTTGTTATGTAGCAATAAATAACCAGACCAGTACTGACAGCATCATGGTTGGATTCTAGGAAGCATCTCGAGTAACAGGGGCTGAGGCCACAGGGCCTCCTAAGGGGGGCCTGCCACGGCCAGGACAGGCCCTGCAGCACTATCTTTTACCCACAGCTACTCAGGAGATTTTTCTTCTCTTTAGGCTCTTAGCTTCCCCCGATCTAAGGCACAGGGTCCAAATCTGTGCCTACATTGGCCATGGAACCTCAAGACATCTCTGGATTTCACTGTATCACAAACTGAGGCCACCCTCTGCATAAAAACCTGCAAATATGAGTTGAAATTAGGGCTCCACTGCCAATTAGCTGTGTGGGCTTACAGGTTCCTCATTTGTAATGTAAGTTACTGAGCCAGATATATCTCAAGATCCCTTCCAACTCTAACATCCCAACAGAGAATGTATCGGGCCTCCAAAGAGTTCCAGCTGAGTAGGGGAAATAAGACCCACACAAATATCCACTTTATGAGATACTATATGATAAGTGCCATTTGGCCGTTTTGAACCAAAGATTCTGAGTGAATGCAGAGGAGGGAGGGATTTGTCTTAGTTGGGTGGTCAAGAAAAACACTGGGAGAGAAGTGAATAATTGTATCCAGATTGGCAGAAATGTAAGGTTTGCATTAGAGAACAGTGAACTATTAGGGCAGAAAGAAAGACCAGGGCCAGATCATGAAAAGCCCTGCAAACCAGGCTAAGTTTGACTTTATCATGGATAGCAGTACTTTGGGGGCAGGAAGATCCCAGGAGTGCTCATAGGAAGGGAATGTGTTGGGATAATAAAATAACAGAAGGATGAAGAGAGGCAGGCTTGAGTACCTCTTCCTACTAGTTTTGTATCCTTAAGGAGTACCTCCTCTTTTCTGTGCCTCAGTTTCCCAATCTGTAAATCAAATGGGTTGGACTGAATGAGCTACAAAGCCCCCTTTCAGCTCTACCTTTCTAAGAAACTACAGACTAGATGAAAACAGAGTCCAAAGCTAAGATGACCCATTAGGAAGGTACTATAAGGACTCAAGTAGTACAACAGCCTATGCTCTAAGAGGCTGCTCTCCCATCTATCTAGTTGACTAATCAACAAATAGCTAATGGCTTCTACGTGCCAGGCATTGTTCCAGGCTCTAGGCACACAGAAAGACATCAAAGTCCTTGCCCTCAAGAATTATATATTCTCACACACTCAGATTTTCAGCACCCACCACAAGCAAAAGTTCTCAAACTCAAGGCTGATACAGTCTGTTATTTCCAAGTTGCAATGACCCAGGTGCTGGAGTTTCATAGTGAAGAAGCTGTGGAGGAAATCAGCAGGTCTTCAGAGAAGAGCCCCTGCTGCCTGCCAGGTCTTACTGCAAAAGTGAAATCTCCTGAGAGCAGTAAGTGGCAAAGTTCACCCTATCTACACAGCTGAATTAGCTCTAAACATAATACTTCCTTTTTTGCAAGTTACCAACCTGCTTCCAGTCCCACCCCAGGTCATCAACACCAACACAGTAAAGGCTGACCTCTAGAATTCAGAAGAGGTTTGAGAATCCCACCCCAGACCCCCAGAGTGGGATGCAGCCATATCTTGTGAGCTGAAATGGGAACAGCCTGTGGGGAGAGTGTATCTGGCAGGTAAGGATGAACAGTATGCTCATTCGGCCTCATCAACAAAAGCGAAGACAAGGAAACCTGCTCCAGGAGACCAAGATACAGCAAAGAACAAAACTGAGGCAGTCACATGAAAGGCTTAGATTTTCCCCTCCTACACATTCCTGCCAAATCAAGACTAAGCTGCAAAGGAAAAGGAAGGGAATAAATTAGCAACACACCTGTGAAAACCTAGGGACTGGAATCCAGGGTCTTTAACCCAGACAGGCTTGGTGGTAGCACCAGGTGAAGTCTTACACAAATTAAGGGTACAGTCCTTCAAATACACACCTTGACAGTTACACAGGGTCCCATCTGCCCACCCCCGCCAGTTTTCCTTGACCAGACCTCCCTCTTCCACCAAAGCTGGATACAAATGCGTCTTAGAACCACTGGGTTCCTCTGCCTTCATGTGGATGATGTGGAAGTCCCCGACGTAGCCAAAGTGTCAAAGGCCCAGCTTTCCAAGGCCCCAACACCCTCCCCTCCCCAACTAAAGCTCTGGTCACACCGAGGAGTCTCCTCCTTGGATTCATGTGCTGGCAATGATAAAAGGGCCCCAGGTCACTACCAAACACCTATTGAAAGGTCAAACTAAGAAACTCAGGTGCCAAGATCATCAATCCAAGTTGTAAATACCTTGGAGAAAGAGAATGGATCATCCCTCTTTGCCCTCCAGTGCCCAGCACAGAGCCTGGCACCCAGGAGAACCCTCTGAGTTCACCGACAATGCCTTCCTAAATGAACTGGTGATTTACTGCCTTAGCCCAAAGAACACACCCAGATGTGGCCAGGGGTGAAGGCAGCCAAAGAAACCACCAGATCACAATGTCTAAATAATACCTACACCCCAGGGGTAGTCTCTGAGAGAAGGGTGTCACTAGCCACAGAGGCCTGCAACTTCACACCAAAAGCCAGGCTCCCAGGAAAGAAAGGGGGGAGGGAAGGAAGGAGAGAAGCGGAAATGTGGTAGGAAGGAAGAGAAGACTTAGAAGGGAGGCAGGAAAGGTGCTTTTTTTAGGCACATCTGAGGCTCAGATATTTACAAACACCATCTAGCATGTTATGATGGCAAGCATGCTGAGAAGCTAAAGGAAGAGCAATTTCTGAAAACACTTAGAAGTAAGTAGGCATTTACTCCAAATAGAAACTGCAGCACCTGTCAGCAGTCTCGAGTCTGCTTTGAAACTTGATGTAAATACTGCCCCTCCCACCCCTCTACCCCATTCCTGTATGGTGGAAATTAGAAGGAAAAAAAAAGAATATTTAAAGGAGTTGAGGGTTGCTGGGAATGGTAATCTCCATTTCAGGTCCTAAATATACAATTTCTTTAAAATTACAAATAAAATGACACAATCACATATATTTGTTTCACTCCTACAGTAGTGTGATATTCTAAAAAACTGGAACCTTAGTTTTCAGCCCCATCTGCCAGCTCAATCATGGTAAGAATGCCACTAGGCTGACAAGAGCCCAACAACATGGTTCCCAGGAGCAGGCAATGGGAGATAAAGACTCTGAGACCTTGACTTGTTTCTACCTTGGACACCAACATGTTCTGGAGGAGGTCAGTTTCTCCACCTGCTTTGCCCAAGAAGCTGTTCCTTGCCACTCCCAGCCTCACTCAGTACAGGGAAGCTGGTATGCCACCAAGCCCAGTCTAAATGAGAGGGATTGCCTGGGCAAGGGGTGTTCCTATCAGTCTTGCTGCTGCAAGTGGATAGTCAGTTTGCTTGGCTAAGTCCCAGGATCTTACGTACTTAACAAGTCAGAGTCCATCAAACCCTGTTTGGCATAGTCCATCCAGACTGTTTCTATTGGGACAAAGTCCTGTATGTATGGTGTGGGGAACCCCTGCCTCCTTCATGACAGTCACTCCCCAGGGGCTACATCCCGTGCACTATTCTACCAACTATATCTGGACTCCAGTTCTGAATGAACCAAATGTTTACCACCAACTCTGACCAGACCCTATTGGACTCAGCCTAGCACTGCACAGCCAGATATCCAGGAATGAACTAGCCCTATCCAAACCAAAGCTAAGCATCCTTCTCATAGCTATCCATCTTAGAGGCAGAGGCCCCAAAAGCCAAATTTGTCCACCTGACATTCAGCAGAAAGGGCTATGAGAGGTACACAGCTTTAATAAAAAAGACTAAAGGTTCTTTTAAGATATCAGTGTCCAGCCTTGGCCAAGACCAGAGAAGCCCTGGTGAGAGTACTGTGCATCTATCTGTGCATCTGTGAGTTCTGGAAGCTTTGATCTCATCCTCAAAAGGGGGTTAAAATTTATTGAGTAGCTTTATGTCAGCCATAATGCTAAGCACTGACATATATTATCTCATTTAGTCCTCAGAGAAACTCTGTAAGATAACTACTATTATTATTTTATAGATGAAATAATGAAGATTTTATAGGGCACAGGGAAACGTTCTGAGAGCTCGCTATTTGGTAAGTGGTTAGAACCTGGATTTGAACCAAATCCATGATTCCAAAATCCACGGTTTCTCTAAACTCCTATAAAGCCTAGGCTGCTGCTTGGAGTTTGTGCTAATATGCGTAACTGCCTCTCTACCCTTAGCCCAATGTGGTCAGCCTCCCTCACTACAGTGCAGCTTAGCTCAGGCACAGGCCCCAAGCTCTCCCCACCATGGGAAAAGGTTACAAGCCAGAAGAACATCAGCTGCTTCTTGCTGGCCCCATCCTTAGAATGCTAGACACAAAGCAAGGCTTGTTTTAGGGTTACTGTTTGCTATATCACATAGAAACTTACAGAACTAGAAAATATCTTCTGCCTAATGGTCAGCATGAGCTGGCCTAGACCAGTCACCTGGATGACTGTCAGTCAAGATGATGACTATTTACATTTTGGAGGGATCCCACCCAGGACCTAGGTCCCTTGATGCCACCTCCCACAAGTGCTCCCTTACCCACCTGCTCAGAGTCCCCCGAGGGGCTTTAGTGCCACCAGCTCCGTGGGTGATGCTGGAATTCTTGTTGGCAGTCATGGTCATTTCGGCTCTCTGCAAACCCAGAGCCCTGCAAAGACGACAATGCCGGTAAGCCAAGTTTCTATAGGCAGCCAAAAGCACCTTGAACATCTTCCAGATGACCTCCAAAAGTGCCAAGAGGGTGTCTGTGGCAGGTAGTAGAAACTGCTTTCCCACTTAATGTTTAACTCCATGTGTTACAGCTTAAGAGACCCCAAGAAACCCCTGGCCTGGAATACGGAGGAGTGTGAGCTAATTTGATTGTGAGTGCACCAATCAGCACTCTGTGTCTAGCTCAAGGTTTGTGAACACACCAATCAGCACCCTATGTCTAGCTCAGGGTTTGTGGATGCACCAATCGGCACTCTGTATCTAGCTAATCTGCTGGGGACTTGGAGAATCTTTATGTCTAGCTAAGGGATTGTAAATACACCAATCAGCACTCTGCATCTAGCTCAAGGTTTGTAAACGCACCAATCAGCACTCTGTGTCTAGCTCAGGGTTTGTAAATACATCAGTCCACAGGCTGTATCTAGCTAATCTAGTGGGGAGGTGGAGAACTTTTCTGTCTAGCTCAGGGTTTGTAAATGCACCAATCAGCACCCTGTCAAAAAGGACCAATCAGCTCTCTGTAAAACAGACCAATCGACTCTCCGTAAAATGGACCAATCAGCATGATGTGGGTGGGGCCAGATAAGGGAATAAAAGCAGGCTGCCCAAGCCAGCAGTGGCAACCCACTCGGGTCCCCTTCCACACTGTGGAAGCTTTGTCCTTTCGCCCTGCAATAAATCTTGCTACTGCTCACTCTTTGGGTCCACACTGCCTTTATGAGCTGTAACACTCACTGCGAAGGTCTGCAGCTTCACTCCTGAGCCAGCGAGACCACGAACCTACCAGAAGGAAAAAACTCCGAACACATCCGAACATCAGAAGGAACAAACTACAGACATGCGGCCTTTAAGAACTGTAACACTCACTGCGAGGGTCCACGGCTTCATTCTTGAAGTCAGTGAGACCAAGAACCCACCAATTCCGGACACAATTTCACAGAAAACAAAATAAACAAAGAAGCCCAAGAAACTCCATCTCCATCCATCTCTCCTCATTCCTTAAGTTAGAGTTTCCTTAAACTTCTATCATTCTATACAGTCCATGGTTTTTGCCATATTTGCATATCTCCTGACATACTATTTATTCAATATTTTTCTTGAATATACTTGAAACTGACTTCCTTTTCTTAAAAAGAAAAAAGTCACCTCATTCTAAACAATAAACTATTCATTCAACAAATATTTACTGAGCACCCATGTCCACGGCAAATGTGATCCAGTGAAGAGTAATACAAAGTCTCTGACCTCATGCAGCTTACATCCCAGTGGGGAAAAACAGACAATGAGCACACATGAATTATCACGTGTGTGATAATAAGTGTACCTTCGTGTATAATATGTAAGGTGATGGTAAGTGGAATAAAAAAAAATTAAGCAAGGTTGAGCCGGGCGTGGTGGCTCACGCCTGTAATCCCAGCACTTTGGGAGGCCAAGGCAGGCAGTTCACTTGAGGTCAGGAGTTCAGACCAGCCTGGGCAACATGGTGAAACCCCTTCTCTACTAAAAATACAAAAATCAGCCAGGTGTGGTGGCAGGCAGCTGTAATCTCAGCTACTTGGGAGGCTGAGGCAGGAGAATTGCTTGAACCTGGGAGGAGGAGGTTGCAGTGAGCCAAGATTGCACCACTGCACTCCAGCCTGGGTGACAGGGCAAGATTCTGTCTCAAAAAAAAAAGAGAGAAAAAAACTTAAGCAAGGTAGAGGGAAAGAGAGTGGTGAAGAGGGTATCTTATTTTAAATAAGATGTTCAGGGAAAACCATTACGATAAAGTAACATTTGAGTACACATCATGAAATTGAGAGCTAGAAGTGCTCATCATTTTTTCTAATACCCATTAAAATAAAAGTAATATACATTAAGGTATTTAAATATTTAAAAGTAAAAAATGTCTGTTCATGTACCATATATTCTTAGCTAATATATCACCATGGTAAATGCACTACCCTTTCAGGAACACTATTTTATGCCAAGTAATAAAAGGAATATGAAGATTAAAATTTAAGGGTACATTTGGGTTGGAAAGAAGGAAGTAAAATTATTTCCATTTGCAAATGGCATGATTTTGTATGTAGAAAATCCTAAGGATTCCACTAAAAAACCTATTAAACTGCTGAGTGACTTCAAGTAAATGTGCAGGATACAAAATCAATATTAAAGATCAATTTTGGGCCAGGTGTGGTGGCTCACACTTGTAATTCCAGCACTTTGGGAAGCCAAGGCAGGCAGATCCCTTGAGCCCAGGAGTTCAAGACCAGCCTGGCCAACATGGCAAAACCCCATCTCTACTAAAGATACAAAAATTAGCCAAGTGTGGTGGTGCATGCCTGTAATCCCAGTTACTCAGGAGGCTGAGGCATGAAAGTAACTTGAACCTGGGAGGCAGAGGTTGCAGCAAGCCAAGATTGCACCACTGCACTCCAGCCTGGGTAACAGAGCAAGACTCTGCCTCCAAAAAGAAAAAAAAATCAATTTTATTTCTATATACTAACAACGAACAATCTGAAAATGAAATTAAGAAAATAATTCTATTAACAATAGCAGCAAAAATAATAAATCACTTAGAAATAAATAAAAGGAATGCAAGACATGTATACTGTAAATTATAAAACATCATTGAAAGAAATTAGACATAAAAAATGAAAAGACATACCATATTCATGGATCAGAAAATTTAATATTGTTAAGATGGCAATTCTCCCTAAATTGATTTACAGACTCAACAGAATACCCATCAAAATGCCAGCTAGCTTCTTTTCAGAAATTGACAAGCTGATCCTAAAATTTTATGGAAATGCAAGGGATACAGGACAGCCAAAACAATCTTGAAAAAGATGAACAAAGTTAGAAGACTCTGAGTTGCCAATTAAAAAAAAATACTAAAAAGTAACCAAGACAGTGCAGTACTGACATAAGAACAGAAACAGAGATCAACACAACAGAATCCAGAGTCCAGAAATAATCCCTTACATTTATGGTCAACAGATTTTCAATAAGGATGCCAAGACAATTCATGGGGAAAGAAGAGTCTTTTCAACAAACTGTGCTGAGAAAACTGGATATCCATATACAAAAGAATAAAGTAGGGCCCCACCTCATACCATATTTAAAAATAAAGTAAAAAATGTAGTATAGCCCTAAATGTAAGAGCTACAATTACAAAAGCAACGCTGGAAGAAAACAGAAGTAAATCTTTATGACATTGGATTAGGCAATGGTTTCTTAGATATAACACCAAAAGCGCGCACACACACACACACACACACACACACACACACAAAGGACATGAATTGTACTATGTCAAAGAAAAGAACTTTTGTGCTGTAAGCAATACCATCAAGAAAGTGAAAAGACAGCCTAAATAATGGGAGAAATTTTTTGCAAATCATGTATCTCCTAAGAAAATTGTATCCAGAATATATAAAGAATTCTTTCAACTCAATAATAAAAAAGTAACCCAATTAAAAATTAGACAAAGGATTTGGAACAGAAATTCTCCAAAGGTATAAACTTGGCCAATAAGCATACGAAACAATGCTCAATATCATTAGTCATTAGGGAAATACAAATCAAAACCACATGAGATATTACTTCACATCCACTAGGATTTCTATAACAAAAAAAGACAGATAAAAACAAATGCTAGTGAGACTGTAGAGAAATTGGAACTTTCATTCCCTGCTGGTAGAAATGTAAAATGGCACAGCCACTCTGGAAAACAATTTGGTAGTTCCTCAAAAAGTTATACTCAGAGTTACCATATAAACCAGGATGACCCACTCCTAGGTATCTGTTCAGAAGAAATGAAAATATATGTCCACACAATCACTTGTACATAAATGTTCATAACAGAATTACTCATAGTAGCCAAAAAGTGGAACTAACCCAAATGTCCATCAACTGATGATAAACAAAATGTGGTATATATCAACACAATGGAATATTATTCAGACATAAAAAGGAGTAAAGTACTGATACATTCTACAACATGAATAAACCTTGATTCCACTTTTGTGAAATGTCCAGAACAGGCAAACCTACAGAGACAGAAAGTAAACTAGGAGCTGCCTAGCACTGGTTGAGGGTGGCAGAATGGGACATGGCTGATAGGAGTACGGGGTTTCTTTTTGGGGTGACAAAAATGTTCTAGAATTAGATAGTGGTAATGGTTGTACAACTCTTGTGAATATATTAGAAATCATTACATTATATCAATGAATTTTACAGCATGTTAATTACATCTCAATATAGACGTTAAAACTTAAGAGCTAAATAAATCTTTTTAAGTGCCTTGGAGAGTGGGTGTGAGTGACAACACAAACGACACATCAAGCATATTTCCAATGTCAAGGTGCACCACAGCCTAGGCGAACACCACCATCACGGAAGCTGAACAGTTTACAAACAGTAGTTCTCTCCCTCTGATTGGTATCCTCCATCACATTGGCCAAAATGAAGTATATCTGGATGTGAAAGTTAAACATATTTATTTATGGCCACTGATGACCTTAATCCTGGAGACCATCTTACTTATTACTTTGGTGCAAATAAGTGATTGGTTTTGATGATAAAAATAAGTCAAGTCCTAATTCTTGATAGCATTTATACTTCCTTCCTAATCTCAAGATGAAATGTACTAGCTCTAATTTTAACTTCGCATAAGCTCTCAGGGTTGTGGTTTTAGTGATGGTGATAGGGAGTGGTATGTTAACTGGAAAGAGAGGAAGCAGCCAGTAGGCAGGGGATGATTAGCTGATGGTGACAGCAATGAAACATCCCTCCAAGGTGAATACGGCAGATGCTTCTGGAAAAAGGAAACCAACTCTAAGCCTCACTTTTACCCTTCATAAAATGGAGTTGGTCCAGCTAACTTTTTTCTTTTTGGTAGAGATGGGGTTTCTTTATGTTGCCCAGGCTGGTCTCGAACTGCTGGTCTCAAGTGATCCTCCCGCCTCAGCCTCCCAAAGTGCTGGGATTACAGGCATGAGCCACCATGCTTGGCCCTATAAATTTAAGTCTATATTAATAGCATAACATTAGTGATGGTGATGATGATGATGATGATAAAGTCAATCTTGCCCCCAGGGCATCTACGCACACTGGCTCTAGTGAGATACTCTCTACCTGTATCAGCCCAGTGCCAAGTAAAGTGCTTGGCATATCATATTGCTATATGTACAACAGAGAAGGGAGAGAAAAGGCAACCTCTGGACATTTTCTCAGGCCAGTTTTCAGGGTCCTCAGGAAGCACAGTGCTATAGGAATCAACTTGCTAAGCATCAGTTTTCAACTGTAGCAATGATCACAGTAACCATCACCATCCATGAAAACAACATTTGACCTGCTCTATCAGTTCCAGGGCAGGCCCTTGGAGAAAAGGCAAAAGATTTGTGGCATGACCAGAAACTGAAACATGTTAAAAAAACATGATGAAAAACATATTCTTTCTTTCCCTGAATTTCTGCTTTCAGGAGGGTAGACTCACTGCTCTGAAATGCTATCATGCAGTTGTATATGAGAACACAGAGCCAACTTACTAAGAAAGAGAAATGTAGTTGACTCTGACATCTGGGTGGCTAAGAAGAAAAATCCTGTGAAGATGTAACCAAGAAAGAAGCAGAACAAAATTGCTTCCAGGCCCATGACAGGGACCCTTAGTCACATTTCTCCAAGAGTGCAGCTGCCATTCTCAGAAGTGGCCTGGGAATTCAGGCATCTTGAGCTGGCACTGCTGAGAACCTCACAGGGGCGCACTAGGTTAGAAACACAGATGCCTACTCACCAGCCTCCCCACCAACTGCTCTCTCTGGGCCAGGTCTATCAGGATCAGAGAATAATTTGGGACTTGAGGAGCTGAAGGCCAGGTTAACCCTTTACACCTGAAGCTCAGGCTTGAGGACTCTCAGCATTCTGGCTTCCTGGGCTACACCATTTCTCCCCACCTCCTACAAGCAGCCCCAGGCCCTCATCTATGCTTTTAGCCTGATATCCTGGCTAGTCAGACTGCAGGGAGAGAAGACACTCCTAAAGCAGAGGAAATGCCCATGGGAATGGAGCAGAGACTCAAGCATGATGAGAGGCTTCTTTGCTAGTTCCCAGGCCCTCAATGGCAAAGTCTAGGCAGAAACTGCATGTTTAGAAAAGGAAATTGTTCAATTAGCATATACCATCCATCCAAAGTTCCTCAAAAACACAGCTCTGACAAATTATAGACAACTATCTGAAGAGTAACAATCCAGAGAAAGGAATAGAATAAGGTACCTCTGGAACTTTTCTACAAACTGCATCCAGACAAACAGGCACAGTCGCAGGCCCCGAGGGGCAGTGGAAAAACACCTGCCTTGAGTCCAGCCCTGCCTCTGACAACTGCTAGTTATGTGACCTTGCTCCAGTGAGTGTCAAAGACTCACTTTGTCACTATAACAGCCATAATAGCAATATGACCTACCTCCCATGATTGCCCTGTCTGGCAATAGAAGCTTAAAAAATGTTTGTTCTTCCAGATCACACTTCCCTAGGTATTTGGAAGACAACCTCTCCATTCCCAAGTCTGAGTCATCTTTCAGACTCCCTAGTACTATCATTCCATTCACTGACCCTATGTGAGGCACTGTGCAAGGTGCTAGGATATTAACATGGAAGACACAGTCCCTGCCCTGGAGAAGCTAACTGTGAAGGGAGACAAGAAAGTAAAAAGTGGACTCCAGGAAGGCCTCATCAGAAGGTGACATTTGGATTAAGCTTTAATCTGTTACCCACAGTAAGGGGACCTAAGGAAAAGCAAAGGAGCATTTATTATGAGACACGCTGCTAGACTTTTAAACATGTAATTATAACAGCTAAAGTTACAAGCACTTCATGTGTATTAAGTCATTTAACCCTTTAACAACCCTGTGAGGTGGGTACTATTAATATTTCACAGGGTTAGTTACACTTTACCAAGGAAACCAAGATAGAGAGCAGTTAATTAGCTTGCTCCAAGTCACACGGCTAGAAAGGGGCAGGGATTTATGACCAGGTGGCCTGCACCAGCTCTGGGCCAGGACCCTGTACTGCCTCCAACTGTCTTCTAATTTAGTTCTCACCATTCTACAAGGTAGTGATAATACAGTCTCCTTTTTTCTGATTAGGAAATTTAAATTCAGAGAAATTAAATGACTGGACCAAGATCACTCACCTAGTGAAGGAACAGAGCAGGAATGTAGACCCAGCTCTGTCTCACTCCATTGTCCACTTATTTTCTTTAACATTGATGGGGTGCTTTAAAATGCAGAGTCCCAGGCCCCACCTACTGAACGGGAATCTGTGGGGATGGGGCCTAGGAATCTGCATTTTAGTAAGCGCTTTAAATCAAGCTTATATGCCCTTAAGTGCAAAAACTTGTGTCCCACAGCATGTTCTCTAGGGACTTAATGGAGTCACGACTCACCATCTTCCCAAGAATCTGCCTAGCTATGTGCAACTAAAAGATGGCACTCAGCCCCTCTTCCTCCTACCCCCATCCCATTAGCTTCTTCCACCACACAGAGAACCACTGGCCCTCAACCACAAAGGAACGCACACACCACGGGATCCAGTGAAAGCATTACCAATGGCTCATCTAAGCCATTTCGTCAGTCTCCAGGTGTGCTCCGTCTTCCTGTATTTTGAAATTACTCTTCCTGCCACCCACCCTGATCCCTTTGCTTGCTTTCTCCTCATTTCTAAGCTCCTGGGAAAAAGAGTTTATATCAGTCATACACTGGTGGTCTGCAGAAGCAAAAACATGTCTCACTTGGCCTTCCTTTTATTTTTAAATAATTTGAATTAGTTGTCAAGCTTAAGAAAGCAGGTGAATAGAAAGAAAAATTCAGATTCTAGCTTCTTTTGAAAAATGAGAAAATTTACCATCACTGTGTGCACTCCTATATGACAACAGTGGGCCAGAGCTGAGCACAAGTGGCCCAGTTAGATGCCGCGGCTCCCTCCACCGCAGCGCTGTGCCTCCTCATCCATGGCCTCCACCTGGTCCACTCGGCTCTAACCTGACCTCCCAACCAGCAGGTAAGTGTCGCAGCTCTCTAGCCTGCATCCCAGCAGGAAGGGTTAGGAGGCACGGCATTGGCAACAGCCACACAAAACCTCCTGGACGGCTGGGCAGGAGCAGTGCAGGGCACAGCCTCCTGGCTGCTTGAAACCCCCATCAATTCCCCTCACTGCCACAGGAGGACAGACCTCCCGGAAGGCTGACAGCTTTTGCTCAGTCCAGCCTTCACCAGACAACTCTCTACCATCCTGAGTGCCCTTTCTCCCTCTGACCCGATCCCATCACCTGATCCACAGAGGCTCTCTCAAAGGTCCAAGAAGGGACCGATGAGAGGTCAGTCTCTGAAGGGAGCTCTTTCTGAGGGGTGCCCCACCTCTAAGAATGGACCTTCCTATCCTAGAGCAAAAAACCTGTCTGTCCTTGTTTAGGTGACATTTCTAAATGTCTGTCTGATACTTTTCTGCAGGCATAAATGTGGATGTGACAGTATGCCTTGCTCTTGAAGCAGGAGACAGCTGAGCCCTGAGTGAAGAGGAAGAAATGCAAGCATTTGGAGGAAAGCCTCCCATTCTGCTGAGGTTAATGTCACCACTGAGAGGAAACGTAAACATTGCCCAGCACTCTGCTTTATAGCCGAGGTAAGAAGTCAAGATGCCCGAAAATAGGAAACCTCTCAACCACATGAGAGAATTTCTGCTACATCTATGTTCCACTACTCTCCTAAGCAATTCTGCTCACGTGGAAGTCAAAGTTTAGGCAGCAGCCTAAAGGGACAGAGAAGGTGGGAATGGGAACAGAGCTCTTGTGTGTGTTCTGAGAACATGGTGAGAGCCAGGAAAGGGCCAGCAATACAGTGACAGTATAGTGACCCAACAGTGTGCAGCTGTGGCCTGATTGCCCTGGGACCAACCTGCCTACTCATCCTGCCCAGCAAACATCTCCTCAGACCCTCTTTACCTTCTTGCCAACTCCTTCCTGCACCTCTCCTCATCCATGGGCCCTGGCCAAGGACATGAGGAACAGACTGGCAGCTCCCCAGAGGAGGGCTGCCAAGAGTCTCAGCAACCAATACTGGCCCTCAGATTCTAAGGAGCTTAACAAATGCAACTAAATCAGGATGATCCTTCTCCGCATGGGACTTCAACCTCACCCTCAGCACTTGTGTCTTCTGGATCCTCCCATCAGCCCCTGTTCTTCCTGAAGCAGCAAGGCCTCCTGCTAAATTCCTGTGGAAAAGCTCCCCTGCTTCCTAGAAAGAGCTAAGCTCACCAATGCTATAAGCAAAAGGCACAGCCCCTCTCTGCCTAACCTCCCGACAGATCGACGACTTGCCTGGTTCTCTAAGGGATAAAAGGGCTCCTAGAAACATACTAAGAACCTGAGCCCCTTTCCTTCTATCTTCTCAGTGCTGCCTCCATTCTCTCCCTGCCATACCTCCCTTCCCCTGACCTGCCCACACAACCCAGAGCCGCTGCAAGCTTCAGTAACCTTAGATTAAGTTCCTTGTAAGTACCCAAACCAAGATTCTCAAAAATGTGAGCTTTCGCCTGTAATCCCAGCACTTTGGGAGGCAGAGGCAGGAGGATTGTTTGAGCCCAGGAGTTTGAGACCAGCCTAGGCAACAGAGCGAGACCCTGTCTTTACTAAAAATAAAAAATTAGCAGGAGGTTGGTGATGCACACCTGTAGCCCCAGCTACTTGGGAGCCTGAGGTGGGAGGATCACTTGAGCCCAGAAGTCCAAGGCTGCAGTGAGCTATAATCATGACACTGCACTCCAGCCTGGGTGACAGAGTCAGACCCTGTGAGAAGAAAAAAAGAGAAGAGAAGAGAAAAGAAATACCAGGAAGGATTTTCTCAAGACTGTCCCATTCCCTACAAAACAGTAAACCCTTTTCTCCTTCACTACTTCTATACACATTGTAAATCTTAGATCTTCTCCATTCCAGCCCCAGGTCCAGAAAGCCCTTCAAGGAAAAATGTAATGGGGATAGTGAGCCTGGTCAAGTGGAGAGGAACCAACATTTGTTTTGCTGGGAGGTCAGAGGATAGGTGGGTGTTTTTACAGGCCCCCGTGAGGCTGAAATCTCCCTCAATCAGCCACAGGAAAGACAATTTTTTTGTTGTTGCATAATAATCAGAAAAAAAAGTAAGAACTTTTTCCATCTCTTCACTGTCCACTTATCATTCCCACATCCTCCTTCCCAACCCTCCTCCTCAAAGAAAGCCCTTTAAGTCTGCTTTTTCAACCTCAACCATTTTTCAATCCCTTTTCCTGCCAGATGGTCCTTCTCCACTTCAGTGCAGATCCTGCAGAGGTTTAAAGCTGGGTTTACACACTTCCTGAAAGCCTGAATTGGAGTGAGGTCTTGTTAGGCAATTTCAGGCCAAAGGAAATCTAGTTGTTTCTCACATAGTTTTAAAAACCTAGACATGGCTGTTTCTGCCATTCTGGAAACTCAGCCTCTCAGCAAGTGGCTTATCCTAGCTCTGTCAAGACTATGGCACCTACTCTGCCCAATATCTTGTCACCACTTGGAAAAAGGAGGCAGATTGGAAGCCTGATCCATAAAAAACCCTGCTCCTGGGGACCAACCACTGCCCTCTTTCGCTCTGGCAAGGAGAACATGGTGGGTCCTGCAATTTCGATGATCCAGAGGCCATAGTCCTATCTTAGAGCAGCACCTTCACTCTGGCCAGCCACATCTCACTGGATGACATTTCCTGCACATGCCAGGAATGTTCATGCCGCCAAGCTTTTGTTCAACCAATTCCTTTGATTTTCAGTGTCCCTTGCCCCCCATTCTTTCTTAAATATCCAGTTCAAGTGTCAACTTCTTCCTGACTCTAAGTCCTGACCTCCTTCTCACCCTTCCCACGCTCTCTGGTCTAGCTGAGCTCAACCTGACTGATGGCAAGCTGCCTCCTCTGCTCTAGAAGAAACTTATCATCCACAAGCTGCACCTTCTCCGAGTAAGACTAGGAAATAATAAAGGCTAAAGGGACTGGGCAAAATCCTAATACCTCCGTTTTACCACAGATAGCTTACGGAGACTACTCCACCTCTATAATGAGAACACAAAGAACAATGAGAAGCCATCTACAAAGAACAGTGGGTACTCAGAGCCCAGTGCTACTGGAAGTCTCCGGGCTGGGGTTTAGCTTTCCCTCCAGCTCTCAACTTCAACACCTCCTCCCTCATCCTCACTCTTTTAGCTGCCTCTGCTTCCGATTCCACTAAGAACAGATCCTCAATGAGCTACACTCATCACATGTACTCCCCACCAGCATCATGGCTCCTGTCACCCCATCTATTCAAAACTCTCAAAACCATAGCTCCCATTACTCAAAGTAAAAACCAAAATCTTTACAATGACTTATAAGGCCCTCCATTGTCTGGGTCCCTTTTATAACTCTGGCCCCATTTCAACTACTCTTTCTCCTTCACTGTCTCCACTCCAGCCACACTGTCCGATACCATGTGCTCAAACACACCAGGTGTGTTCCTACCCCAGGGCCTTCACACCTGCTGTACCCTGTAAGTAGAACTGCCCTCCCTAGATAGGGTGAACAGCAGTTGGGCTCCACAGTCCAGGCCCATCTCTAGTTACCTCTGGCCTTCCCAGTGAAGGGTCTGACCCACTTACAGCAACCACAACCACTCAGAAAATTCAAAAGGGGGCCTCCCCCTGTGAAAACCCAAACGATTCTGGGCAGGAGTAGCTTCAGCCCAAGAACTCAACTAAAATTGCTCTCTGAAAAGCTTATAAGACCAGGCCCAGTGGCTCATGCCTGTAATCCCAGCACTTTGGGAGGCCGAGGCAGGTGGATCACCTGAGGTCGGGAGTTTGAGACCAGCCTGACCAACATGGAGAAATCTCATCTCTACTAAAAATACAAAATTAGCCAGGCGTGGTGGCGCATGCCTGTAATCCTAACTACTCGGGAGGCTGAGGCAGGAGAATCGCTTGAACCCGGGAGGCAGAGGTTGCGGTGAGCCAAGATCGCGCCATTACACTCCAGCCTGGGCAACAAGAGCGAAACTGCATCTCAAACAAAAAGTGATAACCATAATGAAAAACACTGACAAATTAGACTACATTAAATAAGAACTTTGTTCATTTAACAAATGCCATACAGACAGTGAAAAGCAAACCAACAGAGTATAAGACAATGTACTCAGTAGACCATCCAACCAAGAACTCATATCCAGAATATATGAGGAACTTCTACAAATAAATAAAAAACAACTCAAAAGAAGAATGGCACAAGTAGAACAGATACTTCACCAGAGAGGATACCCAAACAGTGAAGAGATATATGAAAAGGTATCCAACTTTATTAGTCATCAACAAAATGCAAATTATAACTGAGATGTGATACCCATTAACATACCCACTGGAATGGATAAAATGAAAAAGAAAATACCTACTGTTGGCAAGGATGTGAAGCAACTGGAATTCTCAAACACTGACAGAGGAAGTGTAAATCAATACTACCACTTTGGAATAACGTTGGGTATTATATACTAAAGCTAAATATAGGTATAACCCATGACCCAGCAATTCCTTTCTTAGTTTTATACCCATCAGAAATGCATACACATGCATACTAAAAGACAAGTATGAGAATGTGCATAACAACACTATTCATAATGGCTATAAACTAAAAATTCAAATGCTCATAATCAGAAGAAGAGAAGGCAAATTTTGGTATTTTACATAATGATTACTATACAGCAATGAGAATGAACATCTGCAGCTACACACAACATGGATAAATCTCTCCATTATTCTGAATAAAAGAGCCAGAAACCAAGAATACATACTAGATGAGCCTATTTATAGAAAACAATAAAACCCAAAAATAAATCAATGCTATTAGAAGTCAGGAGAGTGGTTACCCATAGGAAGACTAGAGGGAGATTCTGGGATATTGATAATAGACTGTTTCTTGATCTGAGTGTTGGTTACATGGGTTCAGTTGTAAAAATTTGTTGACTTGGATACATATATACATTCATGTTGTATGATATACTTCATTAAAAAGTTTAATATAGCAAGCAGGATACAGAGCTCAGCAGATTTGGGAACACTGGATCCACAGAGCAAAGTTATTAAGAAGCAGTAGAGAGGCCAGGTGTGGTGGCTCAAGCCTGGAATCCCAGCACTTTGGGAGGCCGAGGTGGGTGGATCACTTGAGGTCAGGAGTTTGAGACCAGCCTGGCCAACATGGTGAAACCCCGTCTCTACTAAAAATACAAAAATTAGCTAGGCATGAAGGCAGGTGCCTGTAATCCTACTCAGGAGGCTGGGGCATGAGAATCACTTGAACCCGGGAGGCGGAGGTTGCAGTGAGCCAAGATCGCGCCACTGCACTCCAGCCTGGGCAATAGAGCGAGAATCAATCTCAAAAAAAAAACAAAAGAAAAGAAAAGAAAAAAGAAGCAGTAGAGGGTAGAGGGTAACACTGGAACTACAGATCTTAGATCATTAGGGCTCAATTTCCCTTTGGAGGAAAACCCTTTTTTCCTCAAATTTGGAAGTAGGAGAAGAAAGCACACCTATATAGCCAGGCTCTGCTGGTTCTATGCATGTATTTATATTTAGCTTGTGTAATCTTAGTTACAACTATGTGAAATAGATGCCATTATCTCCATTTTATGGATGAAGAAGCTGAGGCTGAAAGGTTAAGTAATTTGCCTAGCGTTTCATAAGCAGCAGACCCCAGAGTCTGGAGAGGTTGGCATGAGGCTCTAGAAGTGATACCAGAGCACATTAGTCCTTTGGTCTCTGTCATATCTTGTGGCAGGAAGCCACCCTCCATCCCAAGTACACCCCTGCAGCCCCACTCTATCTGGATAAAGAATTAGAAAAGGGGCTGGGCATGGTGGCTCACGCCTGTAATTCCAGCACTTTGGGAGGTCAGGAGTTCAAGACCAGCCTGACCAACATGGTGAAGTCCTGTCTCTACTAAAAATACAAAAATTAGCTGGGCGTTGTGGTGGGTGCCTGTAATCCCAGCTACTCTGGAGGCTGAGGCAGGAGAATCGCTTGAACCCGGGAGGCAGAGGTTGCAGTGAGCTGAGATCGCGCCATTGCACTCCAGCCTGGGTGACAGAGTGAGACTGTCTCAAAAAAAAAAAAAAAAAAAAAAAGAATTAGAAAAGGATATTAGCAGAAGGTCCAACGCCTGGCCCCTAAATTCTGGTTGTCAAAATCCCATTTTTCTTTAAGCCATCTAGTTCAGAAGGCTCTGAGTCAACAACAAATAAGCGTAAGAGATGCCTATCATCATTCTTCCCCATCTAGGGAAAGGGGCTCACACACACAGACCCTGGTCAAACAAAGACCTTCCCCCTAACAATGCAGTCTGCTGGAGCTGAGACTGCAGAGAAAGAGTCTGTCCATCCACCTGCCCAACTCCTTTAAGGGCCATGATGATGACCGAACTTGCCTCTTCTTCCTCCTTTAAACAGAGCAAGTGCTACTTGGCAGTTTCAGGTCTGTGCTTCTCAGACTGTGTGCTGAGGTGCCCCAAAGCCCCATGATGAACTCACAGGGATACTGCTAAATATTTTAAATCTTTGAGGGAAACAGAGCAACACTCAACATTTGTTGAACACCCCATGAGTTCACAGCTTCAACAACAGACTGCATTACATTCTTTTCGATGATGTCATTTCTTTCTGAGGCTGGGTTTTCAGCAGTTGCTGTGATAAAAAGCAAATACCATGTGAAAAGCAATGTGGAACAGGAAATAAGCATGGCACTAATCAATCTGGTTCCAAGGTCTGATATGCTATGCAGTACCTAGTACATCCCATTAGTAAGTGTGGTTAAGAATGGAATATAAATATTTTTCCTTTCAATTTCTTGTATCATTTTTTTTTCAGATGGCTACTCAGTTGTTAGGATATAAATACTCAATTGTTTAAACCTACTTAAGGCCAGGCACAGTGGCTCACCCCTGTAATCCTAGTACTTTGGGAGGCCAAGGCGGGTAGATTACCTGAGGTCAGGAGTTCGAGACCAGCCTGGCCAACATGGTGAAACCCTAATTTTACTAAAAATACAAAAAATTAGCCAGAAGTGGTGGTGCCTGCCTGTAGTCCCAGCTACTAGGGAGGCTGAGGCAGGAGGATCACTTGAACCTGGGAGGCGGAGGATACAGTGACACAACTGCACTCCAGCCTGGGTGACAGAGTGAGACTTCATATAAAAACAAACAAAAAACCTACTTATAAAAGAAAACTTAGGTATTTATTTTGGGCTATGGACACTGTAAAAAAAAAAATTACTGAAACACTAAGGCCCATGAACTAAGAAAGTTTGGGAGTCTCTGCAGCAGGTGTTTTTAAGTCTCTGTTCATGGAGCCAAGAGGAGTTCCCAGGGCAGGCCCAACCCAGCCCCAGAAGTGGGCAGGAGTCAACATTCAGGCCTGTGGCAGCACACTCAGGCTTCCCAGAGTGGCTGGTAGAATAACCCCTCTGCCTGAACAGAAGTGCCTGCACACCAGTTATCCCTCAGCCCAGGCGCCTGCACATCCACATCAGCCTCACCCTAGGCTCCCAGGCACCCCTCTGAACTCCCTCCCTGAAAAGCTCTATTCAGCTCCAACCTCATGAATAAAACCCAAAGACAGCCCAGAAGCCTGCCGGCCAGCAGGGGTCTTCCACACACGCTCAGACTTGGGCAATGTCCACAAGCCAAATCATTAATCCAAAGAGACAGGGAGCAATGGGAACCAAGGAGAGGGCTTCCACTGACAGACCATCCACTGAAAGGCCAACTCAGGCTTTCTGGGTGAAGATCTGCACGAAAATACCTTCTTTGTTCCCACGGGGTTTCTTGCCAGCTATGCGCCCCACCTCCATTCTTCCTTGAAGTCATAATCCTCTGTTGGTGACATCACAGCTGTTGATACAATAGTCAACTGTTGTGATGTCACAGGACTCAACTTTTGTCATTTTAGGTGGGGGTGCTGGGTTGGAGAATGTGACAGAGGACAAGAATAGAATACAGTTATAGAACTGGAATTCGCTTTTTCATGCTAATTTCCCTGGTAATGAAGGGCAGTGACTCAGAAAAGGAAAGGCAAGCCTCTGGCAGCAAGGCTGTGTGTAGATTCGTCTATACCAAGGGAAGGATGGTGGGGAGGCAGGGAGGAGACAAAAGAAAAGAATTTCGAATTCCAGGATTGGCCAAATATGAAGATGATCTCAGTCTGGCCAAGTCCAGGACCTTCTCTTTCCCTCACCTATCGCCTGAGCCCAGAGTAAGGAGAGGCTCCAGGCTGGAACACTCCCTGGAAATTAATGCGTGGGAGGTGGTATTCTGTTGTGGACTCCCAACTGGCAGAGGGACAGACTATCAGTTTGGACTGAGTCCTAAGGACAGTGACCAGGATGGAGAGGGCACTCAGAAGCATGTCACAGGAGAAATGACGGAAGGAACTGAGAATGTTTACCCTGGAGAAGAGAAGGCTGTGGAGCGGGGAGGGTGATCATTGGCTTGGGAATTCGGAAAGGCTCTCGTGTGAAAAAGGGATTAGATGTGTTTTCTAGGGTCCCCCAAGGAGACCTCAGAAAATGAGAGACCCTGAGAGGCCAAAATGAAGAAGAAGTTTTAATTCTTAAATTCCATTTGGAGACTATCAATTCTTTTTAATTCCTTATTTCTCAATTACAGAATACGTTCCAGAGGACAAGGACTGTGTTGTTCATCACAGTATTCCAGAACTTAAAAGGAACTGGCACATAATTGGAGCTTACTAATATTCGTCAAAAAAATGAACAAATGAGGCAATGACAGTGGTCTTGTGAAGCTGCTGCTATTTACAGGGACTCACTCATTCCGCAAGTATTTTTTGCACCTCCTACCACACTCCACTCAGTTACATGCTGGGAATACCACAGTAAAGGTAGATAAGATTAGTCTACCCCCTCGCCTTTGAGATGGGCATGGGTGGCACCTAAGGTCGCTTTCAATACTGAGATTCCTAGATTCTTAGAGTTGACTAAAAAGTTTAAAACTGAGAGGAAAGAGTACCCCAAGGGCCACAGATTAACCCTCCCTTCTACTATCACCACTAGAGATCTGGTAATGAAGGGCAGTGACTCAGAAAAGGAATGGCAAGCCACTGGCAGCAAGGGTGTGTATAGACTCATCTATACCAAGGGGAGTTGGGAGAACAGGGAGGGACAAAAGAAAGAGATCTAGATCGAGCTGTTCCTTCTTTCTGAGCTGGGAGAGGCCTCTCGGTGAGAAAGCACTGCCAGACCGGACGAGAGCAACCAGGCTGGGCACTTATCCAAGTACCCCTCCCCACCCTGAGACAGAGTGGGCTCCCTCAACCCAGCAATAAAATCTGTATGGCCCAGTTAGGTAATATAAGGTATTACATATGACCTCACTTCCCTCAAGGATCTTTAATTTATTTATTTATTTATTATTTAGAGATTAGGTCTTGCTCTGTCTCCCAGGCTGGAGTACAGTGATATAGTAATAGCTCACTGCAGCCTAAAACTTGGGCTCAAGTGATCCTCTTGCCTCAGCCTCCAGAGTGGCTGGGACTACAGGTGCATGTAACCATAGCCAGCTAAGTTTTTAAATTTTTTGTAGAGATACGGGTTTTGCTATTTTGCCCAGGCTGGTCTCAAACTCCTGGCCTTAAGTGATCCTCCTGCCTCCCAAAACACTGGCATTACAGGTATGAGCAACCGTGCCTGGCCAAATGTGCTATTTTCTAATGTGGTTTGTAAACTGGTCAGGAAACAATTCCCAAAGAGGAATCAAATCTACCATCAGGTGAGCAGACCCCTTTAGTAGATGTGACTAGCAGGCTATGGTCACAGCTTATACTTTCTCCCTTTTCCCAAAGTCCTCAATCTCCCTGTAGGAAGCTTGGGGAATGTGCCTCCTGCCCTCTTCTGGACTAGTCAGCATGCTCACCAAGCACACTAAAGCCACCCAAGTCACAGCTGACTCATGCCATTGCTCTTTGTAATGAGGTATGACATGTTTCTAAGCTCTTGTATATTTTCATATTTGTAGCCTACAATTAGGCATTTTTGAGGGATGTAGCTGACTAGGGGTTCTGTTCAGTGACCTATAATTATACACTCAGGCATCATGGTCAATCCAGGCAACTCTCAGGCCTGCAGGAACCTCATGGAAGAAGCCACTTGGCTCTAAGAAGCTCCAGAGAATACTGTAGTAATGTGGCTTAGAAGGGCCACACTGCCCCTCCTTGCTGCTCTTGGAGGCACTCCCCCTATGTCCCCTTCATCTCCCTTATCACTCACTGCCTGACTCAGCAATGCCTGCCAAGCCCAAGTGCTGACACATTTGTGTATCTAGTGCCAGCAGAGAACCACTTTGAGGGACACAGTCTCCACTGCCAAGGTAACAGCAACGTAAAGCAACTTCTTTTTTTTTTTTTTTGAGACAAGAGTCTCACTTTGTCACCTAGGCTGGAGTGCAGTGGTGCGATCTCAGCTCCCCGCAACCTCTGCTTCCCAGGTTCAAGTGATTCTCGTGCCTCAGCCTCCTGAGTAGCTGGGATGACAGGCTCCCATGCCTCAGGTATGGGAGGCATACCACCACTCCCAGACAATTTTTGTATTTTTAGTAGAGACGGAGTTTCACTATGTTGGCCAGGCTGGTATCGAACTCCTGACCTCAACTGATCCACCCGCCTCGGCCTCCCAAAGTGCTGGGATTACAGGTGTGAACCACTGCGCCTGGTCATAAAGCAACTTCTAAAAACTCCCATAAGCGTCTCGTCTTAGAAAAAAGGGGTCACACACCTGCTGCTCATGGGACCCTGCAGTCAGCTGCTGTGCCTCCGCTCTGAGCCAGCCTTTTTGCCACCTGTTGCAGTGGCCACACTGATCCTAATCCTCCCCCATGCAAATGCCTACCACCCAGCTTTACCACTGTTCCCCTGGCTGGGAAAGAAGGACTGGTTTAGCACAAAAAATCTGTCCCTTATGACATTTCACATATACATTTGGCCCCAATAAAACTCATTTCTTGGGCCAAGTGCGGTGGCTCATGACTGTAGTCTCAGCACTGTGGGAGGCCAAGGCAGGCAGATCACCTGAACCCAGGAGTTCAAGACCAGCCTGGGTAACATAGTGAGGCTCCATCTCTACAAAACATAAAAAAGAAAGAAAGGGGCAAAAAAAGATTTCTTGATTTTTTTAACAGCAGCTCAAATCCTGGCATTTAATCAAAGAGACTGCCAGTAGCCCACCTTGTGTAGCTGTGAAGGGCAACTGTGGCCCATGCTCAGAGCAGCATCTGCATTAAGTATGAGCCCAGTATCTAAACTACAATTACTTTGCAAGTTTCCCTTCTTCCCCAATGCAAAGTACTTTAGAGTACTTTATACTTTTCAAAAACACTTTCACGTATTATCTCATTTGAGTCTACCAATAAGCCCAATAGGATTAAATGCAAAAGGTATCTTCTCCATTTCACAAAGGAGGAGGCTGGGGCTCAGGAAGGCTAAGCATCTTGCCCTCGGTTCACTCAATTAGTAAGAGTAGAACCAAGTCCAGAATTGCTCTGCAATCTTCATAAATCAACAATTAGTAGTCACTACTTCATAGAGACATTATAAGGATAAATGAATTAACATATGTAAAGTGCCTGGAATAGTGTCTGGCTCATAGTTAGGACTATGTTATCATTATTAACAGTATAATCACCACCACCCAGAATCCTCAATTCCAAAGCTACAGCTCTTTTCCTTCTATCCTGCTGCATTTTGCTCAGAAAATAGTTTCATCTCACCTTGAGTGAGTCCAGACCTAATCCCTATAGTCAGTCTATGGAACCCAGAACTCACTGGGCTTTTTTTCTTTTTTCTAATTTATTTAAAAAATCTTTTTATGAGCAGGGTCTTGCTCTGTCACCCAGGCTGAAGTGCAGGGGCATCATTATAGCTACTGCAGCCCTGAACTCCTGGCTAAAATGATCCTCCTGCCTCAGCCTTCCCAAGTAGCTGGGATGATAGGTGTGCACCACTGCACAGACTCTATCTTGCCACTCCACGAACGACTCCATACTTGTGTGCACAGGGAAGTACGCACACCCCACCTTTTCTGCCAGTCTGACACTCATCTCCTAGCCTCTCTGATAGCACTTATGCCATGTTAGACACCTTTCTGTGGTTTGCCCTGCCTGCAGTACATGACCTTCACTTAGATCCAATTCTTCATTCATTTAGTTTCTTTCTTCAACAATCATTTCACAAGCACCTACCCTTTACTAAGCCCCATACTAGAGGCTTTTCCTCGAAAACATATCAAATGAAATGTGCAAGAGCAGCGGGATGCACAAGGAGCTGTGGCAGCACAAAGACGCCAGAAAGTAACCGTCAGCAGGCAGCACAAAAGATTTCAGAGGAGGCAAAGCTAAAATGGGTTTTAGAGCAACTAGAGTGCTCTCAGCAGACAAGGGGAGAAAAGGACATTCCACGCTATGGGGAACAGTATATACAAAGGAATACAAAGCAGAATCATATAGAGTATGGGGTATACAATCTCACACTACCAGCATGCAGGGGCTGTGAGTGTGTGTGTGTGTGCGTGTGTGCACATGTGTGTTACTGTGAGATAAATATATCTATGTATTCCATATATAAAATAATGAATATATATAGATATCTCTCTACATATAATAAGGAATATATATATGTGTATATATATACAGAGAGAGAGAGAGAGAGAGAGAGAGAGAGAGAGAGAGCCTTCTTCCCAGTTCTGGGCACAGCTTCAAAAACCCTTGGCATTTCCTGAGGGATGGGGGTGAGAGGAGCCTACTTTGTGATTCATAACAAGTCCCTCTACCATACCTGAATTTATGCTAATGAAGTGAGGATTTATTTCTTACGGTTCCAGAGGCTTGGAAGTCTTAAGATTGATGGCTGAATCTGGTGCGGGCCTTCTTCCTGCATCATCCCATAGCAGAAAGGCAGAAGGGCACAACAGTACACACAAAAGAGAGAGAGGGCAGGAGGGGGCCGGACTTGTTTTTATCAGAAACAAACTCTAGCAATGACAGCATTAATCCATTCATGAGGGTGGAGCCCTCATGGCCCAATCACTCTGAAGGGTCCTACCTCTTAATACCATCACAATGACAATCAGATTTCAACATGAGTCTTGGAGGGGACATTCAAAATATGGCATGCCGACATAGTGAAACTTCCATAAAAACCCAAAACTTCTGAGTTCAGAGAGCTCCCGGGTTGGTGAACACATCAAGGTGCCGGGAGGGTGGTGCACCCTGAGAGGGAATGGAAGCTCTACACACACACACACACACACACACACACACACCAAAATTTTGCCCTATGCATCTCTTCCATTTGGCTGTTCCTGAGTTGTATCCTTAATAAACTAATAGTAATATAATACTAATAGTAGGGTTAATAGTAAGTCAACTGTTTTTCTGAGTTCTGTGAGCCATTCTAGCAAATTACCAAACCTGAGGAGGGGGTTGTGGGAACCGATCCCTCCAACTTTATAGTGAGTTGGTCAAAAGTATGGGTGGCCCTGACTTGTGATTAGCATCTGAAGTGGGGACAGTCTTGTCCCCACTTAATCTATGGAGATTATGCTAGCTCCAGGTAGTGTCAAAATTGAATTAAATTGTAAGAAACCCCAGTTGGTGTCCAGAAAGTTTGGCAAATTGGCAAATGTGAGAGAAAAAACCCCACACATTTGGTGTCAGGAGTGTTGTGAGTAGCAATATATCATACTAATAGTAGAGTGAGTGTGAGAGTGTGGGTGTGTGTGAGAGAGAAGGAAACAGAGACAGGGAAAGAAATTAGATATGGGATGGTGCAAAATGAGGCTAGAAAGGCAGGGATAGGCCTAGAGTGCCATGACCAGGGGACACCTGGGCGGCTCCAGCGTTCCAGCAACCTTACACACTGAAGCCTCAAGGGCATCTCCCTCCAAACTGCCTGGGGGTGGCAGGCAGCTGGGACAACAAACATCAAGCCTGCCTTTCCAGGGGTGAGTGGCAATCCCAACTCCTTGGGTATGCTTACAGCGCACCAATTTTCAATGCAAAATCCTTTAACAACTGTTTTCTCTCTCTTTCTGTCTTTCCTTCCCCTCCTCCTAAAGAAGAGCTGTTTATCCCTCTTCTCATTTCTGCCCCGCTCTGAGCCCTGAGTTTTAGTGCCAGTGCTTTTACACAAATCCAGCTTTACATCTTGAGTGAAATATAATTTCATAGGAATGTAATTCTGGAATGATCTCATTGAAAAAGCACATCCAGCAAAGGCCATGAGCAGACTTCAGGCCAGCCCATTCACACCCAGAGCCAAGAAGACTGCAGACCCCTTTCCCTTAAATGGAGAATGTGCCTGGGACCCAAAGCAAAGCACACCAGCTACCTAGGGATATTCTCCTGCCTACAGCCAGCCAGCCTGCCTGCCTGCAGACCACGGCCAGGGCCCACAGCAGCGACCACCATGAGCCACTCTGGCACCATACAAGGACAGACTCGAGGGCATCCAAGCAAACAGGCCTCACCCCAGAGACGCTGCCTCTGACCCTCGGGAGGGCTCTGGCTCCATGCCATCAAACATGAGCTGAAAATATTAACACTCCCCTGTCATAGCCCCATCAGAGACAGAAGAGTATCCAGAAGCCCAGCTGCTAAAGATCCTCCCCACACCTACCTGCCTTCCTAACTCTCGGAAACCCAATTACCATCTGACCCTATTGAGACAGAGTCAGAAAGTGGGGCATTTGACTCTGAAACTAGATGTCAAAGCCAGGCCCAGCCCAGTCCAGCAGAGCTGAGGCAGAGCAGAACTGGGGAAGAAATAATGTAGTCTGATGGACGCTCAAAAAATCCTACTGAAAAAAATTACCAAGTTGGAATCTCTGGAAAAAATGTCCTCATTCCAAATCTGTTCCCCACCCCCAATGAATTCTCATAAAATGGACCAGAAAAGGAGGAAAAAAAAAATTAATGGCTTGCAGGGTCTATGGGAACTCTCTGTCTCTCTGTACTATCTTTGCAACTGTTCTGTAAATCTGAAACTATTCTAAAATGTAACATTTATAAAAAATAATGGCTTATCACAGTTTCCTCTGTAAGAAACAATGGGAAAAGGGTGATCTTTGGGTATGAAACTCTGCCTCTACCAGCTATGAAGCTTTGGATGTGTTGCCTACCCTCTGTAAGCTTCAGTTTTCTCATCTGTAAAATGGAGAGAACAGTTCCAACCACGAAGTGCTGTTGTACAGATTGAGTAAGATAGTGCATGCAAAGGACTTACCACTGCTAAAAGTGCTTTCTTTCTGGGCAGCAGCAGTTTCTCTGCTCAGTCAGCCTTCACGTTGGGTTCTTGACAACTGCAGCTGGAGACCCTACCTCCACCCTTCAGCCCTACCTGTCTTTATGACTAGCAGTCTCTTCCAGAAACGGCAGGACACTTTAATCCCAAAGCACAGTAATCACCTGAAAGGCTGAAGGCTGCCTTATAGCAAGTTCTGACTAGTGAAAGCACACCTTTGTTGACAGAAACATGTTCTCCTTCCTGCTTTCCCTTCCTCCATTAGAATCTAGTGTCACTGCCATTAGCTGAATGACTTTCCTAAGGGTTACAGGGATCCATCAGAAGGAAAGCCAGAAGCTGACAGAGTTGCGCTTCTGACAGAGAGGAAGTGTGCTCTCAAAATCGCCACAGAAGATTCTTCCCCTTCAGTAGCACCACTACCATCCACCATCTCATCACCACCACCCCAACTCCTGGCTGTGCCCTGCTCCCATCCTGGCCCCACATGAAGCTGGGCTGATAAACTACAAATCCACAAGTCAAGGGGCACAGCAAGTTCCCCAAAACCAAGACATATGTCTCAAGGCTGGGCAGGAAGTTGCCCCCAGGCCCTGAAGCCCAACCCCGGGGCCTCAGACACCTTGCCTCTTGTCTATAGGATGATGTTACTTGCTTCTCCCCTGGGGAGACTGAGATGAGTGGGCAGTCTAGGAACCCTATCTAGGTCTTCTTATTTTTTTCGTTTTTTTTTTTTAATTATTATTTTCACTTTTTTTTGAGACAGAGTCTCTCTCTGTTGCCTAGGCTGCAGTGCAATGGCGTGATCTTGGCTCACTGCAACTTCCACCTCCCAGGTTCATGAGATTCTCCCACCTCAGCCTCCTGAGTAGCCGGGATTACAGGGGCCCACCAACACACCTGGCTAATTTTTGTATTTTCAATAGAGACGGGGTTTCACCATGTTGGCCAGGGTGGTCTCGAACTCCTGACCTCAAGTGACCCGCCCGCCTTGACCTCCCAAAGGGCTGAGATTACAGACGTGGGCCACTGTGCCTGGCCCCCATCTGGGTCTTATAAGTGGATGGACTAGAGACCAAGGAAAGAATCAGGTGAAGAAAGGTATAGCTCTGATGTCGTGTTATCTCCTTGAAAATCACTCACAAGAATGTCAAATACTTAAAAAAACAAAAAACTCTCCCAAGACAAAAGAGAAGTCCAATCTCACCCTGAAAATTTACTGTCCAAATAAGGGAGCAGTCAGTGCTAGAACAGTCAGGCTGTTCCAACTCCAAAAAGCCCTGGGAGAGAGGCAGTTCCCGGGCTTCAGATTCCACTGACAGGTTGTAACCCCTCAAAGCCACTAATGGGCACATTCTAGTGGCTAATTCCTCTGACCTTCCAGATGGCTGGGGTGGGGACACACCCCAGCTGAGACCCAAGGACACTGGTTCCTGGCAGGGAGCATGCAAAATCTCAGCAGCTCCAACCAGGCCAGATTAACAGCCCCATGCTCAAGGACACGCTGCCGGAAGCAGGACCCAGGAGGAAGACGTCCTTGGAGCCATTTCTTCTTTAACCAAATAAGAGCCAAATATAGCCAAATATGAAGAAACAATGTCATCTTCTTTGAAATTTTTCTCCACTTTATCACCTCATACCTAGTTTACTGCAATGGTCTCTGGTTATACAGAGAGCACTTTATCCAGTGCCAGCCCATAGGAGGCACTAAATAAATGTTAAACAGTATTATTGTATGACAAGCTCCCCTTTATTCTTCTACCTCCAGTCCTCTCTGCTCATAAGTGACAGACTAAGCATCCTGGAATGTCAGTATCATCATGTCATTCTTCTGGGCTCCTTAACCGCCAATCACACCAGACTCAGGTTCCCTTAATTGGTTCCAACCAATCTCACTTTCCAATTCTTCCTTCCCTCTTCAGCCAGCCCTGGCCCTACCACCCTCCCCAGACCTGCCCACACAGAGATACACAGACTTGCACATGCACACAGACACGCACGTGCGCGCACGCGCGCGCGCGCACACACACACACACACACACACACACCTACCTCTCTCCAGGCAGGACACCTTCTGCTCCAAACATGTCCACGTGTCCATTTCTGCCCCATGTTTCTGGGCTCAAATCACTGGCAGCCTGGAGTGCTCTCCTTCTTCCTCTCTGCTTATCCAACTCCTAGTATGCTCCAAGGCCCAGGCCAAGGTCCCCTGAAGCTCAGGCTGAGAAGCCATTCAATCCACAAACAATGACCAAGCACCTGCCTTGTGCAAGACACTAGCCCAGTCACTGAGGACACAGGAAGGAAAACAACACAGTCCTACAGGCTCCTGACCGGTGGGAGGGGCTTCAACATGAACTGCTCTGCTCACCTGAACCATGCAGGCAGCAGAGTCAACCACCAGACATCGCAGGCAGCTTGCTGTGCCACTTGTAGGGGTAAGGTGAGGGCAGCACATGAAACCCAGCTAGATGGGGTCTTCTTACCTTTCAAGACTTCAACCTTTCAAAGAAGCCACCACGGCCTAGTGGCTTAGAATATATTCTATTATAAGAACCTTCATTCTCTGTGACCACCTTGGGTAGCACTGCCCCATCTTGCTTTAGAATTTTATCAGCTAGGCTGGGTCCAACCTCATTCAATAATAGCCATGGTCAACTACCTCTCCTTAGTGCCAGGCAAAAGCCTCACATCCCTGCCCTAAGCCAGGGAACAGAGAGAGAATGATCTCCTTAGGGGTTCCTAGGCCTGATGCTACTTGACTACAGAGATGATGGGGGTCACATGGGAGCCAACCCTTAGGCCTCTTTAGGGAAAAAGGGTAATCTGCAATTCTGACCATAGGAGTAACTCCACCCTTCCCTCTCTTATTTAAGAAAGCTTATGAGAGAGTGAATGGGCTTGCTATTATTATAGGTATAATCTTGCATACCTTCTAAATTATAAGAATAGGTAACCCATTTAAGATTACTTTGGTCCTTTAACTCCTGTAGTAACAAATGCCACGTGATACATGCCTCACATCTAGTCCTAAGCTGCTAGTGAGTTACAGTGCCTGGAGAGAAGCAGCTGCTATGAGCTTCCAGTGTGCCACCCCCACCCAGGCACCCCACCTTGGATAGCCAAGAGGGCTACCTCGGTAAAAAAGAGATCCTAAGACAGACTTGTAAGCTCAACCCAGAGGGTAATCCTAATTCATTTCCCCCTGCCCAGGGGAGACAAATGTTGCTATATCAATGACTGGGGAAAAGGCCCACATATTTTTCATGTCTCACCCTCAGACTGGAGTGGCGTCTCACTGCTTCTAGAAGATTGGAACTATTACTGACTTGGTATTCATATGGACCAAAGGTACCTCCTGTTGGACATTCCTTAGGCCTGTCACATATGGTCCAAGAAAGCAGTAAGATGGAAAAGAGAGACCAGCTAAGAGCTACTCCAAATGCCCACACCATCAGATGATCATCCCAAGTGTCAGAGATATCTGTGAATCAAGTGCTCAAAGCTACACACATTGGGAGTGCTCTAAAATTCCTATCAATACAGTTATTCTTTTTCCCAGAACCAGAAGAGGCTCTCTTGATGTAATCTTAGATACCAGGGAATATAATGTTCAACCCAGGGAAAAAAAAGAGAGAACACCTAACCCATCCCTACTTATATTTCCAGCAGTGGAGACTCACAGTCTTCCTCATCATCCATCCTCCCTGTAATCTACCTGAACCTCAAGTCTCTGAATAAGCTTATCTCACATGTGACTTAGCTGTTGCTTTTTATAGCATGAACTATTCAGCCTCCTACTAAGACCATCTTTTCCAGAGAGGCTGAATGGGTCTCAGTCTCTACTAAGGAAGCTCACATCCTTCAGGAGCTTACCCAAAACAACAGTCACATATTTAGGCATGCTGGCTTGTACAGCTCAGGTCAGCCAGAAAGGCCACAGCAGCTGCTGACCATTATACCACATGTGAGCACTAACGGGGATCAATGAGTCAAGCCTTGAAAGGGCAGAACAGAAGGAAAGAAGTTACCATTGGCCCTTGGATCACCAGCAACTAGCTCGAAAGAGTCTGCCTAATGAGGACTGCATCCAGCCATAACGAGCACCTAGTCTTTGAAGCCTGTGGCATCCAGACAGTATCACTTCCTACTTGACTGCTTTCAGGGGGCCTTCCACACAGCCACCCCTTACACTACACCCATCTCCAAGGCTGAAGAGAAGACCTAGTGCACACTATCTTGAGAGGCTTAGCCACACATTTCAGTCCCCGTCCACATCCACCCTCCCCCTGCCCCTGACAGCTCAAATATTCAGTCTCCACATGTGTCTATGTGCCTGTGTGTCTGTGTTTTATTTATACTACCCATGTCTGTTGTTAGCAACAGAAACAAAGTACTTTAAGGCAGAAAAGGCAAGTCTGCCAATTGGCTTGCTGCTCCCCGCCTGCTTCCAGCTCAGGGAAGGGCTGGTAAATGATCCCTCCAGCTCCAATCTACCATGTGTGCCTACAGCTCCCACGTACCCGGGGGCTGGGAGGCATGGTGCCAGTTTGGCCCACATTAGTCACTGCTGCATGGGGTGCCGGCCATCACCTCTCTCTCTTCTTCCCTGGAGGGCACACCCTGAACACCTGATTCTGTCACCTGCCTAAATGCTGATTACTGTCGAAAGGCAGAGCTTCAGAAGCCAGAATTCAAGAAACCCATGGTAAAGATGAAAGGGCAGTTCCTCCCCAGACTCAAGACTCTGGAGAACTAGCCCAGGCTAAGTTCTACTTTCACGTCTTTCCATTCCCACTTCAGTTTTTCTGCTACTGATAATCTTCCAAGTTCCAATAGCAGGCTCCCTAATAACATTGACAGTAATTATTGATCACCACTTTGTTTTAGCTGAGAGAACAAAACATGAGATGTGATTCTTACATGTGGGGAGCTCACAGACGAATGTAGGGCACTGAGACACAACAGCAAACGATGCAAGTGTGGGACACAAACTAGAAAGACAGGACAATGGAGTGGTGGAGGGGACAGAGCAGCTCTGGACGGGGCTTCTGTGGGAGAGGAAATGTGAGCCAGACTGTAAAGGACAAACAGTAGCTGGACAGAATGAGACAGAAGACTGTTTGAGATGAAGAATGAGACTATGACTCAAGGTCCCAAGGCAGAGAGAGTGGCAAATATCACACCCATAGCGTTTTTCTCACATTCAACTGAGGCTCAGCCCTAGCAGGTATGGAGGAAGGAAAGTGGTGTGACTTGGTAAAAACAGAACCCTCCCCTCTGGGTTACCATGCTCTCCAGCCTCTCTGCACCTACCTCTGCCAAAAGCATGCTCGGGGTTTCCTTTTTCTTTCTTTTCTTTCTTTCTTTCTTTCTTTTTTTTTTTTTTTGAGACGAAGTTTCATTCTTGTTGCCCAGGCTGCAGTACAATGGTGGAATCTCGGCTCACCACAACCTCTTACCTCCCGGGTTCAAGTGATTTTCTTGCCTCAGCCTCCTGAGTAGCTGGGATTATAAGCATGCACCACCACACCGGCTAATATTTTGTATTTTCAGTAGAGACAGGGTTTCTCCATGTTGGTCAGGCTGGTCTCGAACTCCTGACCTCAGGTGATCCGCCCCGCCTCAGCCTCCCGAAGTGCTCGGATTACAGGCGTGAGCCACCACGCCCGGCCAAGGTTTCCATTTTCTGTGCTACTCCAAAATCCTCTCCCTTGCATGTCATGGAATGCAGCCAGCCTAACTTCCTAAACTCAAAAACATCCCATTGAAATTCCTGGTACTCAAGGCTCCTGCTCCCACGGTAGGACAAGCTTCAGGCTCCCCCAGGTGCAGTGTGGGCCAGGAGCTTGAACTATTCCTGTGTTGGCCTGGGTCAAGCTGTGAGTCTGATTCTTTTCTCGCTAGAGCAGGAGAAGGGGGGCAGTATGAAATTGTAACTATGGTTCCTGGAAGCCAGGACAACCATCTTTCCTCCTTCCATTCATACTTACAGTCATGCATCCATTCAGCTAATATACACCAAACACCAACCATGCATAAGCCAATATGTTTAGTGCTGTTTGGACACCAAATGCATCAGGTATGGGTCCATCCTCAAGGAGCTTCCACTCTGTAGGGTGAATACAATAGACATATAAATCTCATAAATACCAGGAAGACTATTTTAAGTGCCATTAGAAAGATGAAATTAAGTGCCACTAGAGAGATGCCATTAGAGAGATACAATGTTGAAGCTTAGGTAGAAGGAGATTACTTCCAAATAAAGGATCAAGAACACTTTACAGAGAGGGTGACCCTTGTGCTAGGCCTGGAAGATCAAATGGCAAAAGAATACAGGGGTATTCCTACACAGATAGAACTACATGCACAAGGGCTTGGAAGCAGGAAAGCAGAAGACGTATGAAGGACAACAAAGTGTTTGTCAGTCTGATGGGAGTTTAATTGAAAGTAGACCAGGGAGAAAGAGAGTTGGAAAGACAGAGACATGTCGGCTCTTAGAGGCCTCTGAGAGCCAAATCAGGGATCTTAGTTTTTCTCTGGGGAATCACAGAAGTTTTCTGAGAAAAGAATGATGGGTCAGAGATTATGCTTCTGAAAGATGAAGCAATACTCAGAGGTCTAGGGGCTACGGCAGAAAAATCTGTTCAAGTGGTCCACGAGGGCTAATGATCACAGGAGGGACAAGGGAGAGAGAGAACTGAGGTAAGCAGCAAGTGCAGGATGAGAATTTCTACCTTTGAAGCTCAGGCTGAACAGAAAAATCAGTAGGCAGTGGCCAGGGTGGCTAAGAGGCTACACAGGCAGAGAAGAGCTGGAGAGCCAGCTCTTGGGAGGGGACAGCGAAGGAGTGGGAGGTGGAAACAGACAGGAGACCAGGGAAGGGAAGGGAATCTCCGAGTTCAGCATCCTAAAAGTGAAACTGCTCCAAGTGATAAAGCCAAAGGTACCCGAAGAGGAATAAAGACGAAGTCCTTAGAGTTGGAAGGATGGAGGGACTGTGAGGCCGGAGCATTGATGGATTCTCAGTATGAATCCTCAAATCCTAATTATGCCAAAAAGAGGACATATGAAGAAGGTTGTTAACAGTTAGCCTGAAGTCAATAGGCAGGTAAGGGCACCAAGAGTGAGCAGAGGAGGGACTAACTTCTCATGGGAAAGGTTGCCAGCCCGGGCTTGGAAGCAACGTGGGGAGTTCAGAGCGAGAGTTGGGAGGAGGTGAGGTGGCTTCATTGGAGAGGGTCACAAGGAAAGTAAGATCTTCAGGGAAAAGCCAGCTTTTGGCTATAACAAAGAGGTAGGAATGTTCTAGGAAAAGCCACCAAAGAAGGGGCAATACCACTTTTTGTCTATTACACTGGGCAAGATGATAAAACTATTCCCAGAGTCAGGCAGGGTGTGGCAAGCTGGGCACTCTCATATACTGTTGGATGTTCTGTAAACCAGTATAATTTTTCTGGAAAACAATTTAGGAATACACACACACACACACACACACACACATAACCTCACAAGGATAACCTATACAAAGTTAAAAGATAAGCCACAGACAGGAAGAAAATAATTACAGAGCACATAACTGACAAGTGATTAAAAATCAGAACATATTAAGAACTTCTAAAGGAAAAAGACGAAAACCCAACTGAAAAATAAGTAAAAGATATGAACAGAGAATTCAAAGAAAATAAAATATTGCTCAATCTCTTTGATAAATTGGGAAAATGCAAATTAAAGTGATGAGATATTATATCATACTTAGACTGGAAAATACTGAGAAGCATGGGATCTCCAAGTGTTAGCAAAAATAAGGGGAAATGAACACTTATATACATTGGTGGTAAACACATAACAACTACTATAGAGAACAATCTGGAATTACCTAGTAAAGCTAAAGAATCATACTCCCCACCACATCACTTCCATTCCTAGGTAGCTGGCGTACACAAACTCTTGCACAGTCATTACAATAGTGTCTGTAATACACAAAAATTAGACTTTAACCATTTCTCACTGCCATATAATGGTGCATTATACACCAATTAAACCAAATGATTTTACACATGAAAACTTTTTAGAAATGACTTTGAATGAAAAAAAATCAACCTGCAAAAGGTTTGCCTGCAAGAATAGTATCATGTGTATAACATTTTAAAACACAATACTATACATTATTTATGGACACATGTATGTAAAAGGATAAGATATGCACAGTAATGAGGCTTTTATCAGTATCAGGAGGAGGAAAGGACTGCAGAAAGCTTTAGTCATATTTGTCCAATTTTTTTTCCTGAGCCTCCAAGCATGAGTACATATTTGTCAAACTTAAAAAAAATTTATGTTAACAGATCTGAAGCCAATATGGTACAGTGTTACATTTATGAAATTTGGATGATGGGTACATAGATTTTTATTATATTAACCTTTCACTTTTCCATATACTTTTCCAAGTTTTAAAAGATATTGTTGGCCGGGCGCAGTGGCTCACGCCTGTAATCCCAGCACTTTGGGAGGCCAAGGCAGGCAGATCACGAGGTCAGGAGATCAAGATCATCCTGGCTAACACGGTGAAACCCCATGTCTACTAAAAATACAAAAAAATTAGGCGGGCGTGGGGGTGGGTGCCTGTAGTCCCAGCTACTCGGGAGGCTGAGGCAGGAGAATGGCATGAACCCAGGAAGCAGAGCTTGCAGTGAGCCGAGATCACGCCACTGCACTCCAGCCTGGGCAACAGTGTGAGACTCTGTCTCAAAAAAAAAAAAAAAAAAAAGATATTGTTAAATAATTTAAGTATATTACATAGCTTTCGAACCAGTAATTCCATTTTTAGAAACTTCTAGCAATAACTATCCTGAAGTTATACAAGTAGGCACAGCTATACAGATATGTAGATATTTGCCACCACTTACCTTTTTTTTTTTTTTTTTTTTCCCAAAGAGATGGGGTCTCGCTCTATTGCCCAGATTGGAGTGCAGTGGCACAATCACAGCTCAACATAGCCTCCAACTCCTGGGTTCAAGTGATCCTCCCACCTTAGCCTCTTGAAAAGCTGGGACTACAGGCATGTAGCACCACACCAGCTAATTTTTTACTTTTTTCTAGAAATAGCATCTCACTACGTTGCCCAGGCTGGTCTCAAACTCTTAGCCTCAAGCAATCCTCCTGCTTTGGCCCACATAGCTATTAATAACAGAAACAACCCAAAAGTCCATCGTCAGGTTAACTAAATAACAATTCATCCATACAATGTAATTCTATGCAGCATTAAACATTATAGAGTAGCTCTGTATGTACTGTCTGTGGAATATATCCAAGTAATATTAGTCAGAAAAGTAGGTTACAAAATATAAGTGAAAAATGATGGCACTTTGGGGGAAAAAGCAATATATGTTAACACATATGAAGAAGATCCCAAAGGACAAGATACACCACAAATTAACAATAATTATGCTATAGGGGATTATGTGACTTTTACTTTCTTCCTAATATTTTTTGTTATTGTCCAAATATTCCTCAATGAGCATGTATTTCTTTTATTAGAAAAATCAATAAAGCTAGTTAATTTCACGCAAAAAGAAAATAAGGACAATCTGGTAATAGCAGATGAGTTTTACTTGAAATAACGGAAAAGGTAAGCAGAAAAAGAGGGAGATATCATAGACAGAAGTATAACAAAAGCTCTACCGAAACGAAGAGCCAGGAGGAAGAGCAAGGCTTAGAGGTTTTCATCCAGGTTGGGCATTTTCAGCAACAAGAACAAAGAAGGCAAGAGTGAGGAGGACAGCTGGGAGAGCTGTTTGTGACTGAAGAGCAGAGAGTACAGACAGAACTACACAGTTCTCAAATTCCATACAAAATTTTAATACGTTTTTCACTTCACAGATTCTGAACCTGCCACAGGACCAGCTCCTTTGGTGAGCGAAGTGTGTGAGCGAAGGAAAGATTCTTGGGTAGAACTTCATAAAGTCTGTCATAAGATCAGCCCCAGAGGAGGAGACTTTTCAGATCCCATCCCTCATACACATTCAGAAGGCCAAGGAAACACCCTCAGGATTGAACTATGATAAAGAAGGTAACCAATAGCCTGGACAACACAGGGAGACCCCATCTCTACCGAAAAAAAAAAAAAAAAACATTAGCCAGGCATGGACAGGGAGGTGCATGCCTGTGGTCCCTGCTATTTGGGAGTCTGAGGTAGGAGGATCACTTGAGCCCAAGAGGTCGAGGCTGCAGTGAGTGGTGACTGTGCCACTGTACTCCAGCCTTGGCAATAGAACAAGACCCAGTAACAAAAAAAAAAAAAAAGGGTGTCAAAGGAGACAAAAGCAATGACATCACAGTGGCCTTAGTTTAGCCTACACAACCAGCAACTCTGTTTCTCTAGAATTGGTGAGATAATGAGAAGCTGAAGAAACAGATGGGTAGGTGCAGTGGCTCATGCCTGTAATCCCAGCACTTACGGAGGCCGAGGCGGGTGGGTCACCTGAGGTCAGGAGTTCGAGACCAGCCTGGCCAACATGGTGAAACCCTGTTTCTACTAAAAATACAAAAATTAGCTGGGCGTGGTGGCGCACGCCTGTAATCCCAGCTACTTGGGAGACTGAGGCAGGAGAATGGCTTGAACCTGGGAGGTGGAGGCTGCAGTGAGCCGAGATTGTGCCACTGCACTTCAGCCTGGGTGACAAAGTAAGACTCCTTCTCAAAAAAAAAAAAAGAAAAGAAACAGAGTGAGAAAAAAAGTGGGCTGGTAAGCCAGCGGGTAATCATAAGCCGATCTTGTGTTTAGGCAAATACGAAACATCTACAACTTGAAACTAAACAGGGAAGTAATGGCTCTGTGGCCACCTATGATGCAGCATGGAAGTTCTACTGGCACGTGTCTTCTTTCTGGATGTAGTACCCCCTCTAACACAGCCGCCACATGGTAGAGTAGTTGCTAAGAAGCCACAGGAAGGTACAACATCTAAGATGCCACGGGTGTCCATTGAAATTAAGCCATCCTTTTACTTTTACCCCTAGGCTTTTGGACTTGGACCTCATCCAAGGAGCTGGCTGCCTGCACTTTCACAGACCGTCAGCTTCATCCCCAGGCCCCAAATCCTGAATTTGCCGTGTCAATGAAAAACCATCATCAGCTTTTCTTTACATTAAAAACTGATTGTGATCATAGCAGTTTTTCCTGTTTTCTGGGATCACTGCTGCGAAGAGGAAAAGTCACCAGAGGATAAAATGACACACACGCAAACTCTTCTGTGGCTGAAATTCCCCTCACTCTTCCTGCCTCTAACCGAAAAGGAGGATACAGACCAAGGAGCACTTCATGAAGGTAGTCGCCTCCCTGCCCTGCTGTTTTTCACCTTCAGGAAGAATCACTCCCTCCCAAGTAGGACCTCTCCCTGGTCACTATAATCCCATGATTTGTAATGTGGGCTTCATTCCGCAAAAGCCCAGGGCTGGTGTTATCTAGGAGTGATGGCAGTCATTTCCAGATCATGAGCAGTCGCACAGATAAGGCAAAGGGCAACTCCTGCCTAGCATGTGTGACCCAAGAGATGACAGAGAAGAGAAGGGAGGAATGCACTCCTTCACCTGGTCCCTCAGCACTGAGCCAGCCTCCCATTTGTACATGGAAGGAAAGGCCAATACCTGATACTTAAGAAAGAATTAACTGTTAGGTCAGCCCCCTTCCCTCCCAGGCTAGTATAAGGATTAAACAAAATAATGTTCTAATAGAAGCAAGAATACAAGTTACATGGCTCTAACTTGGCTCCAATTTCTAGCTGGTAGGAAGTCAATCCTTTTACCTGTTTTCCAAAGTCTATGGGTCTGCCTTTAGTTGGAAATACAGAATATAGAAGCTATTACAGAACTCGGGGTCTTGAATTACTGTCCAACTCTTCACAAAATTCCATCTGAAAGAAGTGATATTTAAGGAAGACTGTCTAAGGGGTATGATATAAATCCATGCCCCTGCATATTTTAGGCTCCATTTTCTAGCAGATCACCTGAAAGCTACACAGATGTCATTAGCTCAGCTCCTCACAGAGTGGTTTTCACTAAGTTGCAATTTCATGTAAAACATCTGCATTTTGTCTGCAGTCTCTGTGAGAGCTATAGAAAACCAAGACTGCATAAGCACTGGTTATAAAAATAGCAAGGAAACTGTCGCTGTAGTGGTAAAAACAAGAAAAAAATAAATAAATAAAACATACTTCTTGGTTTAAAAAAAGTAAAAATTACTATTATATCATTCAATATTGCCTTACATATCCATATAAATTTCATTAAAACATGAAACTCATTTAAATAACTTTGTCCTTTGAGAAAGTGGTATGTTGACTGCCAAGGAGAAGGCCATTCACAGCAATCACGTTAATGAACAGGATTAGGAAGGCCAGGCATGGTGGCTCATGCCTGTAATCCCAGCACTTTGGGAGGCCAAGGCGGGAGGTCTCTTGAAACCAGGACTTTGACATCAGGCTGGGCAACATGGCAAGAACCCATCTCTACAAAAAGTTTAAAAATTAGCTGGGCATGGTGGTGCACCTCTGGAGTCCTAGCTACTCAGGAGGCTGAGGCGGAAGGATCACTTGAGCCCAGGAGGTCGAGGCTTCAAGGCTGCAGTGATCTTGACTGCGCCACTGCACTCCAGCCTGGGCGACAGACCAAGACAATGTCTCAAAGAAAACAAACAAACAAACAACAAAAAAAAACAAGATTAGAACAGCTGCATGCTCTCCTTTTCTTCGGTGCTGATGTTATTTCTGTTTCTATGTTATTAACATGACTATGGCCTCTCTTTACCAGTTATCTACTGTGTGCCAAGCATTGTTCCCAGGTGTTAATTATGTTAATTCATTTAATACTGTAACACAATCCTATGAGGTAAATGTTACCAATTCTATTTTACCAAACAGGAAAACCAAGGCCCAAGTCATACAGCTAGTAAAAGGAGGAGCCACAATTCAAACCAGGACTGATTTCAAAATTCGCATTCCTTCCACTATGCCATGGAAAGTACAGTAGGGTGTTTTTATGTCAACTGCAGCCAGACACATCAATTTTCTCCTCTGAGAGGACAGGATATAAATCTGAAGAAACAATGTATATGAAAATATGCTCTATGCTATAAGGCAAGATTTATATGTAAGTAAGTATCATCATCCTCAAGGAGAAGATGCATAAAGCAGAGCTGACAGTTTTCTTTTTCATTTTTTTTTTTAAGAGACAGGGACACGTTTCCCAGCCTAGGCTGGACTTGAACTCCTGGGCCAAGCGATCCTCCCGCCTCAGCCTGCTGAGTAGCTGGGACTACAGGCACATGCCATCATGCCAGGCCAGAACTGGCATTTCTGCTGCACACACACCAGTAAACTCAGCAGGAAGTGAACTCTAAACATAGCCTAAGAGGAGAACTTTTCTCTCAACACTAAAACTCATAAAAACACGTAAGCAAGTGTGTCGGTCAGTCACTCCCTTAAACACAGGTGTCTGGCAAGATAGTGAGAAATCATCCCACGTCTAACGTCCATGGGCACAGACTCCTGTTTGCTTCAGAATCCAGGAGATGCTGGCATTTGGCCAGGTAGGCCTTCTTTTCTCTCAACTCCCTTTTAATCTCATCTCCTTCAGTGATGATCATTCTCAAAGAATTATTTCAAGAGACACTATCTTTGAGAAGAAGAATTATTTCAAGTTTTAATTTCTAGCTCATCTACAAATCCACGACTTTTTGAAATCAAAGCTCTCCAAAACTCTGACACCTACAATGTGCTTCTTTCCTCTAAGTTTGATGGCTATTACCTAGGAGACATGCATGCCTTCCCTGGTAGTTTAGAGACAAAGTTTGGAATATGATGTGCTCAGAAAAGGGGTCACTCTACCTTTAGTCCTGGGCATCAAGGGCTTTCTAGATGTTTAAGAGGGAAGTGGTCGCCAGCAGCAAGAAAATGCTGGGGTGGGTTCTCTGGACCACTGCTTCACTCAGGGACGGCCACCCCTTCTCTACTCAACCCATCCAAACCCTGTAAGTGAAGTGTAAAGAATGCAACACAGATCTTCACAAAGACTACCTACCAAAACAAACCCCAACCAGAAAAGCATTGGGGTTACTATGCAAAGGGATCCCTCAGGGATAAAACAGGAAGAGGGGCTCACTGCATTTCCTCTCAAGGGCTCCTGCTTCAACCCCACCTATGTATCACAATTCTTTTCCTCTTCAGTATTAACCCCCTACCTCATTAATTTCCTCCACTCCAACCAGTGGGCAGCAATGTCCAACAGAGCACAATACATTTAAAACTGTTTAGAATGGTTGTCTTGCACTTTTCTCACCTTGTCTTCTTCCACCACTGGCTAAGCTTTCAACCGATTCCACAGTGCCCCAGCTCTGCAGTAAAGCAACTACCCCACATCTTCAAACTCTTCACAGAATTGTGCACCATCTCCTGCCCTCACACACACCAGGCTCTCCCTGAGGGCGCTCTCTCCACCCTGGCAACTTCAATAGCTATGTGGATGGATCCACTCAAAACTCTTAGCTCACAACTGATTCCCTGACATCAATTCCACTTCCACTTGAGTCACCCACACTTTTGCACAAACCCTGAACCTGGCGTACCCATCTCAAAACCTTGCCCTCTACTGTCTGACCACAATTTCCCTTCCTGTCTATCTTTTGACCATTCACTACCTGACAGCTGCTCTCTGAACTTGGCCAGGCCTCTGTTCCCTTAGGCCTTTTTCCTAGAGTATATCAGCCACCTCTTGGCCTTTCCTTCTGCCAATCCAGGCTGAAATCCATGATTCATCACAAATGGATCCATCTCAAATCCACAGCTCCTTTCTCTTTCCACTGTACCTACCTAAAAAGCTCTAACTATGGTATTCTCCATTCCTTTGTAAGCACACCTAAAAATTGCTAGTCAGATACCACACATCCAATACACTTCTGAAAGGCCTTTTGGAGATACATTCTGAAGCATTTATGGAGGAAATGGTATGATGCCTGGAGTTTGCTTCACAAAATTCAGTGGTAAAAAAGGAAGAGTACTGGACAAGAATAGAAATAAAACAAGCTAGTTCATGTGTTAATAGTCATAGTTATTAGTTAATAGTTACAGATAATGGTTGAAGCTGGATGGTGGACACAGCAGTAGTCATCTATTCTCTCTACTTTGGTTATGCTTGGTATTTTCCATAACAAAAAGTTTAACAATAAAACAACTTACGTGCAAGATTAATGGGGAACAATGCCAAAGGTCACACACAGATTACCTGCTAGTCACAAAATGAAAACTATAATTTCACGATGGAGAAATTTAGCTGATCCTACCTTAACCAGTAATCAAACTTAGCATCAATAATAATGGGCCAGCCAAACATCATGTGCCTCTGATCTGCTGCATCATTCATAAAGGGTTGTTTTCTCCCTAAAATGCTTAACCTAAATCTAATCAGGTCTCTAGATCTAAGTTACAGTTTATAGAATACACAGGGCAGAGAGGAAGAACCTGAACAATACCCCAAAGAAACAATCAGACAAATCCATAATGTGAAAAGTGAATTCATGTTAAGAAATAAGAAGTGTCTAAAACTGAACTCCCAGCCTGGGCAACACAACAAGAGCCCCATCTCTACAAAAAATAAAAAAATAAAAAAATAGCAGATTTAGCAGAGTGTGGTGGCACATGCCTGTAGTCCCAGCTACTCAGGAGGCTGAGGCCCCCACCATCTAACTAAAACTATCCAAGAAGACCCCGAGCAACAACCCCAGAACCAGGCAAGTATTGTGGTTTTAAGCCACTATGTTTTGGGGTGGTCTGGTAGGCAGGACACTGGTAAATCCAGCCTTTCAAGAGCCAGCCCTGAGACCTGTCTCTGGAGTCTTATCTTGACACTCCTCAATCTACCCTGCCAAGGACAACAAACACGACCAACTGGGACTTCCCTGCACACTCTACACTTACAGCTTCACTCCTGTCTTTGTGCATGCAAATCCTTCTACCTGGAATGCCCCTCCCTGCCCTGTCTCCTTATAAAGGAACTATGCCTCCTTCAAAATCTGTACCAGCACCATTTCCTCTGTGAAACCATGCCCTCCTTTTCCCCACTCTCCTCCCACCAGTAACTCAATTAATCCTTTCCTCCCAGTGAAACATCTAGGGTGGCATAAACTGCAATGCAGTATACTGGCTTTTCATATGTCTTGTCCATTAAACTATTAAGTTCCAAGAAGGTAAGTGCTATATGTCTGTGCGCTGGTCCTGCAGGGGCCTAACGAATGTATGCTGATTGGAAGTGGTTTCTCCTGCTTCCTTACTTAGCCTATTTCTACTAAAAACATTTCTGGGCCAGGCACAGTGGCTCACACCTGTAATCCCAGCACTTTGGGAGGCTGAGGTAAGAGGATCACTTGAGCCCAAGAGTTCGAGACCAACCTCGGCAACACGGCAAGGCCCCATCTCTACAAAATTTTTAAAAATTAGCCAAGCATGGTGGTTCGTGCCCATGATCTCAGCTTCTCCAGAGGCTGCAGTGGGAGGATCACTTGAGTCCAGGAGGTAGAGGCTGCAGTGAGGTGTGATAGCATCACTGCACTCCAGCCCGTGCAACAGAGCAAAGAAAGAGAGCAGTCTCAAAGAAAAATTCTGTTTAAGCCCCTGGCTGATGGAGCAGAAATGATGCTCGCTAAATCCTGCTTTTCTCGGTCTCCTAAACTCTAACTTTTCTTTTCTGAGTTCGCAAGTTCACAACCCTTGGAAAAACAACCCCAGGTTGATCCAGCACTAAAAGCTGCCTTTTAAAATACAGTTAGGTGGGACCTGACTAGCTTAGTGTCTGGGACATAAGTAGGTACTAAATAAACATTATTTCTTTTCCTTCTCTCACTTCAAAAACCTTCCTGAATCTGTTCCCAAAGCAGCTCCATTTCCTCACACCTTTCAAGCTGCTCTTCTCCAAAAGCCACACCCTTTCTGGGTCTTAATACCTGCTTAGACTTTGGCCTACTGCCTCTCCTCAGTACCAGCTGCCCACCTGCTGCCACCTCAGCCAGGGTGAGCTCATCAAAGCAGGTAAAATTTTTAAGGGAGAAGCTTCTACGTCACAAGATCTAGGTCCAGCATGTCAATACAATTGCACATAGGAAGCACTGGAAAGTTTTGCAAAGGGGATTCATGCAACTATCCCCAAACATTAACAAAAGAAATCTGGTTGTATCGTATATAGGATAAGAGAAAACAAACAAAAAACAGGATTAGGAATCAGAAGACTTGGGTGAAATTTTTAATCTGCCTCTCTCACTAAAGGCTTTTTTTTTGTAAACTTAATCAGAAATATTCTTTTAAGCCAGGCACAGTGGCTCACACCTTGTAATCCCAGCAATTTGGGAGGCCGAGGCAGGCGGATCGCTCAAGGTCAGGAGTTCAAGACCAGCCTGGGCAACTAGTGAAACCCCATCTCTACTAAAAATACAAAAAATTAGCCGGGTATGGTGGCATGTGCCTGTAGTCCCACCTACTTGGGAGGCTGAGGCATGAGAATCATTTGAACCTGGGAGGAGGAGGTTGCATGAGCTGAGATCATGCCACTGCACTCCAGCCTGGGCTACAGAGCAAGACCCTATCTCAAAAAAAAAAAGGAATATTTCTTTAATGTCACAGAAAATGTTTTTAATTGTTATGGTACATCCTTAAGTGAAAAGAAGTTCACAAATTTTTAGTAAAGAAAAAATTTAATAGAAAAAAAGGTTATCTTAGGTTTTCTTATCAACAAAATGTAATTCCTGCTGGGCATGGTGGCTCATGCCTGTAATCCCAGCACTTTGGGAGGCCAAGGCGCGTGGATCACCTGAGGTCAAGGAGTTCAAGACCAGCCTGGCAAACATGGTGAAACCCCGTCTCTACAAAAATACAAAAATTAGCTGGGCATGATGGTGGGTGCCTGTAATCCCAGCTACTTGGGAGGCTGAGGCAGGAGAATTGCTTGAATCCGGGAGGCAGAGGTTGCAGTAAGCTGAGATCGTACCATTGCACTCCAGCCTGGGCAACAGAGTGAGACGCTATCTCACACACACACACACAAATAAAGAAAATTTAGTTACTACTTCTCTCCTTACAGCAAAATTAATTACAGTTTAAATGTAAAAACTGGAACCAAGAAAACACTAAAAGAAAACATGAATAAATTTTTTTTTGTGATTCTGACAAGTGAAGAAGATTTTTCCAAGTATGACAGAAAATTCAACTCCACAGCCGAGAAGCGAGATGAGGGGAAGCACCTTGAAGGAAAATATTTGCCTAAATAAAAATGTAAAACATGTGAAAGGCAAATAATTAGCATAAACAAAGTCAAAAAAAATTTTTATTGGGGGAAAAATTATCAGCAACACATATGGCAAAGAGTCCTAATGCCGTATGTATGTAAAAGCTCTCACAAGTCTACAAGATAAAATAGTGACCAAAGAGAAAAATTAACAATGTATTTGAGCAGAAAATTTACAAAGGAATAAAATCAACTACCAGAAAGATAAAAAGATGCTAATTTCATTAATAACTGAAGACATCCTAAATAAAGTAACAATAAGAAATCCTTTTTCACCTATCAGATTGGCGAAGAGTAAAAAAATGTATAACACCTGTGTTGGGCCAGGGCGCAGTGGAAAGAGGCACCTCCATACCCTGCTGATGAGAAGTACACTGATGCAACCTCTTTGGAAGGCAGTTTGGCAATTTAACATTTATAATGAGCACACCCTTTGATCAGCAAATCTTTCCTTCTAGGAATTCTGCCTAAGGAAATAAAATACAAGTACTAGGACACATGGGCAAAGACAGCTGGATACTGCTGTTCATTACAGTACTGCATATAACAGGAACAACTGAGAAACAATTCAATTGTCCGTCAAAAGGGGCTTGGTTAAATAAATTATGATACATCCCTCTGAAGAAATGCAATGCTGCTCCTTAAAAGCACATACTGAGGTAGAAAAATATCCTAGGTAAATTACAAGTGATATGTTTTTCAGTACAGTATAATCTTTTCTTTCCATTTTTTAATTGCAGTAAAGTATATAAAATTCCCCATTTAAAAGTGTACAATTCAGTGGCATTAACTATGTTCACAATGTTGTGCAACCATTACCACTATTTCCCAAACTTCTCCAAACAGTAACTCCGCAATGATTAAGCAATAACTCCCCATTCTCCCCTCTCCCCAAGCTCCTGGTTTACCTCTAATCTATTTTCCTGTCTCTATGAATTTGCCTTTTCTAGATATTTTATATAAGCAGAATCACAAAATATTTGTGCTTTTATATACGGCTTATTTCAGTTAGGGCAGCATTTTCAAGGTTTATCTACATTGTAGTATGCATCAGAACTTCCTTCCTTTCACAGCTGAAGAATAGTCCACAGTCTGTATTACTGTGTTTATACATTTTCTTTGCACATTGTTTGTACATTTTGTTTATTCGTCAGTCAGTGAACATTTGGGTTGTTTCCACCTTCTCGCTGCTGTGAATAATGCTGCAATGAACACTGGCATGCAAGAATCTGAGTCCTTGTTTTCAATTATTTTGGGCATATACCTAGGAGTGGAATTGCTGGGTCATATGGCAATTTGGGGCTTTTTGGGGAATAATCAAACTTTCCCACAGCAGCTGCACCGCTAACACTCCCACTAACAATGTATGAGGATTCTAACTTCTCTACATTCTCACCAACACTTCTTACTTTCCATTTTTTTAAATTAAGAGCATAAACTTTTCGTGTAAAACTAAATGTACATAAAAATGCATCATTTAAAGAATCTTTATGGCTCAAGGATGTTAGTTTAAATATATAAATAAAAAATATAAATAAATAAAAAACCCAGTGCTACCCAACTGTTAACAATAACTATTTTTCTGGGGCATGGGTTTATAGAAGATGCTCATATTCTGCCTTACGTATTCCCCATTTTGCAAAAGTTTTTAGAACACCTGGTGTTGCTTTTGTTATTTTAAAAAATGTCTTAAACAAAAGTTAGCCAGATAGACGGTTTGATGCCTGCCTGCTAATGTGAAACACAGTTTCAGTGTTACATACACAGCAAGGCCCTAAATGGGCAGAGGTGAGAAGACCTGAGTCCCAGTCCCCACTCTGCCACCCTGAGCACTCTGTATTCTCACCTCTCAACTCCCAGGCACCTAGGACTGAATCCAAGTTCCCAGTGAGCATCCGCAAAATAGACGACAGCTGTGTGGACCCACCCACGTGGTCCTTCCACCCCGGGGACAGCACTGAGGCTACAGGAGCCCCAGGTGGGTTGTCTCAGGCTATGTATGGGTAGCCGTCTCCCTTCCTACATTGAAACAGAATTCTACAGTTGTACTGAACTAATGAAGGAAGGTAAGAAAAGGAGAGCTCGGGGAAAACCTGCGAGTCATGGACTATGAAGGAAAATGAAGGCCTTCCCCGCAAAGAAAGAAGCAAGCCCAGAAAAGAATTCAAGAAATGATGATGCCAAGGAGGACAGGGCAGCTGACATTGACTAATGCAAGTGTCTCACCTGAAGCCACAGGTGCTGAAGTAGACAGCAAAGGGCAGTGCCTGGAGCCACACTGCTCTGTGGGAACCATCCCAAGGTCACCTGCTCAGGCAGCAACAAGGAGAAAACCCAGCCTCTGTGGGAAGAGGCACTGAGGCCTGGGGAAGTGAAAGTCAAGTGAAATCCTTCCCCTCTTCCAGGTGTTCTCAGCCTTTCGGCTGCCAACTGTGGACTTTGCCCTTGAAATTCAACTCCTGGCCTAAAGAGATAATCTCCCAGGCATGTCCTGTGTAAATTTGGCTAATCAACAGAACACATTCTGTGCAGCCCCTGCTGGCTGTCCCTGAAACAGCCCTGCCAGCCAGTAGTAGTGCTGACTGGCGGGGGGAAGCTTTTCCTGGCAGAAATGCCACCAATCCTAATGAAATCAAGTGCCCAGGATGGGCATTTTCCAAAAATCAGACAAGCATCTGTTTAAAGACGAGCACATACCTGGAAATCTCATCCAGAAGTGATACGGATTTGGTGAGAAGAGTCATTGAGAGCATGGACCTTTACCAGGCTTTGTTGATGTTTTAGAGTAAGCCACCTAAGAACATCTAAAGTAAAGCTTTGTAGACATGAAATTCTGGGTCAGTAAAAGAAAGCAAGCCAATTAACATCTGGCCCTCATACCCTTATTGGCATCTCAGCTGCCAAGCCTCTTAAGCAGTGGTTCTCAAAGTGGGGTTCCCAGCCAACAGTAGCAGCATCACTTCCAAACTTGTTAAAAATGCAAATTTTTACTAAAAAATTTCTACTAAATTGGTTAACAAGCTCTCCAGGTGAGTTTGGTGCACAGTCAAGTCTGAAAACCACTGCTCTACGGGCTCTAGAAAGCTCTGCAATCTGGAGTTCTGATCCCGCCCACCCTGAGACTTCCCTTACTTTCTGCTCTAAATGAATTTTGAGGGACTGGAATATCATCCTCCAGTTACAGCCAATAAAATAGGCAAGTTTCCTCCCACTCCATTTCCATCTTCTACATGGTCTCCTAGGTTTCTTTTCTACAAATCATATTCAAATGTGTTTCCTTCCTGCTTCCTGGGGAAAGTGATTCCCCGCTTTCTGGATGGTTCAATCCCTTAAAGATCTGACCTCAGCCAGTCTTTCCAGCCTCATCTTCCAACCCATCTGTGTGTCCCTGCTCATGGCAGATGACCATTCAATGTCTGCTCATTGTGAATCAGTGATGAAGACCATCTGAACAACACCCTGTAAAGGAACCTTTCCCAACTACATTATCTTTCCTTCAGAAGCAAGTCTGTTACTGAAACAGACTGGGAAGGGGAGACAGGAAAGCAAAATCCAGTGACTTACCAAAGAAATTCCTCTGTTTTCTAGCAATCTATGCTAAATCTGAAATTCAGTCTCACCCTGCTCTGCCCTTCACAAACTATTCCATCTAAGCAGGCTGATTGGGCTGACCACAGATCTCATGAACACCAAGGAATGAGAGTTTATAAACACTGCATACATTTTCATTTCAGAATCCCGGGCCTTCACTACTGATAGAATCCAAACAGGATCAAACCTTTAAAAAAAAAGAAGTATGGACCGGACACAGTGGCTCACGCCTGTAATCCCAGCACTTTGGGAGGCCAAGGTGGGCAGATCACCTGAGGTCAGGAGTTCAAGACCAGCCTGGCCAACATGGTGAAACCCTCTCTACAAAAATACAAAAATTAGCCAAGCATGGTGGCGTGTGCCTGTAATCCCAGCTACATGGGAGGCTGAGGCAGGAGAATGGCTTTAACCAGGCAGGCAACGGTTGCAGTGAGCCAAGACCATGCCACTGCACTCCAGCTTGGGTGACAGAGAATCCATCTCGAAAAAGAAAAAGAAGTATCAACCCATAGAAACTAGTCAATGTTCAATTTCCAAGAAGTGAAATTTGTGGCCTGATACATTTCTTTTCTCAAACATTTCCAACAAACTTGAAGACTCTAGAAGAGATCTGTACGCTAGGAAATCAGGGTTTATTTACAAACACTAGTTTACTGACAAATTACTTACTTTTTCCAAAAGTAAATTCCATCTTCTTATACAATAGGGGGAATTGCAATCTAAGACATCTAACTACTTATGGAGCGTTAAGGAGAAAGGCCATTTTTTTCCTGCCCAGAGGGAGAGATGTAAGTCAGGTTAACTGCTTCCAAGTCTTGCCACAGCCCCACCCTCCCCAGTTGTTTATATGGACTCGCATTCTCAGTATTTAACCAGGTACCCCTTTCAGAGAAAGCTAAAAAAAACTCATTCAATTCTGCAAACATTCAAAATGTGACCATAAATAACACATAGTGATACAAAGGAAAAAACTCATTAGATGTTCTAGATAACCAAAGAAGAGCTGCATTTGATATACCAACCAGAGTGGAAGTGTGGCAAGAACACATGCTTGGAATCAAACAGCCTTAGATTTAGATTTTAAGCAAGTTAGCTACTCCACATCCCTGCAGATGTTACAACATCAACAAATTAACTCACAGATCATTGTAAGGATTTACTAAAACAATGAAATAAAAATGCCTAGTATAACACAATGCTTAGAACAGAGTAAACATTACACTAATGTCTTACCGCTAACCTAAAATCTGCAGAAAATTTAAAAATACATAGTGCTTGATCCCAAGAAGTATGCAGACTATATTAATTCGACTTCCTTAGCTAAGCAGGTATGTCTATGCCCACTTCAGATCCCTTCTGTTTCCTCATATTCTTATCCCCTTCCCCCTTCTTCCCCCTTCTTCCTCCTTCTTCCCCTTTCTTCCCCTTCTTCCCTCTTCTTTCTTCCCCCTTCTTCCCACTTCCCTCTTCCCCCTTCCCCCTTTCCCCCTTTCCTCTTCTCTTCTCTTCTCTGAGACAGAGTCTTGCTCTGTCTCTTCTCTTCTATTCTTTTCTCTGAGAAAGAGTCTTGCTCTGTTGCCCAGGCTGGAGTGCCATGATCATAGCTCACTGAAGCTTCAAACTCTTGGGTTCCAGCGATCCTCCCGCTTCAGCCTCCCAAAGTGTGGGGGTTACAGGCATGAGCCACCATGCCCAGCACCCTACTCTTTTTCCTGATTCTTCTCCATCAGATTCAATGTTCCTCTCTCTCCCTCTCAAATTTCCATACCTTATCCCAAGTTGTGCCACCATCCTCCACCCCGACACCCCCTTGCTCCCTACATTCTAACAATGATGACTTCCTAGGTGTCCTTTCTGCATGTCAAGCTCTTTCCTACCTCAGGAGCTTTGACAGCTGTTCCCTTTTCCAGAAAGGAACTTTCCCCAAATCTGCACATTAACGGCTTCTTCTCATCCTTGAGCTCACAGTTCAAACGTCATTCTCAGAGGCCTTCTCTAACCTCTCAGGTCCCTGTTACTCTCTCTTTTACATCACCATTATATCCTTCCGAGCTCACAGCACTATCTTGATCTCATCTATTGATTTGTTTACTTGTTTACTGAAATGCTTCCCCACTCACTACACGTCAAGCTCCATGACAACAAGGACTTCAATGTCTTAGTTATCTCTACCTCCTCGGCATACAGAACAAAACCTAGAACAGAAGGAATGCTCCATAAATATTTATTGGATGAATAAATACATTCAGTTTCCGAAGCAAGAGAGGCAGAGTTAGATTCCCCCTCACTCCTTCGCTTTCTCTAACTGGTGACAGTAGAAGATGGAATCCCAGGGAAAGATTGTAAATTAAAAAGAGAACAGACTGAGGATTAACTTTTGGGGAACACCAAAAAATAAAAGCCATCCCAACCCCCCCAATGACAAAACATTAAGGGCTATCAGGGACCCAGGAGGATGGCACAGGTGTTGCAGTCTCCACCGCCTTTTTTTGTTTCTACAGCTTTCCAGAAGAAGCTCAGCTTCTTCCTGCAAGGCCATGTAGACATCTGGCCTTCGGTGTTTTTCAGATGAAAAGAAGTCTGGATATCACTGCTTTGAAAACCCATCTGGGCACATAAGCAGAATAGGCACCTACATCTAAATGGAGGGAAAAAAAACCCACCTGGGTTTACCAAACAGTTGTGGGTCCTGCAACTGGAGGGGGTAGGAAAGAAAATAAAAAGGCTTTTCTATTTCCACTTAATGAGATTTAAATAAAACAACAATTTCCGGTTGCTTTTTTTTTTTTTTTTTAGACGGAGTTTCACTCTTGTTGCCCAGGCTGGAGTGAAACAGCACAATCTCAGCTCACTGCAAACTCCGCCTCCCAGGTTCAAGTAATTCTCCTGTCTCAGCCTCCCAAGTAGCTGGGATTACAGGCACCGGCCACCACACCCGGCTAATTTTGTATTTAGAGACAAGGTTTCACCATGTTGGCCAGGCTGGTCTTGAACTCCTGACCTCAAGTAATCCACCCACTTCAGCCTCCTAAAGTGCTGGGATTACAGGCCTGAGCCATTGCACCCTGCCCTGGTTGCTTTCTTTTTAACCTGGATCCCTGCCACTTCCCCCTGGGTACTTATTAGAGTTCAGTTGACAAAACCAATAGCCCTTCTTACCTCCAATATCTTCACAACTGGCTCTCCCAGCACAGCCAAGCCAAGAGCAAACCCTGAGCATCAGTGATGACTCAAATGCAGAGAGGCAGGGACTCGGAAAGGACAGTGCTACCTGTTCCATTTATGTTTCAACCCAAAGGGATAAGTCAATCAGGAGGTTGGAGAGAGGCAGAGAACATAAGAAACTTCAGTATTTTCTTTCCTTTCTAGATTCAAAAGCCTCAATTCTCAGAACATACCAGCCAGAGTCCAAGCCACAGACTGCAAACCAAGGTCACTGCCATTGCCAAGCTTGTCTCACATGTCCTAGCTATTTTCTTCTCACACTCATGTACCATCCTCCTTTTTCTCTTTTTTTTTTTTTTTTTTTTTTAAGAGACAGTGTCTTGCTATGTTGCTCAGGCTGGAGTGCAGTGTGTATTCACAGGTGTGATCATTGCGCAGGACAGCCTCAAACTCATGGGCTCAAGCAGTCCTCCTGCCTCAGCTTCCTAAGCAGATGGGACTACAGGTGCCCAAAACCAGAGCACACTCCTTTATAGTTGCTGGGGTCATTCAAGTTCCTTAATTTCCTTTCCCTACTGGCATTCCTTTTTGCTAAGTGGCAAAGTATATACACACAAGTCAGACCTTTTTGTCCTAAGGTCTTTGCAAATGAGTACAAAGTTCCACGTGTAGTGTCTACAGTCCTCAGTCTTCACCATGTATTTATTATTATTATTATTATTATTATTATTATTATTATTATTATTATTATTTTAGAGACAGGATCTTGCTCTGTCACCCAGGCTAGAGTGCAGTGGCACAATCATAGCTCACTATAACCCTGAACTCCAGGGCTCAAGCAATCATTCCACCTCAGCCTCCCAAGTAGCTGGGACTACAGGCATGTGTTACCATGCTTGGTTAATTTCATTTATTTTGTAGAGATGGGGGTCTCATTATGTTGCCCAGGCTGGTTTCAAACTCCTGGCCTCAAACAATCCTCCTGCCCTGGCCTCCCAAAGTGTTAGGATTATAAGTGTGAGCCATTGCATTGTGTCCGGCCTTTACCATCTTTTAATTACTCCATCAGAACACATATTAGGTCACAAATTGCTAATAAACTAAATGGGAGGGAGATTCCAGCATAACTCTGCAAGGAAACTTACCTCCACTAAGGAGTACGGGGCACAGTTTTGGGAGCTCTATGCACCATCGAGGCTAAGCTTCTCCTGGTTCTACAAGGAGCTACTGTCGAATCTGAGCCCCTGCCTGTGGAAGCCTGCAGAAGTAAAAAAGCTGAAGAACAGGATGTTTGACCATCATCTAGAGTTTGGTCTTCTAAAGCAAAAATAACCTTACATTGTAAACACCCTCACTCAAAGAGAAAATTTGTGAAGCCTCTACTCTTAGGAACTCCCTATTCTGCCCTAGGCCTGTCTGGGCTCAGCAGGCCCATAAATTGGCACTGTTGATATGACCTTTCCAGGCTGTATTTCAACAAGAGATAACAACAAAGCTCAGAGCTTTGGTAGCACTCAAAGAAGATTTGAGGGACTTAAAACACATTGCTAAATTTGGCAGCAAAAGTTCCTGTTCCCTGAAGTTGCAAAAGAAAATCTCTTTATAATTTACACTTGTAGATAAGGAGCTATTCATTCTCTTTAGAAACAGATTAGAACCTCCTCATCCCAATCCACCACTCCTCTGAAAGAGGAGTGAGACTGCTGGGGCAAGTCTCACCTGGGGCTGGGATCAGGCTATCTCTTGGGAAGATGAAGTACCAGGAACTTACCTTGATGCCTCTTACTGCCTTAGCCACAAATGCCCAGAGACATTTGCCACTTCACTATCTAGAGCCGTCTATCTCCCTCACCCTCCCATCAGCCTTCCCAATTCCCATTCTGCTCTTTGACACTGGGTCTGCCATGTCCCTATCCCTGTTGTTCATACAACACATATTACTCCTCAGAGAGGGGCCCGCTCAGCCTAGAGGCTCTTTTGATTCAGCCAGACTCCCCTTCTGGTTTATAATTTCTTTACAAAAGCAAGGTACAGGAGCTCCGATCTATATGCTGACTGGGGGACGCTTATCACTGCTCTGCTGATACCGTCTGCCCAAGACACAGAAGAAGGGGATAGGGCCTTGCATTTCTCAGCAGAACAAACCCAACAGACAAGCCACAAAGAAATAAACACAGCTGCCTGGCGTGGTGGCTCACGCCTATAATCCTAGCACTTTGGGAGGCCGAGGCAGATGGAATGCCTGAGCTCAGGAGTTCGAGACCAGCCTGAGTAACATGGTGAAACCCCGTCTCTACTAAAATACAAAAAATTAGCTGGGCATGGCAGCATGCACCTATAATCTCAGCTACTCGGTAGGCTGAGACAGGAGAATTACTTGAATCCGGAAGGTAGAGGTTGCAGTGAGCCGAGATCGTGCCATTTCACTCCAGCCTAGGTGACAGGGCAAGACTTTGTCTCAAAAAAAAAAAAAAAAGAAAGAAAGAAACAAACAAACACTCCTGAGGCTGGGTGCAGTGGCTCACGTCTGTAATCCCAACACCTTGGAAAGCCGAGGTGGGCGGATCACTTGAGCTCAGTTCGAGACCAGCCTGGGCAACATGAAGAAACCCCATCTCTATAAAAAAAATTATAAAAATCAGCCAGGTGTGGTGCACATTTGTTACTCCAGAGGCTGAGGTGGGAGGATCGCTTGAGCCAGGGAGGCAGAAGTTGCAGTGAGCCAATATCGCACCACTGCACTCTAGCCTGTGTGACACAGTAAGGCCCTCTCTTGGGGAAAAAAAAAAAAAAAAAAAAAAGGGCCGGGTGCAGTGGCTCACACCTATAATCCCAGCACTTTGGGAGGCCTAGGCAGGTGTATCACCTGAGATCAGGAGTTCAAGACCAGCGTGGCTAATATGGCGAAACCCCATCGATACTAAAAATACAAAAATTAGCTGGGTGTGGTGGTACACACCTGTAGTCCCAGCTACTTGGAAGGCTGAGGCAGGAGAATCACTTGAACCCAGGAGATGGAAGTTGCAGTGAGCCGAGATCGTGCCACTGCACTCCAGCCTGGGCGACAGTGAGACTCTGTCTGGAAAAAAAAAAAAGGAACTAAACACTACTTGGTTTACAAGAGAATAATAAACAAAACAATAACTGCAAACATTTTGTTCAGCAAGGAGGCAGGAAGTACTATTCTAGGCACTTTACATTTGGCATTTAGGCTTTGTTACAGCCCCATGAGATAATGCTACCACTGCCTCAATTTTACGGAAGAGGAACCAGGGCACGGACAAGTAACTTGTCCAAGGTTACAGAGCTATTAGGTGGCAGAGGCAGAATTTGAACCCAATCTGACCCCAGAGCCCAGGCTCTAAACATTACTCTCCTATTGGATGGCTCTTCCCCTAAGACACAGATTTGCGTCTGGGCACTAACTGGCTCACCCTAAACTCTAAAGGAGAGGGGATTGCTCAGAAAACACTGGCATTTTTCGCCACTGAGAAAAGGAAACAGTGATGGAAATATTTATTCAAAGACCTGGTCTAAGGCTACAGAGCCAAACAAATAAGTACCCCAAACATCTGTTAACCAAAATTTTCCCAGGGCACCAAGAGAAACCTACCTTCTTACTTACTAAAGGCTGAGGCCTCCTTGTACTGCCCTACGCATTGGAGAACAAGCTTCCAGCCTCCGAGTTCTGAGAACCAAGTCAAAATGCTTCCTAGAATCTGGTTGATGGGGTTAAAGAAAAGTTACTCAAATATTTTTTAAGCACCAACTATATATGTTAGCCATTTGGGGAAATAAAAAGTATAAAATATTATACTTGATTTCATACAACTTCAAGGAATCTAGTTGAAAACACAAGATATACACATTTGAAAAGTCAAGTCAGGGCCAGGTGTGGTGGCTCACATCTGTACTCCCAGCACTTTGGAAGGCCAAGGCAAGCAGATCACTTGAGGGCAGGAGTTGGCCACCAGCCTGGCCAACATGGTGAAACCCCGTCTCTACTAAAAATACAAAAATTAGCCAGGTGTGGTGGCGCACATCTGTAATCCCAGCTACTGGGGAGGCTGAGGCAGGAGAATCGCTAGAACCCGGGAGGTGGAGGCTGCAGTGAGCCAAGATCATGCCACTGCACTCCAGCCTGGGCGACCGAGCGAGACTCTGTCTCAAAAAAAATGTCAAGTCAGGATGTCAATGAGAACACTGAATCCATGCCTTCTACTTTCTGGAAGAGGAGACTGAACCCTAGAGAAGTCAAGTTACTTCCCCAAGATCACCCAGCAAATTAGAGACAGAACCAGAACTAACATCCAGACCTGCTGACTACCTGGCTGGGACTTTCTACCGCTATATGTAGGCAGAGAAATTCACAGGAAGGATGGATTATTAACAACAGCAGCAGCTAACATTTATTGAGAGCATATTTGTGTCTACAACTAAGTCGAGTGCCTTACATAAATTAACACATTGAAACCTTACAATAACCCTTTGAGGTGGGTAATATTATCACTCCCAACTTACAGATGAAAACAGAGGTTTACAGAGATGAACTCACCAGAGGTCCACAGATAGAGGAAAAACCAGACTATGGACCCTCAGAGCTGGCTGCAAAGCCTATTCTATGCTCTAAGCTGCATCTGGAAGGGTACAAGGGCAGTATTTGTGGAAGCAGGGGTAAGGAGGGCTGAGGCAGAGGCCGGGGTCTGGAGCACTGAGAGCAGCTTGTGAAGGGCCTCCAATACCACACTGAGAAAGACCTCAGGGGCTCCACCTAGGCTGGCCAGCAGGAAAGGGGCAGGCGAGAAGCAGTTCTGGATGGACGGGTCTCCCCGTCTGTGAGGAGTGAGCATCCCACAGCAGGAGGAAAGAGCTGAACCTGTGAAGCTGGGTTGACAAGGACTACCTCAGACTCAGGACTTCTGGCCTCTCCAGTGTGGGCGGCTGCCGTGTCCTCAAAATCTCATTGGCCCCTACTCCTTCCTCTTAAAGGACACTCTCAAGTACCTTCCTAACGTGTAGGCCAGGTCTGAAAGGGCAGTCCTCCTTGGCTGCTGGTGACTTTCCAAAGCAATTGTCTTTCTCTCCCTACCTTGTCCATGGCTCCCTGTGCCCTTTCTTTGATCATTCTGCCTGATGCAGCAGCCATAAGACATGGGGAGCTGTCTGTCAAGTGGCAGGAACTGAACACAAGCAGCTTTGAGAGGTGGGGAGGAAATCCTGTGTTATTAGGAAATCTTGTATTATTACACACCCAGGACTGCACAGACCCCAGACCAGACTACCTGGGGTCTTGACAGAAAGATGAACGAGATGCAAAATAGCAGCTACTTCTTTTTTTTTTTTTTTGAGACGAAGTCTTGCTCTGTCGCCCAGGCTGGAGTGCAGTGGTGCGATCTCAGCTCACTGCAACCTCCGCCTCCCAGGTTCAAGCTGTTCTCCTACCTCAGCCTCCCGAGTAGCTGGGATTACTGATACACACCACTATGCCCGGCCAGTTTTTGTATTTTTAGTAGAGACAGGGTTTTACCATATTGGCCAGGCTGGTCTCAAACACCGACCTCAAGTGATCCACCCACCTCGGCCTCCCAAAGCGCTGGGATTACAGACGTGAGCCACTGCGCCCAACCAGCAGCTACTTCTAAAAGAAGAATCTGGTTTGTTCCCAGCGTAGTAACATCAACCTGTTTGAGAGACACCAGCCCACTCTCTTCAAAATGCTGCTGTAAGTTGATAATAATATACTGGAAAGCATTGGACATTTACTATGTACCAGGCACTGGCCTATTTACAGGTATCATTTCATTTAATCCTTACCACAACTCTATCAAGTCAAGTACTATTACATCCATTCTACAGATGCCTCAAAGAAGGCTGATGCACAGAGAGATTAAATAACCTGCCCAAGGTCACACAGCAAGGTCAGGCTCTAAAGCTAGGCCTCTAAGACCCCTGAGCTATAGCTGTTCATCACTGCAGTGCACTGCAATGCATGTCAGATACTCATATTAAATGCAAATGGTTCCATCAGAATTGCTCTAAGGCAGCACCACGCACTCACTGAGTACCTAAGAGTCACTGAGAGTTGAACAAACACACCACAGGCTAGTTCATTTTAAAACCATCTACAATACTCAGTTGTCAGAACTCCATAAGGTAGCCTGTGTTCCAAGTCACAAGCACACCAAAAGTCAGTTCCTCGAACAAAACTAGAGTTTTAAAAATAGCTGACTTGATAGTTTTTTTCCAACTTTCCCATTTCCCCTTTCCTATGACTCCCTCCCACATACACCATCCTTTGACACTGTCAAGAGAAGCTTCAACACAGGCCTAGAATCCTCACCCTCCTACTTCCAGTCCTTCAGTTGGCTCTCTTCCTTCATTCGAATCGTGCTTGAAATCAGTCTGTTGGACCCTCCTCCTTTTTCCCAGCCTAAGAGCATGAGATGGTCATTAACCCTACCATCAAAACTCAGAACTGCAGCAGGTCTATGCTGCTTCTCTCTTAATCACACAGACAGAGTGGGGGAGAGAGGGGAAGAAATAACTACAACACAACGTCTATTATAACATGACATAGATGGGAGTAAGGCCCATACTTGATACTTCTGCGTTCCTCCCCAGCTCTTGGCCCAGACACTCCGTATTCACTGACTAAATGGGTGAACAGACCAATACTGCATAGATGGGCACCAGAGACACCTCTGAGCCAAGAACAAACAAACAGAGGTGTTAACCCTAATGCCAGCCACCCCTACCCCCTCCAGTGCTTCTGAGGGCCTGCACGACACTGTCACCCTGAGCTCCCTGGGGGCAGTCTGGCCTTCTGCTAAATTGTGTAGGCCTCCGAGGTCAGCCCTTCTCTCGATTACCACCTGCTGCTCCTGAGAACTGCCTCCGCCCAGGGCCCCTTGCCCAGTGCCTCACTCCTGCTTCCTTCCAGTAGTCTTCCTCCTGCCTCAGATCTTGTCTCCCGTAACCCTCAGTTTATCTCATTTTTTCCCAGTTCCAAATAATCCTCCATCCACTATGTGATTTCCAACAGTCCATCTCCAGCTCACACACAACCCCTTTGGTGATGACAGGTCACACAGAGGAAGAGTCTGGAGCTTTGAGAAACTGTGGTGGTTTCGTGACAAGCCTGTAGGAATAGGTCTGCTTTGGTTAAGAAGGCTTCATACGCTAACTGCATATAATTCACTCTTTTATAAGGACAGTGAAATCTAACATTCAGGCAGTTTTAGATGAGAAGAGTATAGTGATAGTTTCAACACCCTCCCCAACAACAGTACATTCATGACATCAGAGCCAAAAAAATAAGAGAAGGGGTCTTTGGAGAAATTCTTCAATAAGGTAATCTAGACTCATTTAACACCCTCCTCTCCCTTCAAAACACACACACACACACACACACACACACACACACCCAGGAGAGCTTTCTGGGGCCTATGGCTAGAAATAGAGAGCTCAGGTGTTTCTATCAGCACAATATTACGTGGCATATTCCTCTAAGACAGATGCACCCAGTAGTTCCTCCGACCCACCTACTGAGACAGACACACATAGCACCTCCCCTCCAGGATGAAACAAATGCCTAGCCTCCCCAGCCCCTGCCTCCCCAGGAGAAGGCACACACTAATGCAAGTTTTCCCATAGGCTTTAAAGACAAATCTCTGCAGACTATGCCAGATGGTCTTTTTTTTTTTTCTTTTTCTTTTTTCGCTCTATGCCCTCCTGGCCCCTTCTCCACTTTCCATGGTCCCTCCAACTCAAAGAACTCAATTATCTGCCTGCAGATTTCCCCTTCCCCTCCTCGCAGCCTGCCCTAAACACACCCTCCTCCCAAGCCCATGCAGAGGCACAGAAGGAAGGCCAAGCCAGGGCTCGGAAGGGCTGCTGCCAGGCCTCCTCCAGCCTCAACTATGTGTTCCCCGGGCTTGGCTGCCTCGGCCGACTCTCTTAGGCCCAACGATGGAAATGGGGACGTTTCCAGGGCAATGACAGTTAACAGCTAAGAGGAGTGACAGGAAGGAAGATGTATTCTTCAATCCTTCAGTCCCAACTGCCCCACAGGGAGGTGCTTCAGAAGGCCCAGGCCTCAGAGCCTCCCATCTCCCTGAGGTGCCAGGTGGACCTCCCGTAATGCAGTTCTTAGAATCAGATGCGGTGGGGAGTGGGGCACAGCCTCTCTTAGGTCTAGGCTACCAGTGGGGCCATGATACTTGGATTGCCCTCCTGAATCTGTACACCCCGCCCTTCATTCCAGGGAAAGAGGCTGAACCAGCAGAACCAAGGGTGTCCTTGGCCTGTTCTCCAGTGTATTTCAAAGTTTCATCTTCCCGGGGTGACTGATATCTAATTTGAGAGAGAGAGAGCCCAAGGGGAGAAGGTACAGGAAGCGGAGTAGAAGGAGGAAAGAGGGAGTGAGAACAGGAATGTTACTTTTTAATCCTTAAGGAACATAGACAGATCCAATTTGTGACTCAGCTCTGGGAAGCCGGACTGATGGGAGTCGGGGAACAGCTGCAGCCCCAATCTAAGCTGTGGGCAGCTTCTCCTTCAGGCCTTAGAGGCTGTTGTGACATGACTCAACTAGAAGGGGAGCTGCTTGTTTTGTTTCATTTTTTTAATCTGCCTACTATGGGTCTGCTCAAGGGCTTCTTCCCAGACACCACTCCGGGATATGGCTGGCAGGTCTTCCCCATCCTACAGTAAAGCTGGGGCTGTGGGTGACGCGCTCTAGTATGCCATACGCCCTTTCGACTCAATGAGGACAGACCTGGGACTCTCCTTGCCTGGAGTCTCCCTTCCCCTGCTCTTCCATTCCTTGGCACAGTCCCATGGCATATCAAGAATCTCTGCCCTTGGAATTCCCACTTCCTTGTTTCTTTTTCTTTCCCCATAAGCTGTGGCCTTATGAGTTCCTGAAAGACCTGCCCAGCCCCCAAGAAGCCTTTCGGAGCAATAACACTTTCTCCCAGTTAGAACCCTGCCTTCTAAACCCAGAATGAAGGAGAAAGACCCCTTTGCCCACTGCAGAGTGTGCCCAGCAGGACCCAGCAGGATGAGGGAACCAGGCCTGGCCTCTTTTCCAGCTGCTAAAGTTTATGGTGCCACAACTCTACAGGCAGCTGTGGGACACAGGAAAAGCGACGGGTCTTTTGGAATACCTCTCCTCTATACTATATATAAACACATGAGTCAGGTGACCAAGGAAAGCTTCCTCCCTGCAGGATCGTCTATGAGGCTCCAGTTTTATGGCAAACATCACTCTTATGAAACGACCCAACCCAAGGAAAGCAACATTTGTTTCCTTAAACATCCTGAAGAAGTCTTTTCAGATTTTTCTCATGTTTACTTATAAATGCAGAAAGGAAGAAGGCACTTTATAAAATGAGAGAACCAGAACAGAGAGGCAAAGTGACTTTCCAGAGAGAGTTGGGTCATTCCTCAAGCTTCAATTCACAACACGGTTCGTTAGATAGGACGTGACTTGTTTCAAACTACTTTCATGGAAGTTATCCCACTGGCTCCTCCCAACAGTCCTGTGAAGTTGTTCTTATTACCTCCATCTCACAGGTAAGAATCTGAAGCTCCTATTAGTTAAGATACTTGCCCGTGGCCGCCCTATGGGAACAGAATCTAGCCGTCGACTCAAGTCTAGCAACCCAAATCCATTATTCTTTCTGCTATACCAACAGAAGGAGCAGCAGCTCCTGAAACTGGGTCTCTGCTAGCCCTCTTCACAGATGTGGGGATGGTAAAATTGAAGAGCTCCAACTACACACACAAGTAGAAAAGAAGGCTGAGGTTCTGGATTTACACTGCCAACTGAAGGGGCCACTGGCTCAGTGTTATGCCACATCCCTCCAGCAAAATGTAGGTTTCAACTAAGCAAAGGATCCCTGGAGTGTATGTAGCAAGAGGAATAACTTCAGAAGTGGACCGTCTGAGGTCCAGGGCCATGGAGTTCACCCTTGTGGACCCTCAGGCCACAACCACGATGTATACATGTACTCATTTTAGGGAGCCGGAACTGGGGACATGGCCAGTGCTTGCATTGGCAAGCTGATCCGAAGTTAATCAGAATGCCCCCTCATTGTTTGCCAGAATACAAAAGACATTCTGTTCAGAAAGTTCAAGAAGAAAAACTGAAGAACCAGGACAGCAGCTGTTCCCTCATCCCACAGAGAAACCAAAGGCATTTGCAAAGTTCCCTGAGGCCAAGAAGTGAATTTAAGACATAACATGGCTCAAGTGGAAGCACAACCCCTGATGGGTCTCCGTTGCAGGAAGTGTTTGCTGCATTCATCCTCCTCATAATATTACTGACAACCCCACTACCCTATCACCTATAAAACTGCCTTTCTGGGAGGGTCTCCTTTCCAAGGCCACACAGCTCACCATGTACCACTCCTCTAGGTCAGAACAAGTTTTACCAAAACTTAGGACAATCAGTGTAGGAGTGCACAGCGTGGACACTGCGTGCCCTGAGATTTGGTCAAAATGTAACCAAAGGAATCCACCCGGCACAACTACAGTGCCTCATGTTCCCCAGCTCTTAGCAGCTGCTGCTGAGAGCTCACTCTGGGACATCTGGATGAGAAACCTGTTTGCAGGCCCCCCAACCCCAAGCCAGCCCCCTCCTCCACCTCTTAGGAAAGTCTGTGATCGACCTTTTGATGTGGGAGGACAGCTTGATTCTTACCAAGCTGCCTGGAAGAGAGAGAGTGCAAAACCCCAGCTCAGGCATCCCTGTGACAGTCCCTCTGTCCTAATAAATGCTCTAGAGGGACTTGGAACTCACCACAGGCTCCTGGCTGAGCTTAATTAGCCTTTTTTTTTTTTTTTTTTCCATTACAGGTCAGACATAGCAGCACCAAGAGACAAAACAGACAGTGTTCACTAGGACGAACAAGCGGCTCAAAAGGCACTGGAGTTTCCCTGTAAGAACTACAAACACCACGGGAGTGATGTTAACTCAGATTTTTCCATATAAAAGATTCTTCCTGTAAAAATATCCTGTGCCTTTGTGCTAAATAAAAGTAAAATGATGCTTTTTAGAGTGAAGTCTAAACACCTCAGATTCAGCAAGAGTGAGATCAGCTAGATTTGCAAAGTCAAGAAAATTGGCTGTTTCCCTCCTCCTTAAGCTAATAGAATCCAACTGTTGGAGCATGACATCATTCCTGAGCCCCAAACCCCGAGCAGAGACTACAGACACTCGCCTGACTCCCAGAAAACAGCCGGAGAGAAGGGCCAGGAAAGGAGGCCAAATGATCCCAGCCCGGAGCTGCCCTTACCTGAAAGTCCCGCTGCTTTCCTGCCCACTCCATTCTCACACCGCAGCCGGCTAGGGAGCCCAGGGCCCCCAAATCCACTGGCTTAAGCTCCGATACCTGCTGCGAGCTTCCCACAGCTCCTTCCTCTGACCTTTCGTGGCGCTCCTCGCAGCCAAGTGAGCAGAGCACTGCTAGCCGGCCAGGCCGGTTGTCATGGAGACCCTGTCCTCGCTAGGCGGGCGCGCGCACAGCGGCGCGCTCTTGGCCTAGCGCGTGCACAAGGGCGCTCTCTTTTTCTTTCTTTCTCACTGTCTCTCTCTCTCTCTCTCTCTCTCTCTCTCTCTCAGTTCTGGGAGGCTTCCATGAAACAGCACTGTCTTTTGATCAGCTCGGTTTTTGCATGCATTCCACTCCTCCTACCTCCCTTCCAGTCCAACAGGGGCTCTGAACTGCTCCTGGGAACTTGCTTGAACAGCTCAGAGGGGAGAAGGGAGAAGACAGTGAGTGGACTTGTTTTCTTCCCCTCCAGTGTCTCATTTTTTATAACTTGGAAGAATCCCTGCCAGGGGGGAGGGAGCTAGCTGAAGCGCTTGAAGGGGACCCAGCTTCCTCTGGGTCCTGGAGCTCGGGTAGGAGGGACCCTGATGCGCTGCCTTGACTTGTTTGTGCACTTGGGATTTTTCCGGGCAGCAGTTGGGGCGGAAATGCACTCACATCCCAGGAGCTCGCCTGGACTGGCCTCTCTGCTTACCTTGCTGCCTGTCCAGGTTGTGGCGATGGCTTTAACCAGTGCAGGGACTCATGGTACTAGTGGTGGCGCCTAAGCAGTCTCTCATCTTCCTGAAATGGAGAGCAAAGACAACTCGGTCAGGACCAGGAAGAATCCTGGGCAAGTCGAGAGTCACAACCCAGACGACAAACCTGATACAAATACAGCCTTGTCTCTCTGCCCTGCTAAGGATCTGCAGCTAAGGTGCAGGCTTAGTGGGAGCTGCTGTCACAGTCGGTAATAATATTGCTCCTGTCAGAAAATGAGCACAGTCCCTGGGACACGGCAGACCCCCTAAGTTTAGTCCCATCCCCATCCCCATCCTGTCCCTTCCTCTCCCCCCTACCCAGCATACATTTCTGCTTTGTAACATTCTTTTTACATGTATCATTTTGTTTGATCCTCATAACCTTTTGAAATACACTGCACAGATATTTTTATGACCATTTTTTCAAGTTTATTTATTATTCTTCTTAAATTTCTTTTAGAGACAGGATCTTGCTCCATTGCCCAAGCTGGAATGCATTGGTGCAATCATAGCTCACTACATCATCAAACTCCTGGGCTCAAACAACCCTCCTGCCTCAGCCTCTGAAGTAGCTGGGACTACAGGCATGCACCACCACGCCTGGCTACTTTTTTAATTTTTATTTTTATAGAGACAGGGTCTCACTATGTTGCCCAGGCTGGTTTTGAACTCCTGGCTTCACGCAATCCTCCTGCCTCAGCCTCTCAAAGTGCTGGGATTACAGGCGTGAGCCAGCATACTGGCCTTATGACCATTTTATAGATGGAAAAACTGAGACTCAGAGAGATTAAACATTTGATCTGCACTTATACAGTTAGGCAGTCAAAGAACTAAGAGATCAGCCAAGTTCGCCCTAGTCCAGCACACTTTCAACTAAAGTATATTGCCACCTGATTTCAAAAACTGTCAACTTTTTGATAACTGGTTATGAGATAACGCTGGGCTCCCAAGGGAAGGTGGAGAATCCTTGTAAGTTGTGGCGAGATAGGCTGACTACCATCCTTTCAGCCTAAAGACCTTAAGACAGCATCTCTAAGATGTAAAACGTCCTGATGCACAGCTCGGAGAAAAAGCCCTACCCTACAGCTATATGTGACCTTGCACTTTTCTAAACGACTCTCAAAATCTTGGCTCGTCTGTTCAACATGACAGGTCTGAAAGTTAGGATTGGCATTATTATACTAATTTAACAGATTTTTTTTTTTTAATTCTACAACAGAAGTAAAATTACTTGCCCCAGGTCATGGAACCAGGAAATAAAATCTAGAAACAATCCCCAAGCCTTTCAAGTCTCTTGAGTACATTAAGCACAGTGGTTGCAACAGCACCAGGGGTCAGAAGACCTTGGCAGTGCCTGACTCCACCACTAACGGGCCATGTGCCATTGGGCAAGTCCCATGACTTCCCCCTTTCCACCTACAGAGCCTACTGACAGGGCTGGGACTGAGCATCGGAAGAGATGCTGTCCGTGAAAGCACTCTCAAGTCAGGAACTGAACTAAGAACTTTACTCCTCTTGACAACTCCTCACCAAAAACAAACAAAAAACACTGGGACAGTTAATACCCTCCCCAGGATGAGGACACTGAGGCTTAAGGAGGATATTTTCCAATGCTGCTCCCAAAAACAGTGCTCCCAAAAAAAAGGTCCTGATGTTATTTATTTATTTATTTATTGACACGAGGTCTTATTATGTTGCCCAGGCTGGTCTTGAACTCCTGAGCTCAAGCAATCCTCCCACCTCAGACTCCTGAGTAGCTGGGATTATAGGTGTGTACTACCACACCCAGCCTGATAGAATCTTTAATGCAACATCCTATGCAGAATCTAGTGGGTTTTTTTCATTAATTTCCAGCATATCACAACATTCTCAAAACAAGATTCTGATTGACTTGAGTTTAAAAGGTAAATATATACCAGAAGTTAAGGTAGGAAAGTGTTATAAAATCCAACAGGAAATGACAGAATGGCACAAATCCTAAATGGGGGGCACTACTGCTTTAGTGAAGCAATCAGAGCTTGAAAGGGAGTGAACCTAATCACCCACTATAAATCCCCAACCCCACCCAAGCCCCAGCTGAAGAATCCCAAGTCTACAAAGAAAGACAAAGAAAGACAAGACAGAAGGGCAAATGCAGTATCATCAAATCACTAAATTTCCGCCTCTTCCTTGTCCAAAAGGCATCCCTCTGCTCTCCTCCTGATCCTCAAAATGCACATTCCACTTGCCCAGTCTCCATCCTGAGAAAGAAGGGGTGATCCCACCCCTTTCTATAATAAGATAATATTAATAATACAGTAGTAACATCAGTTAACACTTGTTGAGCACCTACCATATGCCAGGCATTCTTTTAAGCAGTATGAGGGGCCAGGGGTCAGGACTGAGTACTAGAACTGATACAAGTCAGTTCCTGAAGTAATCCAAACTTAAGAAGCCCTCCAAACCAGACCCAGAATGCGGGCCATGCTCCCCCTAGTGGCATGCTGGAGTTATGGAGGTTCCTTAGGGCCTTGTCCTGGGGGAAGGGACAAAGGAAGGGCCCCATTACTGAGAGAACTGGAATCCCTGCTTGGGTAATGCTACTGTGTACACACTCCTTGAACTGGGCAGAGTCAGGGACAGCTGAATCCCACCACTGCCTCTGCAAGGCTGGATTTAGACCAATCCTACCTGACCCTTCTGAAGGATAAGGATTTGACAACCTTATATAAGCTCTCTGCTGTCTACTGAGAGGCCTGCAAGCATACATGTGCCAGAAACCTGGGAGACATCCTCAACTCTCCCTTCTTATTTCTGCCCACATCCAACCCATTTCCCAACTGCAAACAATTCTACTTCCAAAATATATCTTTTATCTGTCCACTTTTCTCCACCTCTGATGCTACCCATCTCTCACCTTAATTATTGCAAAAACCTCCTAATTGCCCCAGCTTCCACTCTCCCCTCACAAAGTCATTAGAGCTGTCTGAATCACCTTTTTTTTTTTTTTTTTTAACACCAGATCAGGTCATTTCCTGCTTAACACACTTCATTGACTTCCCACTACACTTAAGATAAAATCTAACTTCTTACCAGGACCTACAAGGCCCAGCATGATTCTCCTCCTGCCTTCTTTCAGCACACTTCCTGCCCTTCCCTGTCTGTGCATCAGCCACATACAACTGCTTTTAGTTCCCCTGAGGTGTCATATTTTTTCCAGGTTGTTTCCCGTTGCTGGGACACTCCCCTACCAAGCAGTCTTTGCCTGGATAGCTCTTACTCACCTTGCCTCACCTTGACTCTCCTGTCTCTTGACTTTCACAATCCTCCAATCTAAATGAGGCTCCCCACACTTATCCTTCAGAGCACTCACCATGCTGTGTAATTATGCATTTATACAGTTATCTGCTTAATCTCAGTCTTCCCTCAGAAGAGTTCCTTAGGATACGAACCTTGACTATTTTGCTAACCACCAATATTCCCTGCACTTTGTGCAGGGCCCAGCTCACAGCTGGCACTCAATAAATATCTGCTGAATGAAATGCATAAAACCCCATTTCTTCCTGTCCGACAGGAAGAAGAAACTTAGAGCAGCTATTTCATGTCACTCATTGCCTCTTTTCATCGACTTACAAACTATAATTACATTTCTTTTCCTCATGTGCCTTGCCTGTGGGCACAACCAAAAATTCCTGTAAAGCCTCCCTGTGGTTTGTTTCCCAGAACTTTCCTGGTAAGGTCACTCTCCTGGGGCTGCCCTCCAGGGTTTTACAGCTGCTCCCATTACCAGTGCCCACTCACAGGCCTCCACCACCACCGGGTCATTGCCAGACCACTGTGTAGGAATGGCCCAGCTCCCACGATGACAAGGTTCTCTCAGGCCAGCAGCTCCAAGGACAAAACACCTCCTCTCCCCTCCATGGTGCAAGACACTGTGCTTGTAAAAAAATACATTTTTACTAAAAAAAAAAGTCTTATGTTTCATAATTTGGAGATGGTTGTAAAAAGTTCAGAAAAAAAGGGTTCTCTTACTAAAAAGAATTTTGAACACTACAGTCTGGTGGAAAAATGAAGGTCTAAGTAACACCAACAGCAGTGTGACTACATCCAACGTTCCCTCTTCTGGCCTACGCTCCCACCCAAATCTGAAATCCTCTGGCTTCATCTCTTGCCCACACCTCCCCTGCTACCAACCACCCGATTACAGGCACAACCACAGTGCACTGCCTGGTTCTTTGAACACTGCCTGCATTTTCCTCTCCCTCCCTCTATGGCTCATGCTGTTACCTTTATCTGAATGCCTCTCCTTCCCCCACTAACAAAATCTTACTGCCTTCAAGGTCCAACTCATTTATCACCTCCTCTGTAAAATATTTTTCAATCTCCTGATAGAATCTGTTTGTCTCTTCTGCAAATCAACAGCAGTTTAAAGATGCCTTTACTATAGCGTTGATATCACTTTATCACTGTTACTTGCACACCTGTCTCCCCCACAGACCTGAGCTCCTCGAGGTGTATCCACTTTAGTATTTCATTCAATGTATGCAATAAGTGTGTGTGAGATAAACGAATCATTGAAAAGACTCTCCAAACAAACAAACAGAAACAGCTATTTCCTCTCTTAAGGTGAGGGAATTTGAGTGGATGGACCTACATTGTACAAGAAAATACATATATGTAAATCGGATTTTGGATTAGGTCACTAGAGGGGTTTATAGTACTTTCTTGTCTCTTTAAAGACAACTGAAATTCTGAACCTGAAAACACAGGAACAGAGTAAATCTTTTCAAGTCATTCCTTACTTTGGGATCAAAGAAATTCAAGTAAAATGGGCTGTTCTTTCAATATTATTGGTTGGATCTTAGAATGCCTAAGAAATGGCAGTCTAATTTCAAATGCCTCTGGGAAGCCTAGTTTCTAATGCCCCCCAGACTGGGGTCCAGTGGTATTCCCACTGAAAACATCCAGTTCTACCAAATTAATGGGTGATCAGGTCAAGTGCAGTGGCTCACACCTGTAATCCCAGCACTCTGGGAGGCTGGGGTGGGAGAATTGCTTGAGCCCAGGAGTTCAAGACTAGCCTGGGCAACATAAGGAAACCCTATCTTTACAAATAATAATTTTAAAAAATTGGCTGGGCATAGTGGCACACGCTTGTGGTCTCAGTTACTTGGGAGGCTGAAATGGGAGGATCGCTTGAGCCTGGGAGGTTAAGGCTGCAGAGAGACATCATCGCATCACTGCACTACAGCCTGGGTGACAGAGCAAAACTGTGTCTCAAAAAAAAAAAAAAAAGGTGGGGGGAATCAAACATATTCCTCTCCACCAATTCTCCTACACTGGGTTCTAGCTGCCATTTATAGAAGAGCCCTTAAGGGCTTTACAGTTTTCCTCTTCTGCCTGTGAATGGCAATGTGGTCAAGAGGGAAGCTTTTAAAATTCAAGAGTAGACAGCTAGCAGGCTGGAGCCCAGTCCTGGCTTCCAGCTTTCTGGAATGGTAAAATCCTAGGCAAGTCCCTGTCTCCCTTAGGGGCCTTTGCTTTTTCCTCCACATGAGAGGGCTGGACTAGCTGTTCAAGCATCCTTCGGCTTGACTGTCCTACTGCATCATTCTACGCAGTCACCCAGTCCTACTGCTTTCTAAGTCCAAAGCAGCAGAAAGACTCCTTTCAGCAGAGCCCCGGGCTTGGGGCTTTGGGATCAGACAGAGGTCCATCACCAATGAACAGTAGCCTTTTTTAGAAGAAAAAAAATGGAAGACTCAGGCTTCCTGCCTAAGGAGGGCTGGACAGAGAAGAAAGGTGCTAAATTACAGAATGGGGAAATTAGGAAATGGCCTGGAAGAGGACTAAGGCTCCTGCTGAGGTCCTTGCTCAGACTCACCCCTATCCATAAGTCTGAGACAAAGTTGCCTTTACAAAGCAGACATTGAACAGCTGACAATACCTAAGTTCTCTTGGAAGACAATCTGTCTACTGCAAATCAAGCATTCTCTACCTGGGTGCTATGAGGGCCTTCAGATCAACAAAACAAATGTCTTCCTCAAGATGGCAATCCTGGGCCCCCTCCACCTGGAAGCCACATCTGGCAGGACCTGCACAGTGTTGACCACTGCCACACAAACTTTGCTTGCACAGCCTTCCTAGGAAGGCAGAGAAATACCCATTCTGTGGTCAAGTCCTAGTGTTTTATGATAGGAAGTTTTCCCAGGTCCTTACTCCTGACCTAATTCCCCCTGCCTCTCCTACCACCAGCACCCCACCCCTGACCTTAAGGCTCTGAACTAGGGAAGTGTGGAATTCAGTCTATAATTCTTCTAGACCCCACAGCCCTGCAGTGAAGCAGCTACCACACACCTTCATGCTAGGTTGCGCCCCCTCTCCTTCAGTCTGCCAGTCATCCAGCCCTAGTTCACCTCCGCTCAGCTCACAACCCTCCGTATAAAGCTCAATGTCCAGATACTCACAACATAGGTACTCACAGCTTGCTTCAGTTTCTTGGAGTCTCTGTGATAACGTTAATATATAAGCCAATTTTCTGAAATCTCTCAAATCCACAGGCCCCTGACCACTGTCCCTTATTAAGTCGGAGCATGTTAACACTGGGCCACATAAACATAGGCTTCCAGCCAGGAAAGACTGGATCAAGGAAGCAATACCCTAGATCCCCATGAAAGCACCATTTTACCCTTCTAAAATAGGCTTTCTGGCCGGGCGTGGTGGCTCACACCTGTAATCCCAGCACTTTGGGAGGCCAAGGCTGGCAGATCACTTGAGGTCAGGAGTTTGAGACCAGCCTGGCCAACACGGCAAAACTCCGTCTCTACTAAAAATACACAAACTAGCCAGGCATGGTGGCAGGCGCCTGTAATCCCAGCTACTCAGGAGGCTAAGGTGGGAGAATCAGTTGAAACCTGGGAGGTGGGGGTTGCAGTGAGCTGAGATCACACCACCGTACTCCAGCCTGGGCAACACAGTGAGACTCTGTCTCTAATAATAATAATAATAATAATAGGCTTTCCAAGCTTAGCTAGCTCAGAACTCTGAGTTCAACAATGACCTTAACCTACCATGATTAAAATCTTCAGGATTGCGGAGGCAAGGTGCAAAGTGGAGGGAAAGGGAAGAGGTAGGGTATTAAGAGGAATGTGGACTCAAGCTGCTTTTCTATGATCTACCCAAGAAAATACCTTCAGCCTGGGAAAGAAGTACCCCTAAGAGTAAGATCTGGGCAAGGCTGTAGGAAGTGTGAGCCCAGACTGTGCCAACCTCCTCAATCCTAGCTCCCCTCATTCTCCCCGGCTAGACTGATTCTCTAGCCCTACCCCCCAGTACTCCTCAGAACAGGCTGCCACTCCAATGCCAGCCATGCCCCACTGCCTTGTGTGACTGCACCAAAGCTCATTCAGCTTAATTCTCCTGCTAGCTGTAATATTCTTTAGAGAAAGAACTATGTCTTAACTCTGAATTCTAGCTTAGGGCTGTGTACCACGTACAATTAATAAATTTTTAAATGAATGAACTAATAAAACCAACCAACTAATCAATCCAACTAAAAAGGGTATTAATAATGTCACCACAGAACCTAGACCATTTGATGCTTAACACCTCACAGTAGTCCAGAGTGTCCAAGATGGGGTGTGTATACAAGATGATTATAAGTGGTATATGGACAAACTTTTTTTAAGTTTTTAATACTTTTATATTACTTAATGTATAGAAGAACAAAGCCAGCTACTAACCTCATTATTACCAATCTCACTGATTAGATCAATACTAAAGAAGTTACGTTTTTTGTATGCTTTTAGTATTGTTTTATAGCAGGTAGAAGTTTAAGGAGAGGCGGGGCTTGGTGGCTCATGCCTGTAATTCCAACAATCTGAGAGGCCAAGACAGGAAGATCGCTTGAGCTCAGGAGTTTGAGACCAGCCTGGGCAACATGGCAAAACCCCCATCTCTACAAAAAATAAAAAACAGCCAGGCGTGGTGGCACACAGCTGTAGGCCTGGCTACTTTCGACACTGAGGTGGGAAGCTCACTTGAGCCTAGCAGGAGGTCAAGGCTGCAGTGGGCCATGATCATGCCACTGCACGCCACAGCCTGGGTGACAGAGTGAGACCTTGTCTCAAAAAAAAAAAAGTTTAAGATAAAATGGGATATTTGTGTAACCTCAAAGTATCTCTCCCAGAGTATTTATTAATTACAAAGGTAGAAATAACCTCACGGTGGAGAAATGGACACATATCACCTTAATCAAGTGATCAACGTTAACACCACAGGCAATAAAGACATAATGACACCACGTACCCCGATACCATGTGCTGAGAAGGGCATTTCACCTCTGTGGTGCTCTTCCCAAATCCATGACCTTGATCTAATTATGAGAAAACATGAAGTAAACCCAACCTAAGGGATATTCTACAAAATACCTGACCAGTACTCCTGAAAAGGGCCAGGGTCATGAAAGACAAGGACAGACTGAGGAATTGTCACAGATTAGAGGAGACTAAGGAGACGCAGCAACTAAATGCAACATGGGATCCTGGATTTGATCCTGGAATAGAAAAAGGAGTTTCGTAAGAAAAACTGGTGAAATCCCAGTAAGTCTATATCAATATCAATTTTAGTTTTGATCATTGTACTGTAGTTACACAAGATTAGGAGAATTTGTACTGCCATTGCAACTTTTCTCTAAGTCTAAAATTATTTAAAAGTAAAAAGTTTTTAAAAGCCAAATTTAAAGATAAGTAAATAAAAGTATATACAATACATGGTTACAGGAAAAAATCATAAAGGTAGGTAAGACTGACTCAAGTTTGGGAAGCACTAAAGTATTTACCCTACACCCAAGAAAAGTCGCCCCCAGAATGAGAATCACTGCTGTTGAAGAATATTTAGTAAAATAGGGAAATGTTCACTTTATATTACTTGGGGGTAAAATTAATAAATCATCCCTTTCTGTTAAAAAATATATATATCACATATATTACCCATAGAAAACAGTCTGTGTTAAAATAAAAATAACCTATGCTAAACAAAGCACAGATGACATTTATTAAATAGTAAATGGGATATGGCTTTTGGAAAGTAACTTATCAATTAAAATGCTCACAGACTTTGACTCAGTAGCCTCACTCAGGGAGAATATCCTAAGAGAAAATTCCTAAGTATGCAGAATAAATGTCTGTTTCCAGCACTATTTTTAATAATTTTAAGAATTAGAAACAATCTCCATATCAGTCATTCCTAGATTAGTATTTTTTTAAACCGCAACCCAATAAAGAATGTTTTACATTGTAATCTAGCATATGCATGTGTGAGAGGGTGTGTGTGTATGTGCATGTGTGTAAAAAACTGAACCAAAAAGGTTTCTCAAAACAACACTATCTTTACTGTATGTGATGCTCTCTGCTATTTTCAATCCTAATCTATGTTATTAAGAAATTAAGAAAACGAAGTACATAGAGCCCCACTAAACTGATTTCCTGACCCAATAATGGATTATGGCCCTTGGTCTGAAAAACTGCACTAGATGGACTATTGTGCAGCCATTGTAAGAGATGACTATGGCTGGGTGCAGCGGCTCACATCTGTAATCCCAGCACTTTGGGAGGCCAAGGTAGGTGGATCACTTGAGGTCAGGAGTTCGAGACCAGCCTGGCCAACACGGTGAAACCCCATCTATACCAAAAATACAAAAATTAGCCAGGCATGATGGCGCATGCCTTAATTCCAGCTACTTAGGAGGCCGAGGCATGAGAACTGCTTGAACCAGGAGGCAGAGGTTGCAGTGAGCTGAGATCGTGTTACTGCATTCCAGCCTGGGCAACAGAGCGAGACTCTGCCTCAAAAAAAAAAAAAAATTAATTAATTAATTTAATTTAATTTAAATTTAAAAAATTTAAAAGAAACTACTATAAACCACAAACTGGTAGCAGCAATTTGTTCTAAGGAGAAAAGAGGGTGGGAGGAAAACTTGCTTTTCACTGTATATCTTTTTGTACCTTTTGAATTTATAACACGTTTTTTATTTAAAAATTAACTAGCTGGCTCACACCAGTAATCCCAGCACTTTGGAAGGCCAAGGTGGGAGGATCTCTTGAGACCAGGAGTTCAAGACCAGCCTGGGCAACATAGAGACCTTGTCTCTACCAAAAATAAAAAAAAAAAATTAGCACAAGCCTGTAGTCCCCGCTACACAGGAGGTTGAAGTAGGAGGATCACATTAGCCTAGGAGATAGAGGCTGCAGTGAACAGTGATCACGTCACTGCACTCTAGCCCAGGAGACAGAGAGAGATCCTGTCTCAAAAAAAAAAAGAACTAACTTTAAATGGCAATTACGAAGACTTTATTAGCATGGGAGACAACGCTAATTATGCATAATAAAGCTATAACTACATTAAAATGTAAAGACATATGCAAGTGAAAAAAATTTATACCAAGCAATAATCATGTTAGCAATTTTTTTCCTTTTTACTAAATTCTACATATTCTACACTGCTGCTATTGTAGATTTGTTTTGTTTTGTTTTGTTTTTGAAACAAGGTCTGGCTCTATCGCCCAGGCTGGAGTGGAGTGGCAAGATCTTGGCTCACTGCAACCTCTGCCTCCCAGGCTCAAGCAATTCTCCCACCTCAGCTTCCCGAGTAGCTGGGACTACAAGTGTGCACCACCACACCCTGCTAATTTTTTTATTTTTTGTAGACAGGGGGTTTTGCCATGTTGCCCAGGCTGGTCTCAAACTTGTGAACTATTTTCTACCATTCAACATACATTTATTTTCTTAAATTAAATCAATTACTGGTAAGGACACAGGAGATTTTAAAGTTAATAGTAGCATTTTCTTTCTTAAGCTAGGTGGTGGGTCACTTAAACTATACATATAAAAATAGACATTCTACATATTTTAAATAATTTCTCAATTTTTTCCAACTTTACTGAGTTATGATTGACAAAAGTTCTATATACTAAAGATGTACAGCATGATAATTAGATATACTAATACACTGTGAAACAACTATCACAAACAAATTAACACATTCATTACCATACACAGTTACCATTTTGTGTATGTGGTGGGGAGAGGTGAGGACACTTAAGACTTACTCTCTTGGCAAATTTCAAGTAAACAATACAGTATTAACTATAGTCACTATGCTGTACATTAGATTCCCAGGATTTATCTTATAACTGAACGTTTAGCAACATTTTTTTAAAGAAAAGATTTCAAAAGTGGACTCTTTCCTGCAACCTTCCGCTTTGACCTCGGACTCACGGAGCCACTCCAACAAGGTACTGAGATAGGATTTAAAACTGTCAGTCAACTGGATACTTTCCACCTCTGTGAAGAGAATCTAACGTGGACTGTACCATCCCCATGGCTTCTAAAGGTTTCCCTTTCGAACTCTGCAGGTGGGCTAGTTTCGGCATTCCATTCACACTCAGGACTGTTCTTTTGTTTTTCCTCCTTTCCCTACCAAGCTATTGTTCATTCCCTTACATTTTTAATTACATATAATCTCTTCTAGCATATTCATCTTTGAATTTCCAGCAGGCTGTAATGCAGTACTTTCTTTGTACATAGCAAGTGCTCAAAAAATATTTCTTAATCAATATCATAGGCAAAACTCCAGAAAAGAATATATAAAAAGTGGCAAGGACTCAGAGAAGGAAGTATTGATCCCTGGAGATTAAGTACAAATCGCATCAAGAGACATCATTACTTTTAGTTAATGAGGTTACTATATAATTATTGTAGGGAATAAAATAGATAATACATGTAAAACACTCAGCAATAGCTAGTAAGTGATCCATAAATAACAGATTGGGGACTTAAAAAGTAATATCCATACATATTTACACAATATATATTTGTATATAATATATATATCATAAATGAATACACACATATGCACATACATATGGCAAAGAATGTCAGGGACATAATTTATCTGGACTTCAGAAAAATCTCTCTTGATCTTTAAAGAAAAAAAAATCAGAGATGCACCGGCAGCTGGATGGACTGGTAACTCAGGACAGCTGGGTCCAAACAGTGCTATGAAATGAATCTGCATCAACCAGGAAGAGGAGCTCTGGAACTCCTAGAAGTTTAGGCACATCCCATCTGTTTTTATCACATTTATTGATTTGCATATGTTGAGCCATCTGATATGGTTTGGCTGTGTCACCACCCAAATCTCATCTTGAATTGTAGTTCCCATAATCCCCAGGTGTCATGGGAAGGATCCAATGGGAAGTGATTAGGTCATGGGGGCCATTTCCCCCACGCTGTTTTCATGATAGTGAGTGAGGCTCATGAGATCTGATAGTTTTATAAGCTCCTGGCATTTCCCCTGCTTACACTCATTCTCTCTCCTGCCACCCTGTGAAGAGGTGCCTTCCACCATGATTCTAAGTTTCCTGAGGCCTCCCAGACATGTGGAACTGTGAGTCAATTAAACTTCTTTCTCATATAAATTACCCAGTCTTGGGCAGTTCTTTATAGCAGCATGAGAATGGACTAATACACAATCCTTGCATCCCAGGGATAAATCCCACTTGATCATGGTACATGAACCCTTTTTTTCCTTTTTTTGTGACTTGAGGCCACTGCTCATTCTTCTTCTTCTTCTTTTTTTTTTTTTTTTTGAGATGGAGTCTTGCTTTGTCGCCCAGGCTGGAGTGCAGTGGCGTGATCTCAGCTCACTGCAACCTCCGCCTCCCGGGTTCAAGCGATTCTCCTGCTTCAGGCTCCCCAGTAGCTGGGACTACAGGTGCCCACCACCACGCCCGGCTAATTTTTTGTATTTTCAGTAGAGGTGGGGTTTCACCGTGTTAGCCAGGATGGTCTCGATCTCCTGACCTTGTGATCTGCCCAACTAGGCCTCCCAAAGTGCTGGGATTACAGGCGTGAGCCACCATGCCTGGCCTCTTTTTTTTTTTTTAAGTTCAGGGGTGCATATGCAGGTTTGTTATACAGGTAGACTTGTGTCATGGGGGCTTGTTGTACAGATTATTTGATCACCCAGGTATTAAGCCTAGTACTCATTAGTATTTTTCCTGATCCTCTCCCTCCTCCCACCCTTCACCCTCAAGTAGGCCTTGGTGCCTGTTCTTCTCCTCTATGTGTCCATGTGTACTCAATGTTTAGCTCCCATTTATAAGTGAGAACATGCGGTATTTGGTTTTCTGCTCCTGCATTAGTTTGCTAAGGATAGTGGCCTCCAGCTCCATCCATGTTCCTGCAAAGGACATGATTTCATTCTTTTTTTATGGCTGCATAGTATTCCATGCTGTATATGTACATTTTCTTTAACCAGTCTACTGCGATGGGCATTTAGGTTGATTCCATGTCTTTGCTATTGTGAATAGTGTTGCAATGAACATACATGTGCTTGTATCTTTATAATCAAACAAAATTTTTTTTTTTTTTTGGAGACAGAGTCTTACTCTGTCACCCAGTCTGGAATGCAGTGGCACAATCTCGGCTTGCTGCAGCCACCACCTCTCAGATTCAAGCAATTCTCCTGCCTCAGCCTCCGAGTAGCTAGGACTACAGGCGCACACCTCCACACCCAGCTATTTTTTTTTTTTTTTTTGTATTTTTAGTAGAGACACGGTTTCGCCATGTTGGCCAGGCTGGTCTCGAACTCCTGACCTCAAGTGATCTGCCTGCCTCGGCCTCCTGAAGTGCTGGAATTACAGGCATGAGCCACTGCACCCAGCATCTTATAATCAAATCATTTATATTCCTTTGGGTATATACCCAGTAATGGGATTGCTGGGTGGAATGGTATTTCTGTTTTTAGGTCTTTGAGGTATCGCAACACTGTCTTCCACAATGGTTGAACTAATTTACACTCCCACCAACACTACATAAACATTCCTTTTTCTCCACAACCTTACCAGCACCTATACTTTTTTGGCTTTTTAATAACAGCCATTCTGACTGGTGTGAGATGGTATCTCATTGTGGTTTTGATTTGCATTTCTCTAATGATCAGTGATGTTGAGCTTTTTTTCATATGCTTGTTGGCCACATGTATGTCTTCTTTTGAAAAGTGTCTGTTCATGTCCTTTGCCCACTTTTTAAAAATGGGTTTTTTTTTTCTTGTAAATTTGTTTAAGTTACTTATAGATGCTGGATACTGGACCTTTGTCTTATTAGACTCAGTGTGCTGTTGAATTCTATTTGCTAGTATTCTGTTAAGGATTTTTGCATCTATGTTCATCAGGGATGTTGCCCTGTAATATTCCTTTCTCTTCCCATTTATTCTAGATCTCATCATGGTTACCCTTTTTATCAATGACTTGGATAAGACACAATTATCAAATATGTTTATGATAAATTAATTGGGAGGGATAATGAATATACTAGATATAATCAGAGAGAAAAGCCTCCACAAACTGGAACCATAGGTTAAATACGGCAAGATGAAATTTTTAAAGGGTAAAATATGTAATTTTACACTGAAGCTTAGAAAAATACTGCAAGACAACAGGATAAAGATGGTTATTAGTGAAAAAGACCTGAGGAAAGGTTCAATATGAGTCAACTGATGAGCAAATGTGATTTTGAGTTTAGCTGACAAAACACAGGGCCCAGATCAAATGAGATTCATGTCCTACTCTGCTCCATTCTGGTTAGAACAAAAGTGTTTCCAGGGGACATATATTATATTTGCAGTCCCGGGGTAAATGGAGTCTTGAATAACATTTCAGACAAATATATTGAAAGAAAAAAAGGAAATCAAGTCTTTTGGAGCCCCTTAAACTGAGAAGATAACACGTCTGATTCATGAGGTTGTAAGTTCTCCTGCAGAACAAGAAGATAGAAAACTACCGCTTTTATCCCCACGGAGTCATCTCTGGGGAATAAAGAACGCTCACAGAAAGAAGAGACAGCTGGGCCCTGCCTGACCTGCCCTTTGTCCCTCCTGCTAGTCACATCAAAACCTCCCAGCTGGGGCTCTGACCATCCGAGCTTTATCAAGGATATAGAGCAGCTCAGGAATCCAAACAATTCTGACCCATCATCTCCCCAAACCATGGTTCACTACAAGCAGAATCACAGTGATATTTTTAACTATCAGAGTGAATTCTTGTGGATCTTTAACCTCCTATACTAAGCTGTCATCTGATAGCTGTTGTGAGCAAGGACTCAGGCTTAAATGCTGTAACCGAAACATTAGATGGTAGGAATGCAGCATTTCAGCTTCTTCAGGGATTGCTGGGATATAGACATACCAGCTTATCTCCTGTAAAGGAACCCTATGATGCTTCTTCTAAGGATCTGGGGAGAGAGAAGAGCAGTGGCCATTCAACATCCGGTTCTTATCCTAGGAACATGGAAGGCGGCCCTGATCTACAGATGAGTCATACTAAATAAACGTCAACATCCTACAGGAGAAGATGCCATTTTTTAAACTATCTTCTTTTTCCCCAAGGTTAAGAACTTAGAAGTTCCTAATCTATGCAATGATTAGCTCCTTATCTAACAAGACATGCACTGGGCCCATCCTATGTTTCTGCGGAAGAGAGCTAGTTTGCCTTTGTGTAAAAAGAGGTCCTTATGAATGTTCATTCACTTAGAGATCAACATTGAACAACCTGTGTGATAGAGAAATCAATTAGACCCCACGATTCAAGGAAGGGAAGATGAGGGAGATGATGAAAGGAAAAGCAGAGGAATGTGGAGGGAACGGGGAGAGTAGAAAGCAATTTAAGATCTTGAAGGACAGAAACAGGAGGAAGCTTGTTTGGAAGTCTCAGAGTGGCAAATTTGGGGGAATTCCTGAGCATTACTCCCAGGGATGTCAGGGAACATACTTGAGCACCACTTAGCCTTTTGAATTTGCAGGAAAGAAAGAATTCAGAAAGCCTTTATTCCCTCCCTGTCTGGGGCTCCTTACCCTGGGGTGATACATCTGCCTACACCCCACTTAGCTGGTTGGCTGAGCTGTGAACGACTGAGAGGAGGAAGGCAGAGTGAAAAGAACAAAGGGTCAAGGACTACTGTCCCCCGCACAGCTAGTGCCAGCAGAACACTCCCTTCTTACAAGGCCATGGGACTCCAGAGGCTAAAACTGGTAGATGCTAGCTCATCTCAAACCCGAGCAGATAAAGGAAGTCAACGATTTCACAGTTCTCCTGAAGGTGATGAAAGATTATAGCCACTCATCTCCAATGCAGACAGCCTCTGCCATCAGTAATGCATGACACAGCTCTTCTAAGGTAAAGGCCCAGAGGAGATGAAGAAGGGGTGCATACTCTGGGAAAATTTGGCAAGATGAGGCTTGACTCTCTCTGCGTGCTCCCAAGACAGTTACCAAGTTACCACTGCTTTGTCACAGAGGGTCCAAGACCCAGAGAGATGCGAGAGTTGTCAGAGGCTTAGAGACTTATGTGGTTGGGATTTGGGGGCTTGAAGTGTTTTTTGTTTTGTTGTTGTTTTAGTAAATAAGACTGTCTCAGCAAGCTTCTGAAGGGTGAACCCTGTACCTCTGTTTTATCCAAGATGGCTAGGAAGAGAGACAGCTCAACGACATCTGACTTCACCTTATGCTCTGAGGGTTGGGAGAGAATGGGATAGACTTTCCAAATAAAATAACAATTTGCCAGCCACAAACTTCCTTCCTCTACTATCCAGGTAATCCATTTCCTCCTTAAATCCCTATTGCACCAGACTGGAGGTGGGGAGGGGGAACGGGGGTGGACTGTGGCAATGTTGTGTGGAGGAGACAGGGACAAAAATGTGAGACATGGACCCAACTGCTGGCTATGGAACTTGGGATGGACCCCAAGGCCAAGGCCATTCAGACTAAACTAAGAGCACCATGAAGTTTACTACCTTGAGAACCTCTTGAGTTCTCAAGGAAGAGAGCTGTTCCTGCCTACAGTGGCTGGGGCAGAGATCTAAAGCAAGTAAAGGACCAGACAGACGCTGAGAACCTAGAAGGAGCACACAAAGCCTAATTCAGCCTCATGACCTTGACTTCCTCTTCCAGAAGTGCCTGGACACAGAGCAGTGCACCTTCAACAGCACAACTCGGCCGTTAAGGCTGCACCAAAATTCATTCAGGAGCCCAGCCCTGGGCAAAGCAAAGCCTCCTGCCCCCCAGGATGCAGCACTTCTCTGGTTTGTCTTCAGGGGCTCCAATGCAGCTGTATCTGCGGGGAAGCTGGGGGTCAGGACGCAGACCACAAGAACCCACTCTGTGAGGGGTCACTGCTTTCAAGGACACCAAAGGGGACCCTCATCTCTGCGTTCCTTTCTTCCACCATGATCCCTCTCTGCTTCCTCTCCTGCCATGTGGGGTGGTGAGAATGGGGACAAGCAGGGCGGACCGAGCACTCTTTTAATAGGAAACAAGGACTCGGAGGTGACCAGCTGCAGAGGTGAGCAAAGCTCCAGAAGGACTCCAGCTTCTGACCCGGATGGCTGAGTGCCACCACCATTTCAGGGAACACTGACCAAACAGAAGATTCCACGCTGCTTTGCTGCGGTCATGTCTGAGTTTACCCAAGAGGGGAAGCTGCTCCAACAGAGGAAGTTAATTAGACCAGACAAGAGCGGGGAGCAGAGGTGGAAGACAGGGATGAGACAAGAAACTGTGGAGGACAAAAAGTAAGATGAAAGGAAGGAGGGAGGCAGGGAAGGGAGGAGAAAGTGTGTGTGTGTGGGGTGTGTGTGTGGGTGTGTGTGTGGTGTGCATGTGTGTGGTGTGTGTGTAGTATGTGTGGAGTGTGTTGTGCGTGTGTGTGTATGGTGTGTTTGTGTGTGGTGTGTGTGGTGTGGTGTGTATGGTGTGTTTGTGTGTGTGGTGTGGGTATGTGGTGTGCTTTTGTGCATGTGGTGTGTGTGCATATGTGTGGTGTGTGTGTGGTGTGTAGTATGTGTGGTGTGTGTGGTGTTTGTGTGTGTGGTATGTGTGTGCATGTGCATGTGCAGCATATGTTGTAAGAGGAGGTGGGAGAGGAGTGGGTGACACATCAGAGCCGTCACTGCAATGCTGAGCCCCTGGCTGTGGTGATGACTGGCCACAGCGCAATTCAGCAGTGGTGTCTTTGCAGTCAGCTTCCGTGGTCAGCACAAGGCAAAAATCATGTGGAGTCAAGTTATCTTGAAAATTCCCTTAGAAAGGCACCACACTGGAGACCCGCCAGTCTCCGGGGAGCCCCATTCAGTACTATTCATATACATTATTTTTGTGCACTCCTATGAATCTGAGAACTAGAAGGACCCAAGGAGTCCATCTTCCTTCTCTGTGGTTCTCAAAAACAATTCTGAGGAGCTGAACCATTGATATGGTCTGAATGCTTCTGAGTAAGTTTCTCTCAGCTCTCAGAGATTGGTTTATCACCTAATGTTATCCAGCCAGACGGACTTCCTGCGAAGCCCACACTCTCTTCCATGCTGCTGTTGTCTTAAAATTGTCTTAGGAGGGAGAGGCCTATATCACGGGTCCCGCCCCACCACTAAATAGCTGTGTGTGCTGGGAACAGTCGCTTCCCCTTTCGTCCCCAATCTCCCCTTCTATAAAACAGAGCCAGACTAGATGAACTCTAAGAGCCCAGACAATGCTCTGCTGAATGAAAAAGTGCTTTGAAAAGTCCAAGTACTTCACAAACAGAACGTGTCAGTATTGGTTAGCTCTCACAGGTCAGAAACGTTGGTGTCTTCCGTCTTGCCCCTCAAGTTCATCCTTCATGTCAGTCCTGCCTCATCTACTCTGGAATATTCTCTAGGACTCGCCCCCTTCCTCTCTCCTGTTGCTGACCTGCCAGGTCCTTTAGCAGGCCTCCTCACTGCCTTTCTCTGGCCTCTCCAAAATTATCCTATTTTCATCGATCTACAGGAGAGATTTCCACAAAACTCCACCTTCACTGCATCACTTCACATCACCTATGTAATGGCAGGACTTCCAGAGCTCAGGTCCCTGGCTCTGCTCTGCCACACCTACCCCTCCAAGGTAGATCATCGCCGTGACACTGGAGTGAACATCTCTCCTTTCCTTATAAAGTTGACCCAACTTTAAAGACCAGAAAAATCCTGCCTCCTCCAAGGAAAGTTTTCTGTGGTTTTAAGATACAACTTTCTTGTTCTGAACTATAAATGTATCCATGGTTCGTAAACCAACACAGTTAAGATCTTGGATATTCTCTACTTGTTTAACAAACACTGTCTCTCCCAATAGCTTATAAATTCCCTCAGGTCAGAAAATAAGCTTTATTTAATATTTGCATCACAATGTCAGTGGAGCTGAAAATTCAGCGAGGGCTGCATTGCCTTACTGCCTGATGGTGGAAAGAAAGATCTTTGTTATCTCTCCAGCCCTTGACAACTCACAGGGAATGTTGGGGTACAGAGGAAGGAGAGAAGAGGTGGAATTAATACCCTCCCAACTCCTAAAGTATCTTCCCGCCTGTTCCTCCCTGCTTTCACCCACTCTGGTGGGGGAAAGAGCCCCCATCACAGGCTCCAATCCACCTATTCTCTGAGGCTGAGCCTGAGCCCATCAGAACAGCATGCAGACAGCTCTATTTAGCTCCATTCTTCATGTTCTGATCCGCCCGTGTGATAGCAACAGCTGCTCACAGTGCCTGACAGTAGTGGGAAGATAAAAGGAAGAAAGAGACACATAAGAAAGAAAAGCCAAGACCAGTAGTCATCTTCTAATATATATTTCATACCTGGGCCCTGGAGGGAAATCTGCTTCAAATTAAGCCCCATCTGTTCTCAAGCCCCCAAAGAGGCAGAGCACCCATGAGAAGGGCTCTATACCCTGCCAGGGCACAGACACCAGTGAAGATTGGCAGCTGCAAAGAAGGATGGCATCCTTGAGGAAGCCAACAAACTGGGAGGTGGAGCCCCTGGCTGACCAGCCCATTCTTAGACTCAGAGCCTCTGCCCCACAACACATGACCCCAAGACCTCCCTGATAGGTAAGAATCACATAAGTATGTAATGGGTGTAAAATGGGGAGGATTGTCAGGAGATCGGCCCAATTCCCAGAGGAAAGCATTCCTGGCCATCACACCCAAGGTACTCAGCAATGCAAGCATAACCTAGCATGCCTAAACCCACCTTCCCCACTACTCCTGGCTTCTGGCCACTCGGGAGCAAATACACCTCTGCAAAAGTCCCAGCTTTTGTGCTCCCCACAGCCAGCCCCCACCATCGTCTCTCCAGATCTTCTCCTGTTTATAAGATGCATTCACTCCTAATCTCCACTTCCAGACACACACACACACCCTTGGGTAGACACAGGGCAATAAGCCTACCTCTCAGGCTCAACTTCTGGGCTGCACACAGTGGGGTGGCTTGCTCCCGTAATCCCAGCACGTTGGGAGGCTGAGGCAAGAGGACTGTTTGAGCCCAGGAGTTCAAGAGCAGCCCGAGCAACACAGCAAGACCCTGTCTCCATAAAAAAAAGATGGAAAAATTAAATTCTGTAGGATTCACTCCCTAAATAATTAAAAATTTAAACTTAAATTTTAAAAAACCAGGCTTAACTTCTACCCAGTGTGTGTTCATGCTCCCTTGGGCCCTTTCTGCTTGCAGGAGCTGATGATGCTGGGTGCACTCTGAAAGATTTTAAACCTGGTAAGGATGGTAATGCCTTCAGGGGCCAGAGGATGCCTTCACAAACCATTCAGAGTGTCAACAGAGCCAGACTGGGGAGACGTCCAGTTATACCAAGACCAAGAGGCAGATTCTCTCATCTGCCTCTAAGCTCCTTCCTCACAAAAGGTATCTGCCACACCCATCTCCAGTGCCAAAGATGGATCACAGCCGACTGAGCCGACTGTCTCTCCTCCTACCCCTCACCCCCGCCTTCCAGAGTGACAGCGAGACAGGAAAGCAAGTTGGAAAATTTTTAAAAGAACCAACACCTCGGCCAGGCACAGTGGCTCACGCCTGTAATCCCAGCACTATTGGAAGCCGAGGTGGGCGGATCACAAGGTCAAGAGATCAAGACCATCCTGGCCAACACGGTGAAACCCCGTCTCTAGTACAAAATACAAAAATTAGCTGGGCATGGTGGTGCACACTTGTAGTCCCAGCTACTCGGGAGGTTGAGGCAGGAGAATTGCTTGGACCGGGGAGGCGGAGGTTGCTGTGGGCCGAGATTGTGCCATTGCACTCCAGCCTGGCAACAGAGCGAGACTCTGTCTCCAAAAAAAAAAAAAAAAAAAAGAACCAACACCTCATCACAATCCATGAAAAGCTAGCTCCTGGCTCTAGGACTGCAAGAAAAGGGAATTCCACCTTCAAACTCCTGGTTACCTTCCATGGCTGGTCTCAGTGGAACTAGCATTCCTCCTCACAGAGGCATGAGGCAGCCACACCCCACACAGCCCCAGAGCCCAGAGGCAGAGTTGGGCAGAAAGGAATGCAGATAGTTTCCCAGAAGTGTCTGGCCGAGAAGGAAACCAAGAGCTTACCCACAGCTTCCTGGGCCCTGACTGGGAGGCACTGGGTTCTCACAACAAGGATTCTGGCAATTCAGGGATGGTGAGGCCCTTGTATGTGAAAGCCCACAGGAGGCGAGGACACAGTGGTGGGAAGAGGCCCTGACAGAACAAGCCTGGGCTGGCCCCAGACGGCTTCCAGTAAGCAGCGGCTGCACTTGAATGTCAGCAAGGGTCTTAGGGAGACCCGAAGCAATCCAGTCACAGGGGAGCCCAAGGCAGGCACGCAGATGTGAGGTCGGATCCTCTTAGCATAGGCTTTGGCGTCACCTGCTTTCCAGGAAGCAGGCTTCATTTTCTAACACATCTTGAGGGAGGAGGGCAAACCGGAGGGGAAGCCCAACATCTGACAGGCCAGCAAAGCTGGTGAGCAGATGGGCTCTAATGCCTCCCAGCTTGATTCTCTCAGTCATGCTTCAGAGGTCATAAGGCTTTTTTTAGTCCTACTGTTAGTACCACAGCTCCCAGAAGCCTGTGCTTCCTCCAAATTATGACCCTGTAAGGCTCTGTTCTAGGATAAGCACAGGAGAAGGAGCAGAACACAGAAAGAGTTATTAAAGATGCCTTCCTGTTATATACTAAGTGTCCACGTGAAGGATATCAAAATAAAATAATAAAATAATTTTAATTTAAAAGTGGATTACATCATTAACTGTTTCCTTTGCAAGGAAAGGGCAATTCCTAATACAGATTCCATAAAATCCAGATGACACTTCCCCTTCTCATATACGACCTGGACTCTGAAAACCTTAATCAGTTGCTAGCATTAATACAAAATACACACAGAGACACATATAGACACACGTCTGTTCTTCAAAGCTTTGTTCGGGAAGCCAAAGATACAAGAACCCTTCCAACTTCATGTCCCTATGGGGATAACAGGAGGCACAGAGTTAAATATGGTTTTTCCCAAGCAAAGACCTTGGCTGCGAATAGGATTAAGGGTGGCTCTGGACACCCCCACATGCAGGAAGAAGGCTAAGCACCTGGAATCTCCCCTTCCTCCACAGCACCAGTAAATGAACTGATGTCATCTCTCTGGTAGCCAAACATGTCTGTCTCCCAGCCCCTAGGATTTCACCCATCCTTACCTCAAAATTGCATAATAAGGGTCTGCAGCTGGTTAGTTCAGTTACTCACAGCCTGGTGCCAGTGAAGCAAAGGTAAAAAGTTGGCTACTTAGAGCCATTAGTTTCACCTTACCCTGTGGCCACAGATTTTAACTGTTTAAACCTAGATCAAAATGCATGCTGCTTTTTTCAGAGAGACAAGACCAAAGATGAACTCAAAAAGAGCATCCCTGGGCACCACAGAAAGAAGGACAAAGATAAAATCAGCTGTGACTGTACTTCTTTGGAACGGGATGACACATGCTGATCCCCAAGCAAGAACATCTGGATAAGCTTTCCCACCCTCACAGGAAATTTTCAGTCACCTGGAACCTAGTACAGTTTGGAAAGTCATTCTATTTTCCTGAACTGTTCATTCCACAAGGAGATGCTGCAGTTTACACACAGTGCACTGGGACATCTTCAGTTTTCATAGATTAGCAGCATATGCGTCCTACAGGAAAGGTCTGTAGCTTTAAATTAGACGCTTTCCATCCTAAGACCTGATACAGCATTGCAACAAGAATGTATTATTTCCTTGTCAAAAATCAGAGGAGATAACTCCACTAACCCCACTAAACAGTAAGTTTAAAGAATGCGATCCTGTCATAATTACATCATGATTTTCAAAGTGGGAGAATTTCATTGGGTTTTAAGCTCAAGTTTTTCCCAGTGTGACACACAGTGCGAAAAAGAAAAGAGCTTAGGCAAAGTTAGGCATGGCACATTCCAGCTCCTCTAGCCGAGACTGAAGAAAACAGACCTAGCTTTCCTGACCTGCTCCCGGAAGCCCTTGGAAGCACTTTTCTTCCTCTTCATGCAATGGGAACAGAGTCAGTCTCTTCTAGAGCAACTTCACCAGCAGGGGCCAGAGGGTGAACAGACTGTGTTTTCACTAAAAGCTCCTTTTTCAGGCAGTCGCCCTTTATAGGTTGAAGACAGTTTTCCACAGAAACAACACCAGACATGGTAGCCAGATGCGCAGACAAGCTCATTAATGAACAACATGGCTGAAATACTGTTTATACATAATAAAGACACAAAACAATACCTCTGTAAATACTAGCAATAAAACAAAATGTAAGAGGAATAAAATTATATCATTTTTGGCCAGGCACGGTGGCTCACACCTGTAATCTCATCACTTTGGGAGGCCAAGGTGGGCGGATCAATTGAGCCCAGGAATTCAAGACCAGCCTGGGCAACATGGCAAAACCTATCTCTACAAAAATACAAAAATTAGCCGGGCATGGCGGTGTGTGCCTGTGGTCCCAGCTACTCGGGAGGCTGAAGTGGGAGAATTGCTTGAGCCCAGAGGGTGGAGGCTGCAGTGAGCTGAGATCGCGCCACCACACTCTAGCCTGGGCAACACAGCAAGACTCTGTCTCCAAACAAACAAATAAATAATAATTTTTACGTGTTTCAAATTGTGGTCCTGGAAGAAGGGCAGGTTAATTAAAAGATGGATATCTGGGGGGAATCTTTAAAAGCATTCTCAAGAACAATAGTGATGGCACTGATACTTCAAACCGTCTACTTTCATTCCCAAATGTCTGACTGTCCTTTCAGAAGTATTCTTGGTTTCACACTTTACCAGCTATGATCAAAGCTAGCTTTTATCCCACAGGCAAAAAGGAAAGGGGATAAGGAGGGTTTTTTGGGAGGCAATTAAGCAAAATCATAAGGACAGAAAGAGAAGGAAAGATGGGGATTAAAGAGGATGTGAGTAGGATCTGAAGAACACTTACCTGAGGGAGACCTAAATTACCTGTGATTGGTGAGAGATATAGAAGCCAGCTGGTTCATGACTACTGAGAATCGGAGTGCCAGGGAGGACGCACTGGATATTATGTGACAGATACCAGTTGGATCACCTGCCTAGGACAACTTAAGATCAAAGAATGGGGGAAAATACCAAATGCCAGACACAGGCTCACAACTCTTATCCAGCCCCAGATCAAACTATTACTTCAACCAGACATCGTTGGCATTCGCAAGGAACACGTCTACAGAGCCTACGGGGAATGCTCACTGCCTGTTCTCCTGAGCTGGCTGGCTGAGTACCGATCTATCTAAAGAAAATAAACTACCCCAGAGTTCTATGTCACCTAGCTCTAACAGTCTCAGGAAAGTAGGAGGCATCCTCATCGGGGATGTAGGTCACAGTGGAGTTAGGGCTTATGGAATACATAAAAACATGGTGAATATAGGGCCGGGGATGGTGACTCATGCCTGTAATCCCAGCACTTTGGGAGGCCGAGGTTGGTGGATCAGGAGGTCAGAATTTGGAGACCAGCCTGGCTAACACAGTGAAACCCCGTCTCTACTAAAAATACAAAAAAAAAAAAAAAATTGCAAAATAACAGAGAAGTCCTACTTGAAAGTATACAGAATCAATTATGGAGCTCTTCTGCCCAGAAATATTCTACTTAGCTCCACAACTTTCTCTAGCAAGTTTCAGCAGCCTGAGAGCCTCCCAGGGTTGGGCACAGCAACAGTGAGCATGGGTCCTCATCCTCATCACTAACCCTGCAAAGACAAGCATCCTTCTGTACTTCTTTTTTTTTTTTTTTTTTTTTTTTCTGAGACGGAGTCTTGCTCTGTCGCCCAGGCTGGAGTGCAGTGGTGCAATCTCAGCTCACTGCAACCTCCGCCTGCCAGGTTCAAACGATTCTCCTGTCTCAGCCTCCCAAGTAGCTGTGATTACAGGCATTCGCCACCATACCCGGCTAATTTTTGTATTTTTAGTTGAGATGAAGTTTCACCATGTTGGCCAGCCTGGTCTCAAACTCCTGACCTCATGATCCACCCGCCTCAGCCTCCCAAAGTGCTGGATTATAGGTGTGACCCACCGCGCCCGGCTACTTTGTTGTTTTTGAGACAGGGTCTCACTCTGTCACCCAGGCTGGAGTGCAGTGGCACGATCTCAGCTCACTGCAGTCTCGACCTCCCTGGGCTCAGGTGGTCCTCCCACTTCAGCCTCCCGAGTGGATGGGACTACAGGCACACACCACCACACCTGGCTAATTTTCGTATTTCTTATAGAGCTGGGGTTTCACCATGTTGCCCAGACTGGTCTGGAACTCCTGGGATCAAGTGATCTGTCTGTCTTAGCCTCCCGAAGTGCTGGGATTACAGGCGTGGGCCACCATGCCCGGCCCTCAGTACTTCTTTAGGAGAATTTCTGCCCGACAAAGGACCACAGAACAGCAAAATACTTTGGAGATTGTCTTTGTCCAACTCATTCTGTACTGGAAGAAGCCAATGCAAATCTTTAACTGGAACAAAAAAAAAAGTCTAAACTATGCAAGATCTGATTAAATCTCAGTCATTTCAGAAGGGTACAGGGATAAGGAAGAAATGTAGCTCTGTCTGAGTAAGTGTATTTGGGGAGGAGGGATGGGGATTACATAGGCAGAAGTTAAACCATTTTGTTTCTTCTTCAAAGGCCTGCCTCTCAGGAACACCAAGAGGACACCTACTCAGTTGTTTCCCTTTATTTTTCTTTTTGAGATGGAGTCTCGCTCTGTTGTCCAGGCTGGAGTGCAGTGGCACGACCTGGGCTCACCACAACCTCCACCTCCCAGGTTCAAGTGATTCTCCTGCCTCAGCCTCCTGAGTAGCTGGGAATACAGGCGCCCGCCACCATGCCCGGCTAATTTTTGTATTTTTAGTAGAGATGGGGTGTCATTCTGTTGGCCAGGCTGGTCTCGAACTCCTGACCTTGTGATCTGCCCACCTCAGCCTCCGAAAGTGCTGGGATTACAGGCGTGAGTCACCACATCCAGCCGTTTCCCTTTATTTCTTAGTTCTTGATGATAGGGTCCCCCAAATACCCTCCCCTTCCTTGCTGGAACCAAATCATACCACCCTCAGGGTACAAGAATTTGAACATAGCCATGAACAGAACCAACAATCAATAAATGTAGAGCTTGGACATGTTAGCAAACATCGAAGGTCTCTGGAAGCTACAACTTCCAAGGACCAATCTCCGCATGATGGAGAAATCAAAGCCAGGTGAAGATCTGGGCTGAGTTTCAAATATTCCTGAGTTTATGAAGGAGGTGGAAGGTGGGAAGAAGAATTCTGGAACTGAACCCGCAGAAGGCTAAGCCTCCCACATCCCAAGGGTGACAGCAAACACGTGTGGACCCACAGCAAGCCGAGGCATGGACAGGCAGTTATCTCCTTAAGTTATCCTCGTCAGAGAATTTCCATCAGTTTTTCTTACCACGTTTTATACTTTTTCAAAGTGACTACATATATTACTTTTATCTGTTTGGAGTCATCTGAGTTCCCTTCCAGTTCCACTAAGGATGCTCACACTAATGGTTCTCTGCCTCTTGCCTGTCTAGTCTTTCCTGGATCTCCCAGGCTTACTCTTTAGATTCCTATCTCATACCCACAGAGTCCTGTCTTCTTCACCATGAAATAAGTTCCCCTCTAACAAAAGGAAATTCAGACATACAAATGTGCCTTGCGCAAGATCCCACCACAAACTAGTAACACTGCAGGGATTAGAATCCAATTCTCCGAACTCACGTCCACCGCTCCTTCCAACTGACCACAACACCTCCGTTATAGGAGAAACATCTGCCCTACAGCACCACGACCAAGAATCAAAACAGTTTACTGCATGTCTTTTTAAGCAAAACAACACAGCCAGAATGTTTGGCAGGGACTAACTAAATATTTCCTCTGTGACCTATGCCAGAGAGGAAAACTGTGGGAGTTGGGTAGGCACAGCACAGAGGGAAATCGAAGAGACCACTGCAAAGGCCAGCAGATGGGTGACAAAAGAGGAAAAATGCAATCCTAAACTGAGGACAAGCTGGGAACAAAGGAATCCGAGTTTTAAAAGTGGTTGAGATCTAAAGATAGGATTGTAGGTCTAAATGGGAATGTTATCTAAGAGGGAAAGCATTTACGGAAAACTTAGGAGGACTATCTTCATGACCTTGGGGCGGGAAAGGAATTCTTAAAGGACACAAAAAGTGCTCACCAACACAAAGCTTGATCAAAAGGATATGGAGCTAAAATCTCAGAGCAACATAGAAGCAATGACCATTCTTAGGCCTACAACACAGATGTATGCTGAAGCAACATAACACAGGAATCCAAGCCTACTCCCAGCACCAAGGTCTGAACTGAAACCTGGCTTAGAAAAAAAGCCCAAAGGCAAAACATTAACTTTCCAGTGAAGAAAAAAGGAGGAAGAGAGAAAGAGAATGGATACTAATTTGGCCTAACAGAAGCTAGAATAAAGCTTGCAACATGATAAGGTACACAGGAATCTATGAGAATGAGATGGAAGCCCTGGGAAACCAGGAGCATCATCAGTGGAATCAGAAGGAAATTCAAGGGACCCGAACAAGGATCTTTGCCGGGGGAACTGAAGAAGTCACTGTATGGAACTAGATCCACTGATTTAAAAAACAAAAGGTAAAAACCTACCTGAATTATCCAAGAAAGAAACTCTCCAAAGGGTGTGAAATCTGTGAAAAGAGTGGAAAGGTTGTTACCACCAAGTAAAATTCACTTACACTTTCCAATAACCTTTAAGAAAGGGCTTCAAATAGGATCCCTTAATTGTATTAGAGGCTCTGATATTGACACTGTTCAACTGAACAAGAAAGGTGGGCGGGGAGTTCCACAGAAGAGCAAAGGGGTCTGAGGCCAGCTTTCTACCCATGCTCAGGGCAACAGGCTTTCCCTCACTTCTGAGGTGACCACACCAGCAAACTGGGCCACCAGTGGTCCCCCTCCCCAGTGACCCCTCCTGTCCTCTCACAAGCATTACATACAGAGTGGGGAAGAGGGAAGGAAAAAACCTGGAGCTCTTAACCTCAAAGGGTTTCCATTCTACTCAAAGTGCCAGGACACACATTCCTAAGGTCCAGAACCCTTGCATCAACACCTCAGCTCAAGAAGCACCCAGGAGCAGACCAGACTCTGGGTTGGGAACACTGTTTTGTTAGGAAGGAGTGCTGATAACTACAGCAGAGACAGGAGAATGAGAAAAGGACTAAGAGAACCCAGGGGAAGGGAATTTCAGGAGACAGATGAATTGCTTCCTGATTATGAACTGATCCACTTACTGGACAGTCTATGAGACAAGGAGTTAAGCTAAGGGGAGTTTTGGGGTTTTTTTTCAAGGCAGCTCTTCCCCAGGTGGAAAAATTGAGAGCACAGACAAAAGGAAGGAGTGACCTCCCTGGAAGCAGGGAAATCCCCCGCCCAATGCCTCATTTGTAATCAAGGGCAGCGAGAATGAGACTAATGTAAACAGGCCAGGGAAGCCAGCATGCCCTTCTCCAGAGAGGCCAACACACACACTTCCCCCAGCACAGCCCCTGGAAAGGCAGAAGTAGGTATTCTCTTGGACAAAAGAGAGGGGACTTGGGGAGTTCCCAAGGTGCTTTCAGGCTTTTCTGTTCCCAGGCACTCAGCATTCACCAAAATTCCAGGGCACCAAGACCACAAAAAAGGTGAAGCTAAGATTCTGCTGCTTGGAGGAAAATGCAGTTTGCAAAAAGACCCCACAAGAAAGGCTCAGAAGAAAATAATAGGGCTGAACGGCAGGACCACTCCCACATCTGAGCACCTAGGCCTGAGTCGGGCAAGCTTCCCACACCCCTCCCAGCACCAACGCAATGAACAGCTGCCCTGGAGAAAACAATGGGGCCTTTGTCTGTGCCTTCTCCTGTAGATCTCTTTTTGGAGAACCAAACAGGATAATTCCTTTACAAGAGGGGCTCTCCTAAATATCAGTCCCGGCCAAGATGAAAGTTTTTACCATCCACAGCATCCCTCTCAAGTAAGACTCCTACCCGTTCCATATTGGGCAGGAAGGGTGCTGTGCAGTATCCAGCCCCACCCCACATAGGAAGCACTGGCAGACAGGTCCTTGCAGCCCCTTCCTGCAGCCCTCACCAGTCACACACAGGAGCTGCTACTCCTGCTTTCTTCCTGGCCTGGCCACGGAACTGAAAGCCTAAGAACTGTTCTCACTCCCCTTTTGCCATCCACCAGAATATTCCATATTGAGTGAAATTACAATGCTTGTTGATACTGTTTTCATCAAAATCTGTCAAAATGGACTCCCAACAGTAACTGTGATTTTAAAAGAAAAAGGCATGAAACAAGCTGGACAGTCAAACTTCTCTTAATGTTGCACTACTAAATAAAAATTCCCAAACTGACAAATATCAAGAAACTTACGCTGTCATTTTCCATGATTCAAACATCTTAAATCTAACCTAACTATATAATAGACAAGTGGAAGGTTCTTTCTTTGCTGTCTTATTAGCCCATTTTCTTGACTTGTTTTTAATTTATTTATTATTTTGATTTGCAAATGTCTCTTCTTATATGTTGTGAAGATGATAATAGATTTGAGGTTTTTGTTTTTAGTCCCTTTGCCTAAAAAAAAAATTTAAAATTTTTCCTATATTGGTCCAAATTAAGAAACAAACAAACAAACAAACAAAACGTGTGTTTTTGTGAAGCCAGGTGCCTCACGCCTGTAATCCCAGCACTCTGGGAGACCAAGCTTGGAGGATCGCTTGAGCTCAGGAGTTCGAGACCAGCCTGAGCAGCATAGTGGGACCTCATCTCTACAAAAAAAATCTAAATATTTAAAAAACTATCCAGGCATGGTGGCACACACCTGTATTCCCAGCTACTCAGGAGGCTGAGGCAGGAGGATTGCTTGAGCCTGGGCGGTCGAGGCTGCAGTGAGTTATGACTGTACCACTGCACTCCAGCCTAGGTGACAGAGTAAGGCCATGTCTCAAAATAAAAGAAAAACGTGTTTTGTAAAATCCCATATGCCACATTTCTCCCATTTTCCTTCATTGGGTAACTGGTAGCAGATGAATTCAGGACCCACTTCTTCCGAACCACCACCATGGACTACATGACATGGCACAAAATTCCCTTTCCATGAAACGGAAACAGTCTGAGCAACTCCTGATGTCTCTCTCCTCGATTCCTCTATTCTAACCATCATTCTTCCTCTCCCCAAACACCTCCAGATCAAGGGTACTTGGGTTTTCAGGCCAGTTAGCTGGATACCATGAGTTCCCCAGTTCAATCCAGAGTATCCCCCATTCTCCACGATTTCAGCACAAGGCGGCATCACAAAGTAGTAGAAAGAAATCTGCAATCAAATGAACCAAAGTTCAAATCCTGGATCTTCAGTGATTTACATAATTTCTCTGAGTCATGATTTCCTCCTCTCTGAGACAATCCGTTCACGAAAGTATCAAGTTGTGAACGGCACATAGTAGGTCCCCGGTGCTGACTCATTACTTCCTTGACAGGTTTCTCTCCTGTCCTCCCAAAAAAGATAGGCTTTTTAGAGACTTTTTTAAAAACAGGGAGCTGGAAATACTGATATTAAGAAGACATTGTTCCACAAGGAATCAAAGTCGTGCAGTGTCCCTTACCTTGCTGTGCTGGTCACATTCCGATGACTGCCCTCAATTTCTTTCCAGCCTCTCTTAGGAAAGGCCCAGAACATCTATTTAATGGTATAAACCTCCATTTCTCCCTCTCAAGAGTCTGGAGTTATGAATTATTAGGTGGCTCAGGGTTCTCTAAGGGTAAGGCTTTCAGTGTCATCCTGGAAAATATTAAAATGTGGAAAAACCACTCATCCCACCACCTCGTGTTTCTGTGTGGTATCGACTCGACCCTTTATGGTTTCCTTTTGGAGTGCATTCAATCTGCCCTGCGCAAACACCACATCAGGTCTCTATCACTGTGCTAAACAAATGTTCCAAATGGGAAAAAAATTGTCATAAATATTTTTTGGGACTGCTCACAGTCTTATTTCACTGCACTTATTTCAAGTCTTTCACTTATTTAAAGTCTTATTTCACTTATTTCATGATGGAGACATCATGAAAGACAAAGAATTCCCTGTAATTCCCTGTACCAGAAAAGTGTCACACGTGCTACCTTTCCTGAGACCAAAGAGTTTATACAGTTAAATTCTTTACAGTAAGGGTGATTTCGTAAATGCATACATTCAGTTTGATTTAATGTTTAGGACTCTGTAAAGGCTTCTCATGTAAGCAAATTCAAAAATCAGGACAAAAATCCTGTACTGGCCTAAGGATCTCAAATTTTGGCTCCAAAATTAGAGTTGCTCTTCTTTTCTCTCTTTTTTTTTTGAAATGCAGTCTCACTCTGTCACCCAGGCTGGAGTGCAGTGGCGCGATCTCGGCTCACTGCAACATCCGCCTCCCGGGTTCAAGCAATTCTCCTGCCTCAGCCTCCTGAGGGGCTGGGATTACAGGCAAGTGCCACCACGCCTGGCTAATTTTTGTATTTTTTGTAGAGACGGGGTTTCACCATGTTGGTCTCGAACTCCTGACCTCAGGTGATTCGCCCACCTCGGCCTCCCAAAGTGCAGGGATTACAGGCGCGAGCCACCGTGCCCGGCCGGAGTCACTCGTCTTAATAACAAGCTAAAGGCCCTAATTGAGCATGTGGCCAATGTGGAACCTTAGGCTGCAGCACTAAGCCCAATCAGCCCATTGCTACTAAGTACAAAACCTGCAAGAGGAACAGACTCTCAGTGGGCCTCAATTTCTTCCTCTAGCAGAATGTAAATAAGAATCTCTGCATTTGTAAAAATGTCCAGAAGATTACTAAGATGGAAAACAGTCACTGGGAAGGAAGCACCCCTTCAGGGGTCATTCTTGGCCTCACTTGCTCATGCCTGGCCCTTGGCAACAGCTACCTCCACAGATCTCCAGCCCCACCACCGCCTCTCCTTTCCAAGCCCTCCTCTCATACGGAATACACAAATCCTGTCACAAATAATACGCTGTCTGGCTGCCGTAAATCACCATCCTGCTCATGCCACCCCTGTGCTTTCCCCCAAGGTTGATCCTGATATTCTCTACCTCCAGACCCTTTGCACACACCACTCCCTCTTCCCAGAATGGCTTCCCTCCTCTGTTTGCTAAGCCAACTCCAACAGTCCCTCAAGATGCCGCTCCCACGGCACCTCCTTTGGTTGCTTTCTCTGGCCATGGGCTTCCCTTGCATCTTCTCCTCAACATTCTTTGCTTTCCTCTGGTCAAACATCTGTATCATACTCCATTGTAAATGTCTGTTTATCTTATGTGCCCTAAAAGAATGTTATATTACCCTCCTTACATTTAATATTTAAATTTTTGCATCACAACCAGTAGTAAAGACGTACTTTCTGCCATATTCTAAATATTGGCATTTTATAAATATTTACAGGCCTGGCACAGTGGTGCATGCCTGTAATCCCAGCACTTGAGGAGGCTGAGGTGGGAGAATGGCTTGAGCTCAGGAGTTCAAGACCAGCCTAGGCAACATAGTGAAACCTCAGCTCCACAAAAAAATCGAAAAGTTAGCCAAGTGTGGTGGTGCATGCCTACAGTCCCAGCTACTTGGGAGGCTAGGTGGGAGGATGGCTTGAGCCCGGGAGATCGAGGCTGCAGTGAGCCATGATTGCACCACTGTATTCCAGCCTGGGTGACAGAGCAGAACTCTGTCTCGACAAAAATGTTTTATTAAAAATAAATAAATATTTACATTTTTAAATTAAATACAACATTACTCTCTTAAATGAATCTAAATGATCCAATGGACTCTAAATGCCATAGTGGATCATCTATTTAAAAGAACATACATTTTATACTATGCCTTTTTGTTAACTCTTACTTCCTTTTATTTCGTTTTCAGAATTTTATCCTAATATTTATGCTTCAAAATCTTTTACTGATCAACCTATACTTCTCTGCAATATATATATTAGTATTATACATATATACATATAAATGCATAAATTTTTAAATTCTGCTATGATTATAACCTCAATTTTTTATTCTATTTATTTTATTTTTTTTTAGAGACAGGGTCTTGCTGTATCACCCAAGCTGGAGTGCAGTGGCATAATCATAGCTCACTGCAGCCTCAAACTCCTGAGCTCAAGCAATCCTCCTGCTTCAGCCTCCCAAGCAGCTAGAACTACAGATGCCCACCACATTGCTCAGCTAATTCTTTCTATTTTTTATTTTTGTAGGAACAGAGTCTTGCTTTGTTGCCCAGGCTGGTTTCGAATTACTGGCCTCAAGTGATCCTCCTGCCTCGGCTTTCCAAAGTGTTCAGATTACAGGTGTGAGCCACCACATCCAGGCTATAACTTGTAAATGTTAAAAAAAAAATTCTTCTTCTGGATTGGGTTTTCATTATCTTTATTGTTTGAATATGCAAATGATCAAAACATAATTGGTTTAGAAATTGGTACTATTATTAAACATAAAAAGTAAAATTTTATTCAAAATGCATTAATTTTTCATTTTTATAGTGGTAAGCACCAAGAAACCTTGTTCACATAAATAACTAAACAGAAGTGACAGTCTACAGCCATACTACCCTGAATGTGCCATCTCGTCTGATCTCAAAAGCTAAGCAGGGTCAGGCCCCGTTAGTACTTGAATGGGAGAAGTAAAATAAATTTTGCTATAGCAATATCAGTATCTTTAGAATCACAAGTCAAAATCATGTCATGACCTATAATCAAAAATTATTTTTAATTATCTACCAACTGACAATGCCTTCAATTTTGTTGAAAGCAAGAATTGGAAACCATCTGACTTAGAAAAGGATTTGCTACTCACAGTCATTCACTTTCCTAATAATAGTCCTAATTGTTCCTTTGCTTGTTAATCTGGAGGCTTTCACACATCAGGCACACAAACAGCAAGACTCCAGATTAATAATGACTATGTCTTCCTTTTGTAAAGTGGGAGAAGAGTGATTGAGAAAGGAAACACCTTGAGTGCAACTGAATTCTCAGACAGATCAGCCTTTGGAAAGGGGACATAGAAAGTCAAGGATCTAGAAAATATACCCTGTCTGAAGACTACTAGCTTATCTGCCTCTCCCACCAAAACAGTGGCATTATCAAAATTAACATTAAATTATGTTTATTCGTGGATAATTACTGTTATATTTTAACAGAAAGAGACTGAAGACAGCCTAAATGTGCTCAATAAAGGTCTGATTAAATAAATTACAGAGTGTCTAGAAACCAAAAATACACGGTTTCTCTTCAGGACTGAATCAAGTCCCTTCAGAATCAGGGCCCACACTTTATTCCCACAGCCTCAGCTCCTACAAGCCCTTCGAAGGTCCTCATGTGCATCATTCCCCACTGCAAGTAATGGTTTCTAGATGGGAAACCATGGTCCACAGAGCAACACAGACAGGGACGTGCCAGAGGACATAAGGACAGTAAGACCTAAAGTGTACTGCTGAGGCTTGTTATGAACACTCATGGAATTGCAACCTGGAAGCCTATGTCTGGGGAAAGGGAGAGGGGACAGTGTCTATGCTAAGAGAACAAGTAGCAAGGAGCCAGAAGAAGGCTGAGTGTGGTATGAAGGAATAAATACTCAAGAAGCTGGTAAGGCTGGTGACATTGGAAGGAAGATCCCCCAACAGGCTGCTGGCCCTAGAGGTCAGGGCGCTATCTATCCTTGGAAGAAGACAAGTGGAGGACAGTATCATCCGAACCAAAGCAGCGCCCAGGCTGAAGGGCCCACTGGGCAGACACTCCAAGAGAAGGCTCATGGTCATCACAATGGGGAGGAGGGGAGAAGAGGAGTGAGCCAAGACGCGGCTGCTTGCGGACAGGGCAGAACCTACAGATGGGAACAAATGAACCTGGTTTCATAAAACAGCTTCCCTCCTCTGTGCCCCAGAGTAGTCCTCCCAGTTAAAGTCCCCTTTCTCGTTCTCTTCACCAAGTCAAATCCTGCCAACCTGCCAAGGGCCAAGATGATGCCCCTTGTTCTCCATGCAGCCTCCTCAAACACTTCTGCTTATAGTCAGTTCTTCTACCTCTAAACCCTCATCATTCTCTGTTTATACCAGAGGCGGCCTGCAATATTTCTAAACCGCTCCATGATCCATTTGTATTTTGATATTAATCCTTAGCTCTTTGCTGTAGGTGTTTGATGCCTCTCTGAAGATAAGGCTTGTGACTTAGACATGTTCCTGTCCCACAGGGTGACCCCTCAATGCTTTACTGTGCGGGACACCTACTTGCTTACAGTTCCAATGGACACACACTGTCTCCTGCCACTCATCCAAATGTCTATCTCTTTCACAAAATTAAAGGTTCATTATATACATGTGGATTCTGAATTCTTGGGTCTTTCATAGTCTTTGGCTTAGGGCTTCACACTTGCTAACCACTCAGTGAAACTTCTCCAGAGTCAGTCATTCAGCTGCTGCTCTACCTGAGGCTGTAGCACCAATGAGCCAGCTCTCCAGAGACACGCCCACATGGTACAAACCACGTTCTAGTGGAGAGCATTCTCCCATCATGGGAGGCTCTCCCTTCAAGCTAATCTTAACAAGAATGAAATGGGAATTTGGAATTTCGTTTCCCTTATACAAAGTCACTTCCTAAAATGGGGGGATTATAATTAGGTGATCATTAATTACACTCGCCATTACAAAATTCAAAATACCTCAATTCCTTTACCTTTTATAACGAACATAAAGTGGGATCTCAATAGTATATTTAAAAGAATTTCTCACAAATCTCAGTAAATACAATACAAATAAAATAGTTTGAAACTATGAAAGAAAGATCAGTAAACAGAGAAGAATGAATATATAGGAAAAGGGTATAAGCAGTCAAAGAAAACAAAGCTTAACGATAGAAAAGAAAAGAAAAGCTAATCCCTGTAATGGAATGCCTTCCTCACAGCAAGCTCTCAATATTTGTCATCAAATTTACAGAATGGCTGATATTGATTCTCAAGGCAATGAAACAGACTACGCAAGTGCTGGCTGCAAAAGAAACAGAAACGTAAGGTCCATACTAAATGAACTGATGAATGCAATAAAAACAGAAGTGATGCTACAGAAAAAACTAATCAGAAAAAGATATAAAATACAAAAATATATTTTTCAATAAAAGATTCAAAGCATGCACAAGATGACAAGCACAAGAAGGAAT